>NC_000004.12:188012290-188315320 GCF_000001405.40 Homo sapiens
TGGGCGACAGAGCGAGACTCCGTCTCAAAAAAAAAAAAAAAAAAAAAAATGCCTGCAAATTCTTTGCTACTTCTCCCAGTGAGAGTAGGGGTCTATTTCCTTCCCCTTGAGTTTGGGCTGGTCTGTGACTGCTTTGATCAGTACAGTACAGTATAATGTAAATGGTGCTGCAATGGTTATGCCAATTCCAGGCTTAGTTTGTAAGAGGCCTTGCTGTCTTGGAAACCTACTGCTAGTTTGCTGCTGCCTTGGAAACCAACTGCCGTTTAAGAAGCATGACTACCCCAAGACCACCCTCCTGGGCACAATCCAAGCCAGCCACAGGCAGAGGCCCTGTAGGATAAGAAATCATGTGGAGAGAGAAGCTAAGGAGCAATGAGGTGCTGGGCTTGCAAGTGAAGAAGGCGACTGGAAAAGCCATCTAGCCTGGATCACCCCAGGTGACGCCACAGGAGTTGGTCCCTTTCCAAGTTTCTAACCCACAAAATGATGCACAGTACAAAAAGATTGCCTTAAGCCGCTTAATTTCGGGTTAGTTTGTTATGCAGCAATGAATTACATACACCCCACTTCAGGCTTGTTTTTGAATTTTATGGTCCCTGCTTTACATGTGTGTGTATACGTGCATACATATATATACGTATAGAGAGATTGTCATATGACTATATACATACGTACATATATACATATAGAAATAGATAAGATTTTGTCGTATATCTAGTTAGTGCCCAAGTTCAAAAGGAAGTCTTTATATTTCTAGGTTTATATACTAGATTTATTTTCAGCCATATGACAATGAAATAGTGAGTTCCCTCTTCCTTAAACATTAAAGACTGATTCTATTTGGTGGGGTATCTAAGGAAACTGCAGCTGCCTTTAGTTTACTAAAACTCAGTCTCTAAAGATTGGTGGAGGGAGAATCTCCACTTGGGAGGAACAGTTTTTCTTCACGGAACCAGTTCTGAGGCTGGGCCTGGTGGCTCATGCCTGTAATCCCAGCTCTTTGGGAGGCCAAGATGGGAGGATTGCTTGAGGCCAGGAGTTTGAGACCAACCTGGACAAAACAGCAAGACCCCGTCTCTACAAAAAAAATTAAAAATTAGCCAGGCATAGTCCCAGCTACTCAGGAGGCTAAGGCGGGAGGACTGTGCAAACTCAGAAGTTCGAGGCGGCACTGAGCTATGATCACACCACTGCAGGCCAGCCTGGATGACAGAGCCGGACCCTGTCTCAAGAACCGGTCCTGCCACCTGGGTGGGTCACCTTCTTGGAGGAATATCATTAATTGCTGTCACCACAAGCACTGTCCTTAAAGGGCCATGCTGCACTTCACACTCTGACCCAAGCCTGAGCACCTAGCTCTTTCTTTATTTCTTAGTAAAACTGAGATGAGGTTGGAACATGTAAAGGCCTCTATTAACGGCAAGAAAATAATACCGCTTGGATTCTCAGGCCACAGGCTTAAGAGAGGTGCACCTGTTTCAAGATCTAGAGTTAAGAGGCTCCAATGGTTCATTTCTATCTGAGACCTGGTTTAGGTTTCTGGCTGGGATCTACCTTACTCAGTATTCTACCTTACCCGGTATGTCTCACTGACCTCTTCATGAAAGTTTATCTCCACGCATTGTGTGACTTCACATTTCACTTAACACGCTAACAACGTAAACGGCTCAACAGCCCCAAAACGTAGATAAGAAATGAATACATTCTTTATGAACTTTTTCTGTAAATCTGCTGGCGGGATTAAAGTATTAGATAGAGTATTTAACTAGAAGACCCCTCTAAAGTTACCCAAGATGGGAATAGAGAATGAACAAGAGAGAGAACTTTGCCCCTGGCAAGGGGCAGTTTTGCAGGCTTTGTAACCCATCGTAAAGGGTTAGAACTTTGCCTTGTAGTCAATAAAGGAAGCATAGAAGGGATTAATAAGCAAGTAAGTGACATGATCAAATTCACTCTTTAGAAAATTCATTTAGGGTGCAGAGTTAAAGATGGATTGGGAGAAGGAAAAGATGAAGCTGTTGCCATAATCTAGAGGTGAGGTGACATGTCTTTCTGGACTTAGTTTCCAGCACAGGCACAGAGCACAGTAAGTGATTATAGATGTTTGAATATATGCTTGACTAGACAAAGCTAAAAGGATTTCCAAGCAGTAGTAAACATAGAAAAGTGACAGATGCACTAAACTTAAAGTCAGTGACACACAACAATCAAAAGGTAAATACACCCATTTAAAATGGGCATAGGGCTTGAGTAGACATTTCACCAAAGAAGACAGAAAAACAACCAATAAGCACGTGAAAAGATACTCAACATTATTCATCACTAGGGAAATGCAAATCAAAACCACCCTCAGATACCATTTCACACTCTCAAGGCTGCCTATAATCAAAACAAGAAGTATTAGCCAGATGTGGAGAAATTTGAGCCTTCATTCGCTGCTGGTGAGAACGTAAAACAGTTTAATAGTTCCTTAGAATATTAAGCATCGTTACATAAACCAGCAGTTTCACTCCCAGGTGTATACCAAAGAGAAATGAAAAAAATCTGTCCACATAAAAACTTATATATGAATGATCATAATAGCATAATACATAATAGCCAGAAAGAAGAAAAAATCCAACTGCTCGCCAACTAATGAATAAACAAAATGTAGTGTGTCCATACAATGAAAATTTCAGCCATAAGAAGGTAGCACTAATACGTGTGATAACCTGGATAAGCCTTGAAGACATGCTAAGTGAGAGAAGCCAGACACAAAAGTACCCATATTGTAAAGTAGCATTTATGTGAAATGTTCAGAACAGACAGACCCAAAGGAACTCAAACCCAAAGAGTTCCCCAAAGAGGTTAGCAGTTGCCGGGGCGAGGGCGTGGAGGCGGTAGGGAGTGGCCGCTCATGGTACTTTTTGTGGCATGTTAAGAATGTGCTGAAATTAGGTAGTGTCAGTGATTGCAGAACTCTGGGAATGCAGTAAAAACCGCTGAGTTGTATACTTTGAAAGGGCCAATTTTATGACATGGGAATTGTATCTCAATAAAGCTGTTATTTAAAAAAACCATTTATGCAAACTTTTATAGACTTCTTAACTATTTTACAGTCACTTTCATCAGAAGTAATAACGCAAAAATTCAAACACCCAGGAGGTTACACATTCTGTGTTAAGAACACAGACTTTGAAATCAAGCAGACTGAGTGGAAACCCAGTTCCATCCCGTAGAAACTGTGTGACGTTGGACAAATGACGTAACTTCTCTGAACCTTTAATCATCTCTAAAATGTAAATAATACCTATCAGACATGTTATAAAGGTGAAATGAGACAACAGAGAAAAAAGTCCTAAGCTAAAGTACGGACATGAATTATTATCCAGGGTATTGTTATTCTTTACTGTGCCAAGACAATGACCCAGCCCCCTGAAGGTATTACAGTTTTATAGCACATTCTAGGTGGTTGACATAAATTGCCATGTTTATGTTTCCTTAGTGAGCACATATATTAACGTTTGAAAAGTATGTTGAGGCCAAGCACAGTGGCTCAAACCTATAATCCCAACACTTTGGGAGGCGGAGGCAGGAGCATGGCTTGAAGCCAGGAGTTCAAGACCAGCCTGGGCAATATAACAACACCCCGGTTCTACAAAAATAAAAAAAGTAGCCGGGTATGGGGGCACACGCTTGTAGTCCCAGCTACTTCGGAGGCTGGTAGAAGGATCTCTTTAGCCCAGGAATTTGTGGCTATGGTGAGCTTTGATTGTGCCACTGCCATCCCTGCCTGGGCAACAGAGTGAGCCCTATCTCTTAAAAAACAGGTGGGGCGCGGTGCCTCATGCCTGTAATCCCAGCACTTTTGGAGGCCGAGGTGGGCGGATCACGAGGTCAAGAGTTCGAGACCAGCCTGACCAACATGGTGAAACCCCATCTCTAATAAAAATACAAAAATTAGCTGGGCATGGTGGTGGGCACCTGTAATCCCAGCTACTCAGGAGGCTGAGGCAGGAGAATCGCTTGAACCCGGGAGGTGGAGGTTACAGTGAGCAGAGATCATGCCATTGCACTCCAGCCTGGGCGACAGAGCGAGACTGTCTCAAAAAAAAAAAAAAAAAAAAAGAAAAAGAAAAGAAAGGAAAGGAAGGAAGGAAGGAAGAGTGCAGATGCTGGGAGGCGCCTTGCACTAAGGCGGCTTTCATACTGTGCGTAGGAGCTTCGGTTTCTCACATTTAGAACCTAAAGCCATTGAAGGTAGAGCTCTAATATTTTGTATTATTTTTTAAATTGCTCATAAGAACTGAGCTCATTTTCAAGAAATACCTCAACCTATAAAGCATAAATAAAAGGCATAAGCACCAAAAATTCACGAGCTCTAAGGAACCATTCTGGTGAATGCATTCTTCAAAAAAGTAGTGCGTTTAATCAGAGGAGCAGTAAGTTCAGGTTTGCATGCTGTATCTGACACCTTTGTGTGGCCCGTGGATATAAGCAGATGTGAAGCAGAAAAGAGGGAAAGACTGGAGAATTGTTGGTTTGGAAATAAGAAATATGGAAAGCCTGGAAAAAGCACAGTTGTCGGGATAAGGAGGAGAGAGGAGGAAGGACATGTTTGGGTTAAGTGATCAAGCTGGGGCCGTACGCGGAGTGAGGGAGGGAGGAGGAGGAGCAGACAGGCAGGAGGATCCTGAGGTATTCAGCTTGCTGGAGTGAATGGATTGAGATGCGGTTGAAGGAGATGGGAACTGGGAATGCAGGAAGAGAAGCCAGAAGGGGAGACTGCATGACAGTTCGGCTGAAGATAAGAATTATTCTGAAATGGCAGTTGTGCATGTTGGAAAAATAAATCACCATGGAAATGAGCCTGATCAAATTTGACTAGGGAAACTGAGAGTTGTACAGAACTCTCATTCCAAAATGTTATCAAGTCCTTAAGATAATTTAACTCTGTGTTGCAAAATAGGTAGACATAAACAGAGAGGAAAACAGTATTTTCATACAGAACAATGAAGAGGAAGTACTAGATTTAATTGGACACACGCTTCTCACATTTAAAGATGGGGAGGAGATAATGGTGTCCCTTTGTGTCCTTCCCAAAGAAATATGGGGAACTGATAATGCCTCACATAAGTCTTAAAGGAAGAAAATGTAGAGCATGCACTTTTGCAGATCACTCTCTCATTAACAAACAAGCTCAGAAGAAATGTGGTCTCAATGAAATGCTTCCTTTCTTGGAGCTTAAATACGGTCAAATCTAAATATCTAAGAAATCAGGAAGTTTGACATCTTTAACCACTAAAGATTAAGACAAATTTTTTACATGTAAAGTTTTATCTGGATATAGGGACTTCCTGATCAAGGAAATAGTTGAAAGGAATAAAAAAAAACAACTGAGTCACAGAACATTCCATCAATGAATTATTGTCCAGGTTTGTTCAGAAGTGGTGACACTAATATTATTTTGCTCAAAGTAAATAAACTGCATTGCTGACTACATAAAGAGAGAGAAGTTGTACCTTTTTGCTTACCTCTGTTTTCCCGATGCCTAGTGTAAGTTGTCTAGCACGTAGTAAGCAGACAGAAACTAACTACATATGTGGAATGAATGTACGTGGGAAAGATCAATTCTGAAACGTGTATAGACGAGAAGTAACAAATATTCTTAAAATAGTACAAGAACTCATCATTCATTCATCAAATTCGTTTTAATATAAATTCTTTATTGAAATATTAGAGACAGAAAATAAGTCATAAATGCTCTTATATTCCCCTTACCTGCTTCCAAACTTTACCTTCCCTACCGCAAAAGATAATCTTTCTACTAACCTCTAACGCCATATTTGCTGTTGATGGCATCTGAGAAGTCTCCAGTTTTCAGCTATTACTAACAGTGCTGTGATGAATATTTTGTTTTTTTGGTTTTATTTTGTTTTAGAGGAGGGGTCTCACTGTCACTCAGACTTGGATGCAGTGGCATGATTATGGCTCACGGAAGCCTGGATCTCCTGGGCTTAAGTGATCCTCCCACTTTAGCCGCCCAAGTAGCTGGTACTACAAGCACACACCACCACACCCAGCTAATTTGAAAAAATTTTTTAGAGATGGGGTCTCTCTCGCCATGTTGCCCAGGCACATCCTGAATTCCTGAGCTCAAATGATCATCCTGCCTCAGCCTCAAAACGTGCTGGGATCACAGGTGTGAGTCACCATGCCCAGCCTCTTCTGTATATAACTAGAATTGCCCGTTCTTTGGATGTATATATGATCAGCTTTAAAGGATATTTTTGAACAGTTTTCCAAAGCAAGAGAGGAAATTCCTCTAAAGCATTTTCTTAAGTGATGAATAGGAGCTTTCTAATGCATTCTTTGCCGTTTTCACAGTGTGGACATTGACATTCATGGTGCAAAAGCAATGATGGATAAACCAGTTGGTGCCTTAGAACGAATCAAGCCAGTGGCACCAAACTGTCTTAGTAGTCATTACATACTAGTAGTCACTGCCATGTATCAAAGCAAACAAGAGCCAGTTTTATTTTTTGAATGTCTTGATGATGTCGGTTTAAAAATAAATAAATAGAAATTTTAAAACTTGAAATGTTTTAATGAAGCACTAAAAAGAGTCAGTTTTACTACATCTCAGCCCTTGAGTTCACATTATTATGAAGTATTTTTTAATATTTTCTCTGGTGAAACGGACATACGCATAAAGCGTATCTGTTGCATGCCCAAGTACCCAAGTACAACAAATGTATCAAAGAATAGAATCTATGAAATTGGTGGACTTGAGAGCTGACTTAGCTGATTTTTTTCATGGAACATAAATTTTACTCGAAAGAATGACGAAGATGCTGGGTATGGTTATTCAGATTGGGGTGTCTCTCAAAAATATACAGACATACTCTTAGAAACAAGTGAAATGGGCCTGTGATCTCAAAGAAAAAACTGTTTTTGGTCAGGGATAGAATTTGAGTTTTCACAAGAAAACTAGAAATTTTAAAAATTTTAAAAACTTGAATCTATCACTGTGAACTTCGCAGCTTGCCCGTACTTTAAAATTTTCTGATAAGATTATCATGTTGTTTTATGAATATAATTTTTCAACATTATCTACTGAAATATGTCAACATTTGGAAGATCTGAATAACTCAGTGAACCAATATTTTCAATGTATCATATTACAAAATTATACATGAGGAGAGATCCATTAAAAGTGCAAGAGATAGGCCAGGTGTGGTGGCTCACACCTGTAATCCCAGCACTTTAGGAGGCCGAGGTGGTTGGATCATGAGGTGAATAGATCGAGACCATCCTGGCTAACACGGTGAAAACCCATCTCTACTAAAAATATAAAAAATTAGTCAGGCGTGGTGGCGAGCGCCTGTAGTCCCAGTTACTCAGGAGGCTGAGGCAGGAGAATCGCTTGAACCCAGGAGGTGGAGGTTGTGGTGAGCCGAGTTCATGCCACTGCACTCTAGCCTGGCAACAGAGCGAGACTCCATCTCAAAAAAAAAAAGACCTACACCTGTAAAGGTTTGGTGTAGATTCAAAGAGTATCCACAGGTATCTGAAACAGCTATTAAAATACTGTATGAGGCTGGCTTTTCTTCATATACTTCACTCAGTCAACATATCAAAACGGATTGAATACAGAAGCAGATATGAGAATCCGGCTGTCTTCTGTAAATCCTAAGTGACAGTTCCATTGTCATAAAAGAGGACACATAGAATAATTTTTCCAGAAACTCCAAGGTCAAAATCTATATTTTAAATGTGCCTAATGTACTTCTAAAGTAAGAGTTCTTACTTTGATTAGTTAAATCAGAAAAAATTTTTATTCATATTCAAAATAGTATAAATATATAAAAATGTTAAAGGCATAGCCAATTATTGATCACAGAAGTGACATGATACAGTCGTTTGTTACAAATCTGAGTGATTATTTACAAATCTTTAGAGTTGTTGTCTGATAGGACTCAGTACGGCAGTTGGAGTGTAGCTGAAAGTAGGATAAAGCAGGTGGATATGTGCAGATGATAGAAATATGGAGATGGTAGAATCAATAATAAAAATATCACAAAACAAGCTCCGTGATCCTACTTTAGCTGTTAAACTTTTGTTGTTGTTGTTGTTACTGAGACGGAGTCTCACTCTGTCGCCCAGCTGTTCTCAGCTCACTGCAACCTTCACCTCTGGGGTTCGAGTGATTCTCCTGCCTCAGCCTCCCAAGTAGCTGGGACTACAGGGGGGGCACCACCACGTCCAGCTAATTTTCTGCTAAACTTTTTGAAATGAGAGGCCCATGGTAAAGTAGATATCAACATAAGGCTTGTTGAGTGACTGATTAATTCTAGATTATTATTCTCATTTATTGGCACAAAAACAATTACACATTGCTTTCTATTTGGCTCCTCTGGTGCCCTTACCACCACTGCACAGTTCCTACATATGCCGTGATTCTTAACCTTTGGAGCTTGAGTAATTACCCCTAAATCCCTCTCTTAAAAATCTTGGGGGCCAGGCACAGTGGCTCACACCTATAATCCCAGCACTTTGGGAGGCCGAGGAAGGTGGATCACCTGAGGTCGGGAGTTCGAGACAGGCCTGACCAACATGGAGAAACCTCGTCTCTACTGAAAATACAAAATTAGCCAGGCTTGGTGGTGCATGCCTATAATCCCAGCTACTCAGGAGGCTGAGGCAAGAGAATTGCTTAAACCCGGGAGGCGGAGGTTGCGGGTTCAAGCAACCTCAAGCCTGGGCAACAAGAGCGAAACTCTGTCTCAAAAAAAGAGAAAAGAAAGTTCCTTGGCCTTTTCTTGTGTTTCTTGACCTTGACATTTTTTGAGGAGTCCAGGCCAGTTATTTTGTAGAATGTGTCAGTTTGGGTTTGTGCGATGTTTCCTTGGGATTAGATTCAGGTTGTGCATTTTTGGCAGAAATACAACTATAGTGATGTTGTCACCTTCACCATGCATCGAATCAAAGGGACATGATGGCGATGGCTTCCAAGGTGATGTTCTCTTTGAGCACTTGGTAAGGTGGTGTCTGCTTAATTTCTCGACAGGCAAGTTACTGTTTTTCCTTTGTTATTGATAAGCAACTTCTGGGGGATACTTGGAGACTACGCATATATCCTGTTCTTTATCATGCTTTCACCCAATAGTACCCACTGATGAACATATTGTGTATACATGAAATAATAATAAACTATTATCACTGATAGAAGGAACATATTGTGTATACATGTAATAATAATGAACTATTATGACTTCTTAAAGCAGGTTGTTCATTGTTTCCTGAGTATAAATAAATCAGAAATGAATGGCTTTAATTTTCTGTAAAATATGTTTACTTAGAAAATAATAGAAAATGTCCTTTACAAAATGAGTTCTAGGGTTTTATTGAACAAAATGTGTTTGCAAAACACTGTGGGGTGAAAAGAGTATGACCCCTTACTTCCCCATCATAACGCTCCTGGCTGACACTCCCGTAATAAAAGACAGGTTAACAAGAGAAAAGCATAACATATTTATTTGATCAAAGTTTTTTTTTACGTGACAAAGGAACCTTCAGAAATGAAGCCCCAGAGGTCCCCAGAAAACTGTCTGTTTTTATGCTTAGGCTGGGTGATTAGGGGACATCTTTGTAGAAATGTGAGTGAACAAAAGGGGAAGCTCTAATGCTAACAGACTGAGTGCAGACACCCAGCAAGGCCTGTCTGTTCAGATTCTTCTCAGCCTCTCCCTGCAGCATGCAGCATCCCTTCCTCCTGGGTATGGGGCAGGGCCCTTCTGGAATGCGGGTTTATGACCTCCGTGCAGGCAAAATAGACCAGATAGTTTCTTTATGGCCAACTCTTACACAGAAAGGCAGGGGAAGATTGGAGTAATTTTTTTTTAGGTTTTAAGGCTAGCTTTCAGGGAGAATGGTTCTGGTTTCTATGGACTTGCCTTGGGGAAGAGGGATTTTAGTTTCCTTGTTTGTTTGTTTGTGTTTTGAGATGGAGTCTCACTCTGTTGCCCAGGCTGGAGTGCAGTGGCACAATCTCAGCTCACTCCAACTTCTGCCTCCCAGGCTTAAGTGGATCTTCTGCCTCAACCTCCCGAATAACTGGGATTACAGGCATGCGCCACCACAGCCGGCTAATTTTTGTATTTTTAGTAGATACCAGGTTTTGCCATGTTGGACAGGCTGGTCTCGAACTCCTGACCTCAGATGATCCACCCGCCTCGGCTTCCCACAGTGTTGGGATTACAGACATGAGCCACCGCACCCGGCCCTAGTTTCCTAGTTTCTATGGTCGGCCTTGGGGGAGAAAGTTTAGCAGGAGGAGGAAGGCGAGGAGAAGGTCAGAAACTTTGCTTCTGAGGCCCTCCAAGGCCCTCCCAGGCCCTTTGCTCCAAGTCCTCAGCAAGCCAGAGGACGTCTTCTGAGCCCAACAACAGTTTAAGGCATTCCAAAATTAGAAGAGCAATCAGGCACCCAACCATACTAAAAGCGTGTTTATATTTTCGCATATTTTCCAATCCATTGAACAAACAAGCAAACAAACAAAAGAACTGGTGTGTAGAGTGAAAGGAGCGTTAGTGTGTATAATATCTGTGGACAGAATAGTCGTCTGAACTGAATCTACAGCAAAACTACAAAGCTGTGATATTGTGACTCCGAGAAAGTGCAGATTTCATATTCCAGTAAGATTTATTGAATGCCCGTTGCCTGCTAAGCATTTCATACATAAGCATATTCACACACAGCACCTTATTTTGTTATCATAACTCTATAGGGCAATGGTATTATGCTATTCTTCCACTCAAGAGAACTTTTCAGAGGTTCATTTACTTAACAAATCATAACTGCCACATCCCAGGTGCTTTGTTAAGCTCTGGGAATGCAACCTGGAAGAAGACAGATCTGGTTCCTCTCACTTTCTAAGCCCAGTTATAACATGCTGGGCCCATGATTTTACTCAACAGTAAAATCGAGGTTTACGCTGTGTGCTAAGAGAGGCATCCAAACCAAACGTGTGGACTCAGGGGAGGCTTTGCTGATGGAACTTCTAATTAGGCTGGGAAATGAAAGACGACAGGAAGCTGGGTGAGGAGGGGGGATGGTGGTGGAGGGAGGACCCAAATATTCCAGGCAGAGGGAACGTTGTCTCAAAAAAATAAAAATAGAAATAAAAAAGGCTTCTGTTGGGCACGATGGTTCAAGCCTGTAATCCCGGCACTTTGAGAGGGTGACGTGGGCGGATCAGGAAGTCAGGATATCGAGACCATCCTGGCCAACATGGCAAAACCCCCCATCTCTACTAAAACTACGTGGTGGCACATGCCTGCAATCCCAGTTACTTGGGAGGCTGAGGCAGGAGAATCGCTTGAACCCAGGAGGCAGAGTTTGCAGTGAGCCGAGATCACGCCACTGCACTCCAGCCTGGTGACAGAGCAAGACTCCATCTCAAAAAAAAAAAAAGAAAAAGAAAAAGCGCCTCAGGCTGTCCCAGCATTTTCATTCAAAAAGGAGCTTTGAGAGACAGCCAGGTGGCTAGTGACGGGCTAGCAGAGGCAGAGAGGGCTGCACCTTTTCTACCACAGTTTAACATTGCTCAGAGATTGCGTGTCTAACCTCAGGAAGGTTTTGACATAGTTTACACTGATTTTACTTTGTTCACTTCAGGATGGAAAGGATGGCAGAGTCTCTGCTGCATCCAGGATAGTATGAATCATTAAAATGCTGAAACCACTTTCAGCAGTGTATTCTAGTCCTGGCCGGAAGTCACTAACCTAGCTGAAACATCAAATATTATGGTAATTTGGTCTGAGAATAAATAATAGATTATGTTAATACAGACAGGGATGAGATAATGAGAAACAGGCTACTTAAGAAGCATATTGAGTGGTTTATTTGTGAATCAAAAAGAAGCAAGGAAATTGCATTAAAAGAAAAACTGACCCTGGAGTCACTCTTTTAGGTGACCTTAATATTCCATAAATTATAAGTTAAGATAAATGAAACAAAAGCTCTATATTATGAAGAGTGAAATTATTTTGTAATTCTGACAGAAAACTAAGTATTCTAACATTTTACTGAAGAAAAGCCTGTTGATCATTCTCATTTCCCGCCACAGAACACGTATACCCTTTGCCAACACTTACTGAGCAGTTACTATGTGCGGTTACTAAGGTCTAATGTTTTGTTTTGTTTTTTTTTGAGACAGGGTCTCACTCTGTTGCCCAGACTAGAGTGCAGTGGCGTGACCTCCGCTCACTACAGCCTCAACCTCCCAGGCTTAAACAATCCTCCTGCCTCTGCCTCCCAAGTAGCTGGGACCGCAGGCACGCCATCACACCTGGCTAATTTTTCTACCTGTTTAGCAACAGGGCCTCACTATGTTACCTAGGCTGGTCTTGGACTCCTAGGCTCAAGCGATCCACCTGCCTCAGCCTCCCCAAGTGCAGGGATTACAGGTGTGAGCCACCATGCCCAGCCTAACTCTTTACATCCACGCATATACTACCTTAAACATCTTTGCCATGCGAGAATGTAGATACCACTTGTATAGATTGGGAAACTGAGGCACATGATGGTTGAATAATTTGCCAGAGGAAACAGAGCTGGCAGGCTGAAGGGCTTCAGACCAAAACTTCTCTGACCTCATTTGGTAGCAAAACATATGCAAAGCTTTCTACAATCTTTACATACCCCATTAAGTATGAATACTTATACATTCTCCTGCAGAAATATGTATAATCATAATATACTGCCCCAAATCCCTCTTAGGAGAACTGATAGATGGTGTGTGGATTGTCTCCTGTCTCTAAAAAACACTCTGAGGCCAGGTGCGGGGGCTCACGCCTGTAATCCCAGCACTTTGGGAGGCCAAGGAGGGCGGATCACGAGGTCAAGAGATGGAGACCAGCCTGGCCAACATGGTGAAACCCTGTCTCCACTAAAAATACAAAAGTTAGCTGGGCGTGGTGACACACACCTGTAGTCCCACCTACTCAAGTGAGGCAGGAGAATCACTTGAACCTGGGAGGCAGAGGTTGCAGTGAGCTGAGATTGCACCACTGCACTCCAGCCTGAGCAATACAGCAAGACTCCGTCTCAAACAAAACAAAACAGAAAAACACTGTGAATTCTAAATATCTGACCTCAGGGGTTTTGGAAAAGGCATTTTGGTCCTTTGCAATTTATACACCAACAAATAATGAATTAATATAGTAACATAATAATTTATTTAGTATACCCTTTAAATTTAATACTTGCATTTTCCAGATATCAATATAAAGAAATTGGCAAACCTCAAATAAAATTCAATTGGCGTGTTTTAGAGACAGTTATGCTGCTCTTGTGGGCCGCTGCCTGAAATCCAGGTGGCTGCCTGCTGGTAGTCTGGAGTGTAGTGTCTCCAGAATGTAAAGCACTGAACAAAGCAAGGACATCATGAGACATCCTGTTTGAATATTTTGTCTGCAATTTAGTGAACTGTGTGATCCTCAGCAAATTACCAGGTGACTCTGTAACACTGTGATAACAGTTTATGTGTCCAGGTTATTGTGACTATTGAATAAGATGATGTGGGTCTTTACACCTGGCCTCTTCATGGGCATGTCGTAAATTGTAGCAATTATTAAGCTAGATAATTATACATAGGGATAATACTTTTCTATCAAAGCAAATAATAGGCACTAGCTAAATGTCTCCATGAAAGCTAAGTATGATAAAATACACAGGAAGCATCTCCAACATGAAAAGTACCCTTAGTGCTTTGTAAGATAACAGTTCCCACAGTCATAGAGCTTACCTTTTGGAAAGGCGGAAGTTGAAAAATGACTTTTTTTTTTTTTTCAGACGAAGCTTCGCTCTTGTCCCCCAGACTGGAGTGTGATTTTGCAATCTCAGCTCACTGCAACCTCCGCCTCCTGGGTTCGAGCGATTCTCTTGCCTCAGCCTCCCGAGTAGCTGAGATTACAGGCACCTGCCACCACGCCTGGCTAATTTTTTTGTATTTTTAGTAGAGATGGGGTTTCACCATGTTAGCCAGGCTGGTCTCGAACTCCTGACCTCGTGGTCTGCCTGCCTCGGCCTCTCAAAGTGCTGGGATTACAGGCGTGAGCCACTGTGCCCGGCCGAGAAATGATTTTATTATGTAGCTTTGAAATGAGTTCAAACACGTAATTTGCTACATGAGTGACTTAACGTTTTCCTGTGATAAAAACATGGAGTGTAATCTTCCCCACGAGAATGCTGGGTCACACTTTATCAGGCCACATATGTGTTGCTGGCTTCAACCTCTAGACCCCAAACACAGAAAATGTGAGATTTTGACAGGCACATTGAGAGTTCAGGCTGTGGCAAGAATACTGTCTGCCAACCTTCAGGCAAGTCTCTGAAGCCGTACCCACCAACACTGGCACCACTGGCTGGCATCAGGGGCCTTGTGTCATGGTGGATCTATGCTGCATTGCTGAAATTCACTCTCCAAAGAACCTCTCCTAGAAAGGGACACCTCCTAGAAAGAGACACCTCACACTTGCATTCAACTGTACGGCTACAGAGGCCTTCTGCCATCCTAACTGACCAACTAGACTTTAATAAAATTAGAACTCACTTACTCTGTGGTTAATGGACCTCCCTCCTCCATGGAGTGGATTCCCTGTGAGAGCTGTTCTCATTATTCTCCCCCTTTTGAGCACTGAAATAAACAACAACAAAAGCTACAAAAAAAAACCTCTTTACATGGCAATAAACTGTGATTCATGAAATTATACTTTGTTCATCTCATTTCAATCATAAAAAACACTTTAAAAAGCAAGTTTAGCCGGGCGCAGTGGCTCACACCTGTAATCCCAGCACTGCACTTTGGGAGGCCGAAGCAGGTGGATCACCTGAGGTCAAGAGTTCGAGACCAGCCTGAGCAAGGCGGTGAAACACTGTCTCTACTAAAACTACAAACTTAGCTGGGCATGGTGGCGGGTGCCTGTAATCCCAGCTACACGGGAAGCTGAGGCAGCAGACTCGCTTGAACCCGGGAGGCAGAGGTTGCAGTCAGCAGAGATTGTACCATTGCACTGCAGCCCGGGTGACAAGAGTGAAACTCCATCTCAAAACAAACAAACAAACAAACAAATAAATAAAAAATAAAACGCAAGTTTAAATGAATATGAGAAGATGGTAAGTGCTATGCAGAGAAAAAGAAAAAGCAGAACTGGCTTGGAATAGGTGTTGAGGGAGCGGGCAGCATGAGTGACAAAGGTGACAGGTGGTAAATATAGGCCTCAATACAAAAGTGAAGTCGGATCTGAGACTGGAAGGAAGTGAGGACCTAGTGAGTATCAGTAGAAAGTGTTCCAGGCAAGGACTGTCCAGGGCAAAGGCCCTAAGGCAAGAATTGCCGGCTATGTTGATTCACCATCAAAAGCATGCCCAGAGCCCTGAGCCAGGTGGGGGAATTGGGGGAGATAGTAGAGTAGATGGGTTCAGAGACCTGGGAGTGTGGAGATCCAGAGAACCACACAAGACAGTACCGGCACTTCTGACAGTTTCTTTGTTATGTACCTGTGCTTCCATTTGAAATCGTCCGGCCCAGGGGTCAGCAAACTTTTTCTATAAAGGGCCAGATCATGAGTATTTTTTTTTTTTTGAGACGGAGTTTTGCTCTTGTTGCCCAGGCTGGAGTGCAATGACGGGATCTCGGCTCACCGCAACCTCCAACTCCCGGATTCAAGCCATTCTCCTGCCTCAGCCTCTGGAATAGCTGGGATTACAGGCATGCGCCACCATGCCTGGCTAATTTTGTATTTTTAGTAGAGACAGGATTTATTCATGTTGGTCTGGCTGGTCTCGAACTCAGGACCTCAGGTGATCCACCTGCCTCGGCCTCCCAAAGTGCTGGGATTACAGGCATGAGCCACTGCGCTCGGCGATCATGAGTATTTTTAAACGTTATGGTTCATATGATCTCTGTTGCAGCTACTGAACTCAGCTACTATAGTGTGAAAGCCATAGGCAGTTATGTAAGTGAATGAGCATGATTCTGTTTCAGGAAAACTTTATTTACAAAAACAGGCACGGGGCCATGCTTTATCTGCCAGCCATAGTTTACCGACCCCTGCTTTGGCCTAACTTATAAACACAAGGAATTTTTCTCTCTGTTTTCTTCTAGACATTTTATAATCGTATTTATTCCTTTTTTATATATGAAGAGATTTATTCTGAGCCAAAACATGAGTGGCCAGTTGCCCATGTCACAGCCCTCGGGAGATCCTAAGGACATGGGCCCCTATTTTTTCATTTGGGTCTGTGGTTCATTTTGAGGTTATTTGTGTGAGTGTTAGCTAATGCTTGAGTTTATATAGAAAATATGTCTTATTTATATTTAACATATTTCTGGCCTATGGATATCTAATTGTTCAGCACTATTTGTTGAATGATTATGTTTTCCCTTTACCTTGACACTTCAGTCAAAAATCAATTGAGTGGGGCACAGTGGCTCACATCTGTAATCCCAGCACTTTGAGAGACCAAGGCAGACGGATCACTTGAGGTCAGGAGTTCGAGACCGGCCTGGTCAACATGGTGAAACCCTGTCTCTACTAAAAATACAAAAACTAGCCAGGCGTGGTGGCACGCACCTGTAGTCCTAGCTGCTCAGGAGGCTGAGGCAGGAGAATCGCTTGAATCTGGGAAGCAGAGGTTCCACTGAGGTTGCAGGTTGCACTCCAGCCTGGGCGACAGAGTCTCCAAAAAACAAAAAAGTCAACTAAACGTGTGCACCTGTGTGTGTGCGCACCTGTGTGTTTGCGCACCTGTGTGTGTGTGCCTGTGTGTGTGTGTGCGCACCTGTGTGTGTGCCTGTGTGCGCGCCTGTGTGTGTGCCTGTGTGTGTGCCTGTGTGTGCGCCTGCATGTGTGTGCACCTGTGTGTGTGCCTGTGTGTGTGCACCTGTGTGTGCATGCCTGTGTGTACGTGTGCACCTGTATGTGTGTGCCTGTGTGTACCCGCCTGTGTGCGTGTGCACCTATGTGTGTGCGCCTGTGTGTGTGCGCACCTGTGTATGTGTGCCTGTGTGTGCACCTGTGTATGTGCCCGTGTGTGCCTGTGTGTGTACACCTTTGTGTGTGCCTCTGTGTGTGTTTACGTGTGTGCGCCTGTGTGTGTGCATGTCTGTGCCTGTGTGTGCCTGTGTGTGTGCCTGTGTGTGTGTGCGCCTTTGTGTGTGCCTCTATGTGTGTTTACGTGTGTGTGTGCCTGTGTGTGCGCCTGTGTGTGTGCGCCTTTGTGTGTGCCTCTGTGTGTGTTTACGTGTGTGTGTGCGCCTGTGTGTGTGTGCATGTGTGTGTATTTGTCTCTCTATTTTGGACTCTCTATTTTGCTCTATTGATTTCTATGTTGATTCTTACACAAATACAACACTGTCTTGATTACTGTATCTTTATGGTAAGTCTTTTTTTTTTTCGGAGTCTCACACTGTCGCCTGGGCTGGAGTGCAATGGCACGATCTCGGCTCACCGCAACCTCCGTCTCCCAGGTTCAAGCGATTCTCCTGCCTCAGCCACCCAAGTAGCTGGGATTACAGGCGCCCACCACCACGCCCAGCTAATTTTTTGTATTTTTACTGGAGATGGGATTTCACTATGTTGGCCAGGCTGGTCTCAAACTCCTGACCGCGTGATCCACCTGCCTCGGCCTCCCAAAGTACTGGGATTAAAGGCATGAGCCACCTTGCCCAGCCTATGGTAAATCTTGACATTAGGTAATCTAAGTCTTTTAACTTTGTTCTTATTTAAAATTGTTTTGGCTATTCTGTGTCCCTTCATTTACATATATGTTTTAGGGGCAGCTTACCAATTTCTACAAAAAAACACTGTTGGGATATTGATGTGGATTATATTGAATCTATAGATCAATTTGAGAAGGGTTTAGTTCTTAACAAGGATCTATTAGATAGGATAACAAATGTACAAACCATAAAAGAAAAAAATGATGAATTGCACTTCACCATAATTAAAAAGGCACAACTCCAAAATGGCAAACCATAATCTGGAAGAAAATATATGCAAAACATAAATCTAATAAAGGACTTGTATCCAAAATACATAAAGCGCTTTTATAACTCAATAATAAAAAAAATCAACCTAATTAAAAACTGGGCAAAGGATTTGAATAGACAATTCACAAATGAATATATATAAATGGCAAACAAGTACATATAAAAGCATACTCAACATCATTAGTTATTGGGAAAATGCAAATTAAAATTACAGCGAGATACCACTACGTAGCCACTACAATGGCTGAATTTTAAGCGGCTGACAATGCCAAGCTTTGTCAAGAGTATGAGACAACTGGAACTCTCACAAATTGCTAGAGGGAATGCAAAATGAAAAGTATGCAGTTTCTTAAAAAGTTTACCCTCTCCTCCTGTATGGCCCAGCAAACCTGCTGCTAGGTACTCAACCAACTGAAATGAAAACATGTTCACACAAAGACATGCCCTGTGATGTTCATTGCAGCTTTATTCCAAATTGCCAAGAACTGGAAACAACCCAAATGTCCATCAGCTGGCGAATGGATAAACACATTACCCTATGTACATACAATGCAATACTCCTGAGCCCTCAAAAGGAATAATTCACTACTACATATAACAACCTAAACAAATCTCACATGCATTTGCTAAGTGAATGAAGCCATACACAAAAGGGCACATACTATGTGATTCCATTTAAATAAAAATGGATTGCAGAAAAGCAAGCCTACAGTTAGAGAAAGCAGATCAGTGGCTGCCAGAGACCATGAAAGTGGTGGTTGTGACAGGAGGATTAACTAGGAAGGGCATGAGGAGAGTTGGAGGGAGATGGAAGATGGACCTGTTCTACACTGTGACTTATTGTTAAATGATGCTTACATGTGTGGAAGCCGTTGAATCACAATAAGCAGGCAAGCTTTGATGGAGGCTTGAACCAGGGTGATAGGGAAAGGGAACTCACAATGAGTCATAGACACAAATGTTAAAATAAAACTAGTAAACATCTAGAAAAAAAAAACGAAAGAAAAGGCTGGGTGCGGTGGCTCATGCCTGTAATACCAACATTTTGGGAGGCCAAGGTGGGCAGATCACTTGAGGTCAGGAGTGCGAGACCAGCCTGGCCAACATGGTGAAACCCCATCTCTACTAAAAATACAAAAATTAGCCGAGCCTGGTTGCGCACACCTGTAATCCCAGCTACTCAGGAGGCTGAGGCAGGAGAATCTCTTGAACCTGAGAGGCAGGGGTTGCAGTGAGCCCCACTGCACTCCAGCCTGGGTGACAAGAGCGACACTCTGTCTCAAAAAAAAAAGAAAAAAGAAATCAGAAAGAAAAAAACCTTTCTGTTTATAAGTTAGGCCAAAGCAGGGGATTGGCAAACTACATCCAGCAGGTGAAACGTGGCCTCCGCCCTGTTTTTCCTAAATAAAGTTTTACCGAAACACTGGCCTTGCTTACTCACTTGCATAATGCCTATGGCTTTCTTGCTGCAGGACTGAGCTGAGCAGGTGAAAAGGGCTCAGATTCTCTGTTTTGAAGGTAGAGTCACAGGATCTGAAGGCTCGGGTGTAGAACATGAGTTTTGAGGATGATGTGCCACCCTCCTCGCTTCCTGCGGAAAGGACGGCCGTGGCTGAGCGCGGTGGGTGCGGGCCTTGATCCCGGACTGCGGTGTGTTGTCAGGTTTCTCCACCGTAAGATCCTTTTTCCACACCGCGCTCCTGGGAAGAAAGTCAGAAAGTGCAGCCCTTCCTTAGGCAAGCGGGAGTTTCGCTCCGGCTCTATCCACCCTGTTTTTAAAACTGAACATCGTACACATTCGAAAACAACTACAAATTCTCTTTCATTAGCTAATTTTATTTTATTGGTTCCTCTTGAAGTTAGATGATGTTATACATTCATGATCCCAGCCCAGAGCTCCTGATTCAGCCTAGCCAGGGTGAAACCCACCGGATTAACAAATGCCTCGTGTGATTCAGATGCAAATAGCCCATCAGCCCACTTCAGAAAGCTCCTCTCTAATCACTTACTAATGATAATTACTCTGAACTAGGACCTCTTTACGGAGGCTGAAGCTGTTTTTCTCTTGGTTAAGGTATTGTCATTAGTTTCCTGTCAGAGTCGGGGTCACCTCTCTGCCCTTGTCGGCCTGCCCAACAGTCACACAAGTTGAACGAATTCGGCAACCACCTCATTACTATTCATTGCCCATGCGGATATTCAAACGCAGCACACAGCTCTATCGCGGCTCCACTCCACGAAAAGTCCCAAGTATATACAAATAATTGTATAAAGTACTAAAAATGCACTTTAAATGAGTTCCACATCTCCAAGACACAGACAAACCAAGGCTATTGTCAAGAGTCCTTCTAGAAATGTGCCTTCAAAAGACACAAAAGGAAACAACGGGAGACATTCAACGAGGACAGTGGTTTCCTCCGACGAGGGGAATGGAAAGCCTGGCGCTGGGAGAGCTGCGCTCTTGACCCTCCTTTCCCTCTAACTCGCCCAGCCATCTAGGGAAATGCACTTCGTTTTTGCGCTTCAACCTCTTATCTGTAAAACATTAATAATAGGCCGGGCGCGGGGGCTCACGCCTGTAATCCCAGCAGTTTGGGAGGCCGAGGCGGGTGGATTGCCTGAGGTCAGGAGTTCGAGACCAGTCTGGTCAACATGGTGAAACCCCGTCTCTACTACAAATACAAAAATTAGCCGGGCATGGTGGTGCGCGCCTGTAATCCCAGCTACTGGGGAGGCTGAGGCAGGAGAATCGCTTGAACCCAGGAGGCGGAGGTTGCAGTGAGCCGAGATCGCGGCACCGCACTCCAGCCTGAGCCACAGAGTGAAACTCAGTCTCAAAAAAAAATAATAATAATAGCACCTGCCTGGTTTTACTTTGCGTAGATTTAGGATAAAATTAGACACTGCGTGCATCTGAGAAATACAGTTGTCACACAGATGTGAAGTTTTCTGTTTTTTGTTTTTTTCTAAAGCAGTCTTGTTTCAATAAAACCTTATTTACAACAACGGATTTTCTTTATTTCTTTACAAATACTCATGGGATCAAATAATTCAATTTTTAATTTTTAATATCATCATGATTCTATGCCCAGATCTAGGTTAAGGAAACAAAGTTGAAGAAACAAATTGCCTCTGATGTCCCAGCAGATAATGAAGTAGATCAAGATATACGACACACAAAATTATACACAAAACCTGTAGATTCTAGGAGTATTCCTATCAAGTTCTATTTAGTTGCTTAAAATAATTACCTTAGCATTCTAAAAATCTGTAAACAATATGGCATTTCTGAATATTTAACATTGGCCTTTTCAAAATGAAGTTCAATTACCATTTCCCCTGAGAAGCTGTAAGCCTGAGAGGGTCTCGTCTCCTGACACTACGGTTTTCAATCCTGGCTCGGCCGCTTACTGGCTGGTGATTGTGGGTGAGTTTCTATGCTCTTCAGTTTTCTCATCAGTAAAATAAAGATAAGAACAGCACCAACTTTGTGGGTTATCTGTGAGTAGTTAGTGTCCACATGTGCAGAAGTCTTTAGAACAGTGCTATATGTGTTTAATATTGTTATTTTTATTACTATCGGTTTTAAGGGATTAAGCAGCTGTTGAAACCAATGAGACTACTTTTTTTTCTTTTTCTTTTTCTTTTCTTTTTCTTTTCTTTTTCTTTCTTTCTTTTTTTTTTTTTTTTTTTTTTTTTTTTGTTTGAGACGGAGTTTCGCTCTTGTTGCCCAGGCTGGAGTGCAATGGCGCGATCTCAGCTCACCGCAACCTCCGCCTCCCGGGTTCAAGCCATTCTCCTGCCTCAGCCTCCCGAGTAGCTGGGATTACAGGCGTGCACCACCAAGCCCGGCTAATTTTGTATTTTTAGGAGAGACGGGGTGTCTCCACGTTGAAGCTGGTCTCGAACTCCTGACCTCAGGTGATCCGCCCACCTCGGCCTCCCAAAGTGCTGGGATTACAGGTGTGAGCCACCGCGCCCGGCAAGACTACTCTTTAATACACGCACACACACACAAACACAAAACCTGGAAAAATGTGCTCAAATAGTTTGTTAGTACTTTATATAACAACTGAAAATTCTTTGGATTTAATCAAAATGGCATATTTGAAGTAAAAACACCTATACCTACTCTCTCAAGCCTCTTAGGTAGAAAATATTTGATAGAAAGGAAATTAATTGGATTACCAAAGGACAGTAGGTGACCCCAATTACTTTTGCTTTTAATTATAAAAAAAGTCTGAGCCATAAAATTGGAAAACTCTTCCTGTAATGAAAAATGTAGAGAAGTAGTTTCACAATTTTACATTTTCTTTTTTTTTTTTTTCTTTTGAGATGGAATCTCACGCTGTAGCCCAGACTGGAGTGCATTGGGGCGATCTTGGCTCACTACAAACTCCAACTCCTGGAGTTCAAGCGATTTTCCTGCCTCAGCCTCCCAAATAGCTGGGACTACAGGCACCTGCCACCATGCCCGGCTGATTTTTTACTTATTTATTTATTTATTTTTATTTTTAATAGAGGTGGGGTTTCAACATGTTGGCCAGGCTGGTCTCAAACTCCTGACCTCAGGTAATCTGCCCGCCTCAGCCTTCCTAAGTGCTGGGACTACAGGAGTGAGCCATTGCGCCCAGCACAATTTTTTTTTTTTTTAGACTGAGTCTCACTCTGTCGTCCAGGCTGGAGTGCAGTGGCAAGATCGTGGCTCATTGCAGCCTGCATCTCCCGGGTTCAAGCGATTCTCCTGCCTCAGTCTCCCGAGCAGCTGGGATTACAGGCACGCACCACCATGCCCGGCTTTTTGTGTTTTTAGTAGAGATGGGGTTTCACCATGTTGGCCAGGCTGGTCTCAAACTCCTGACCTCAGATGATCCACCCGCCTCGGCCTCCCAAAGTGGTTGGATTATCGGTGTGAGCCACCGAGTCTGGCACAATTTTACATTTTCTCTTTAACTGACACAAAAGGTCTTCCTCTTATGTGACAGTATATTACGATGGTATGATATACCATCCTATTGACTAATATTTAAAATTGCAAATCACTTATCGAAATCCAGATTTTTAAAGATTAGGTTTAAATCTGAATGCTTCACAAAGATCACTTGGCTGCCCCGGAAGAGCTGAGTTCCCCCCGCGCTCAGAGGCCGAAGAGGTCTTTGCGATTATGGGAGCTTTCTTACCACTGTGGGCACAGAGTCTCATGGCACCTACACAAAGGGCCTGCTCCTGTATTTTTTTGTGGTTTCCCATTCCATTCAGCACAGACAAAGGGACCCGTTGAAAGGCACACAGGTGGATTCTCTTAAAAGACATTTACGGATATTAAAATTTTAAAGTTTATCTGAGCAAAAAGCTATTCATAAATTGGGCAGCTCCAGACGGCAAGCAGTTGGGCTCCACCAAGGAGGGGAGTCGAGGGGACTACTTTTATAAGATGTTTGTAGAAAGAGGCTGGTTAAGCTTAATTTACTATTCACACTGAGCACTGTTTCCGTTTGCTGACAGAGGAACTCAAGGGATTGGGGCCAGCTCAACCTAATGGTCTCTCAATTGATTTTTTTTTTTTTTTTTTGAGACGGATTCTCGCTCTGTCGCCCAGGCTGGAGTGCAGTGGCGCGATCTTGGCTCACTTTCCAGGTTTTCTTATTGCCCTTTTTCTTTATTTCGGCAAGAGTGAGGGACATGCAGCCAACAGTCTCCAGTAATTCTTCACTCTGGCTTCCTTCAGTAGGGACTTGACATTTTGATGTAGGTGTCTTGATGCTGTTGTTTTTACATGTACATTTTCCCTCGGACCAAAAAACAAACATTAAATATTTCCTCAAAAAAAAAAAGCTTTATTTTTCCCTGCTTATAAAAATAAACAGAGGCCAGGTGCGGTGGCTCATGCCTGTAATCCCAACACTTTGGGAGGCCAAGGCTCTGGGAGGATCACCTGGGGTCAGGAGTTTGCGACCAGCCTGGCCAACATGGTGAAACCCCATCTCTACTAAAAATACAAAAATTAGCCAGGTGTGGTGGCTCGCACCTGTAATGCCAGCTACTGGGGAGGCTGAGGTAGGAGGGTCACTTGAACCCTGGAGGCGGAGGTTGCAGTGAACCGAAATTGTGCCACTGTTCTCTAGCCTGGGTGACAAGAGCGAAACTCCATCTGAAAAAAACAAAAACAAAAAAACCCAGAAATCTCTCAATTAAAAATGGATCCTGAATTTCATCTTTTAATTTTATATGTATTCTGAAATGCTATCAGAAACAACTATGAATAATGGAGATGAGAGATTTCAAAGAATTTTTACAAAGAAGGCAATAATGATCTAGAGCTTGACTCTAGCTCTGTGTAAAATAAAGCTTGATAAGTAGTTGTTATCGGCCGGGCACGGTGGCTCATGCCTGTAATCCCAGCACTTTCGGAGGCCACGGCTGGCGGATCATCTGAGGTCAAGAGTTCAAGGCCGGCCTGGCCAACATGGCGAAAACCCATCTCTATAAAAATACAAAAATTAGCCGGGTGTGGTGGCAGGCACCTGTAATCCCAGGTACTCGGGAGGCTGAGGCAAGAGAATCGCTTGAACCCGGGAGGCAGAGGTTGCAGTGAGCCAAGATTGCGCCATTGCACTCCAGCCTGGGCGACAGAGCTAGATTCTGTCTCAAAAAAAAAAAAAAGAATTCATTATCTCCAACATGTTTACTATAGCTGGGGAGCAAAGTGAACATAAATTGAGTATAAAAGGTAATTCATAATGAAGAGCTAAATTGTGTTGTGAAGACTGAGGATGTTACAGTTCAAAGCACTGAGGGCTAGAGCAGCAAAGACGGCTTCGTTTGTAGTGAAGTGCCTTCAACCACTCCTCACCCCAGTTGCCTGCTTCGTAGGCATACCTCTTCAGGAAAATCACTAATTTATACTCTCCAAGAATACATGAGTGTGCTACAAAGAAAAAAAATTAATGGTAAAAATATTTATAGAAAAAATCGTTTGAAGTGAATTATTATACATTTTTTAGATGTGATGATGGCATTGTGATCATGTTTCCGAATTTTCCTTATCTATTAGATAAATAAAATAGTTCTTCATGATATGAAATGTCGAAAATTTTCTTCAAAATACTCCAAAAATAAGTTTCCTGGCACAACTTTTAACTTTGCCAAGCGCAATGACTCATGCCTGTAATCTCAGCACTTTGGGAGGCCGAGGCGGGCCAATTACTTGAGCCCAGAAGTTTGAGATGAGCCTGGGCAACATAGTGAGAGACTGTTTTTACAAAAGTAAAAAATATATTTAAAAAAATAAAATACTAGGTGGATGTGGTGGCGCATGCCTGTAGTCTCAGCTACTCAGGAGGCGAAGGTGGGAAGATTGCTTGAGCCCAGAAGGTCGAGGCTGCAATAAGCCCTCCAGCCTGGGTGACACAGCAAGACCCTGTCTCAAAAAAAAAAAAAAAAAAAAAAAAGAAAAAAAAAAAAAGAAAAAAAGTAAAAAGAAAAGATAAGCTTAACAAAAAAGAAAAGAAACTTTTAACCTTTAGGTTGATTAAATTTCTACGAGATTTTCTGATTTTTCTCATGGGCTAATAGTCATGAGAGGTTAGAGGTTTATGATAAGAATTTTTTTTTTTTTTGAGACTGAGTCTCACTCTGTAGCCAGGCTGGAGTGCAGTGGCGTGATCTCAGCTCACTGCAACCTCCGCCTCCCAGGTTCAAGCGATTCTCCTACCTCAGCCTCCTGAGTAGCTGGGACTACAGGCACCCACCACCACGCCCGGCTAAATTTTTGTATTTTTAGTAGAGATGGGTTTTTGCCATGTTGGCCAGGCTGGTCTCAAACTCCTGACCTCAGGTGATCTGCTCGCGTTGGCCTCCCAAAGTGCTGGGATTAATACTATCAAATTGCCTTTTTGTTTTGCTAATATTTAATACTCATGATAAAAAGATTTTAGACTGTAGCAGGTTTTTCTTTTTAACCCTGGTTATATTATTTGGCATGATTCAGATGTTGAAGTAGCCTCAATTTTAAAATTCTGCCAGGCGTGAAAAGGCATCCGCCCTCTAGCTTACTTTACCTGGCCACTGCTTGTATAGCTTACGAGGTTTAATCTTGTCATTTCTGGTTGAGAGAAGCAGATTTTCACCCACATGTAGGGTTTTAGCTATGTTTGTTTTTTCTAAACAGAGCCAACTGTTAATTAATTTCTAAGAGTAGGTAATACATGCATGCACCCATTACAAAAGTAGAAAAACAAAATGATTTACAATGCAAAGCAAATCTCCCTCTCATACCAAGCCCCCAGCTACCCAGGCTCCAGCCTGCTCACTTAACTTTGGTCAATTGAGATCAGTTTACACTCCTTCATTGTTTCATAACCTCTTGGAAAGTTCTCGTAACAGGAAAATGTGGCTGCATTTTCAATTCTGACCTGTTTCTCTAAATAGATCACATTCTCTAATCTTTCTATGACTTTTCTTTCTTTCTTTTTTTTTTTTGAGACAGAGTCTCGCTCTGTTGCCAGGCTGGAGAGCAGTGACACGATCTCAGTTCACTGCAACCTCCGCCTCCTGGGTTCAAGCGACTCTCCTGCCTCAGCCTCATGAGTCACTGGGATTACAGGCACGTGCCACCATGCCCGGCTAATTTTTTGTATTTTTAGTAGAGACAGGGTTTCACCATGTTGGCCAGGATGGTCTTGATCGCTGGACCTCCTGATTTGCCCACCTCAGCCTCCCAAAGTGCTGGGATTACAGGCGTGAGCCACCGCATCCAGCCAACTTTTCTTAATTTAAGATGGACTTCTATCTCACTGTGTAAGTAAAGCTCAAGGCATCATTTATTCTTTTAATATTCACTTCCTCTCACTTCTACAGGATGTAAACTGTCTCAACTCTTTTTCTTCGTTTGTAAGCTGTGATCGTTTCTTAATTTGTTTTATTATTTTTATTGCCTTCTCTGTTTTCCTAAAATAGTTTCTAAATTTTAAATGAACTTTTAATTTTAGAAAAGTTTTAGATTTACAGCAAAGATGAAAAGATAACACACCCTCACTCCCAATTTCCTGCATTGTTAACGTTGTACATTATGATGGTATATTTGTTACAACTCAAGACCAACACTGACGTATTATTATTGACTAAACCCCACACTTTATTTCATTTTACTAGTCTTCCCTTCTATCCTTTTTCTGTTCCAGGAGGCCATCAGGATCCCACATTACATTTAGATATGTGTCTCCTTACATTCCTCTAGTTTATGACAATTTCTCAGACTTCCCATTTTGATAACCCTGGCAGTTTCAGGAGTACTGGCCAGGCCCCTATACAAAGTTCTTCCATCTTGGTTTGATGTTTTTATGAATAGACTGAGGTTATGGGTGATTGGGGAGAATATCACAACACTGAAGTAGCATTCTTTTTTTTTTTTTTTGAGACGGAGTCTCGCTCTGTCGCCAGGCTGGAGTGCAATGGCGCCACCTCAGCTCACTGTAACCTCCACCTCCTGGGTTCAAGTGATTCTCCTGCCTCAGCCTCTGGAGTAGCTGTGGACCACCACGCCCAGCTAGTTTTTGTATTTTTAGTAGAGATGGGGTATCACTATGTTGGCCAGGCTGGTCTCGAACTCCTGACCTTGTGATCCGCCTGCCTCGGCCTCCCAAAGTGCTGGGATTACAGGCATGAGCCACCGCGCCCGGCCTGAATATGATATGATTCTTACCATATCATATCCGGGTGCATGCCATCAACCTGACTCTTCCCTGATGCAATTAACACCTTGACTGCCTGGCTGAGGACTGCTTGTCAGGCTTCCCCCTGAAAAATTACCACTCCTCCACCTCTTTTCCATAGTCTTGAAACAAGCTGCTGGCATCACCTACACTTAGGGTAGAGAGGAATTCAGCTCCACCTCATCGAGGGGGGAAATATTTACATACATTATTTGGAATTCCCTATGGGAGATTTGTCTCTTCTTCACTATTCATATGCTAGATTTTCTGTGTATTACAGGGTTCTTTTTATACAGCAATTACCAAAAAAAAAAAAAAAAAAAAAAACCTGCCTACTGCCTACATATAAACATTTTTATCTGAGATATTTCCATTATACCTCTAAATGAAGAAAGTAAATGCTAACAGTTGTTAACTGATAATTTGTTCAACAAATATGCATTAGGTTTGGCGAGATGGTTTATGTCTGTAACCCCAGCACTTTGGGAGGCTTAGGTGGGAGGACTGCTTGAGCTCAGGAGTCTGAGACCAGTCTGGGCAACATAGAAAGATCCCTGTCTCTACAGAGAAATTTGTAGGCTGGGCGCCGTGGTTTACGCCTGTAATCCCAGCACTTTGGGAGGTCGAGGCAGGCGGATCACTTGAGGTCAGGAATTTGAGACCAGCCTGGCCAACATGGCGAAACCCCGTCTCTATTTAAAAAAAAAAAAAAAGTAGAAAAATTAGCTGGGCGTGGTGGCGGGCTCCTGTAATCCCAGCTACTCGAGAGGCTGAGACAGGAGAATCACTTGAACTCGGGAGGCAGAGGTTTCAGTGAGCCAAGATCGTGCCACTGCACTCCAGCCTGGGTGACAAGAGCGAGACTCCTTCTCAAAACAAAACAAACAAACAAACAAACAAACAAAAAAGAAGGAAATTTGTAAAAAAAAAAAAAAATTAGCCAGGCGTGGTGTCATGCACCTGTAGTCCTAGCTACCAAGGGGGCTGAGGCAGGGGGATCACTTAAGCCCAGGAATTCAAATCTACAGTGAGTCACTATCCTGCTACTGCACTCCAGCCTGGGTGACAGAACAAGACCCCACCTCTATACATGCTACCCTGGCAGGCACTTGATAAACACAGTGCTGCTGATGAGGCTCACGGGCTAATAGACAATCACAATGCGGTATGATTGGTGACCTCTGGAATATATGTATACATGCAAAGGAGCCTACAGGACTTCCACACAGAGGGCTTAGGGTCAGCAAACATCTCAGAAGGACGGGCATTCGGCTGGGCGCGGTGGCTCACCCTTGTAATCCCAGCACTTCGGGAGGCCGAGGCGGGTGGAACACTAGGTCAGGAGTTAGAGACCAGCCTGGCCGACACAATGAAACTCCGTCTCTACCAAAAATACAAAAAATTAGCCTGGGGTGGTGGCGGGCGCCTGTAATCCCAGCTACTGGGGAGGCTGAGGCAGGACAATCGCTTGAACCCGGGAGGCAGAGGTTGTGGTGAGCTGAGATTGCGCCACTGCACTCCAGCCTGGGCGACAAGAGCCAAACTCCATCTCATAAAAAAAAGGGACAGGCATGGGGCATGCCAGGCAGGCAATTTTAGACTGTACTTGTGTAGATCTTTACTTGACGTTGCAGAAATGTCAACTGTTTATATATGTATTTTTAATGGTAGTGTATGTGATACAGAAGTGCTGGGTAGAGAAGAGCATGGTCCCTTTAAATAATTCGGAAGTGGGGAAGGGATGTGCCGGGTAAAGGAGGGCGTGGTCCTTAGCTAGGGCTCCGCCCCCACGGACCTAGGTGAGGACAGGCATCTCTGCCCAAATGTTGCATTTCCCGCCCAAATGTTGCATTTCCCAAAACCACCCTGGCCTGCCATGGCCGCATCCTGGGCCTATAAAAACCCAAGATGCTAGCAAGGCAGTGACAGAGGCCGCCAGACGTTGAGAGGACAAGTCAGCAGAAGACGCCACAGCCGCTGGCGGTGGAGAGGAGGTCGAGAGGCTCACGCGCGCAGAAGAAAATACCGGCACACGGACAGGCCATTGACCGGCAGGACCAGGCGGAGTTTGGCCCGGGCAGTGGGAGGAGAGCCAGGGGAAGATCATCTTCCTTCTGGCTCCCCATCGTGGGAGAGTTAACACTTGACACTCGTTCTCCAAGCCCAGGTGTGCTGCGATTCTTCAGGTACACCAAGGCAAGAACCCGGGATACAGAAATCCCTCTCTCCTTGCGATAAGGAAGGGGGCCTATTGAGCTGGTTAACATGAGCCGCCTATAGACACCTTGTAACAGACGCCCCCTGGGTCTTCAGGAGCCGTAAACATCCACCGCAGACACCGCCGTGGGGTCGGAGCCGCACAAAGCTCCCCTGGAGGTTTGAGCAGCGGGAAGCGAGCCAGAGCCACACCCCAACTGCACACCCTGCGGGGGCCTTTCAGATGGGAAGAGAGTAAGTCTCCTCCTGGTACTGTAACTTTGAGGTTTGGTGATTTTTTTTTTTTTTAAACAGTCTTTGAAGACTGATATAAATGGTTTGGCCAGTGCCACTACCAGGTGCTGTCTGGTTTTAGATGAATAACTTTAATTCCCTGAGCTTAACTTTTCATATTTTCTTAGTGTTTTGTGAATATTCAAGCTAAGTCAGCAGTAGCGACTTAGTGCATGACTTTTTGCCACCCCTAATGCATGTCCCTTTGCAATGTGATGGTTATCTTCTCCCATCAATAGGTGAAGTCCATTTTCTCCTCCTTTGAGTCTGGGCTTGACTGACTAACACGGCTTTTGCTAATGGGAAATTAACAAACATGATAAAGAGGCTTAAGAAGAACTGACGTTGGGGTTTTGCTTCCTGCTGCTCCTGGGACCCTGCTGTCATGTGAACACATCGGATTATCTTGTCGGAGAATGAGACCAGGGGAAGAGAACCAACCTACCCTGGCCGATAGAAAGCCACTCCCAGGGCCGGACACGGTGGCTCACGCCTGTAATCCCAGCACTTTGAGAGGCCAAGGTTGGTGGATCACTTGAGGCCAGGAGTTCGAGACCAGCCTGGCCAACATGATGAAAGCCCGTGTCTACTAAAAACACAAAAATTAGCTGGGCGTGGCGGGCGCCTGTGATCTCAGCTACTCCGGAGGCTGAGGCAGGAGAAGTGCATGAACCCGGGAGGTGGAGTTTGCAGTCAGCCAAGATTATGTGCTCCCCAGCCTGGGCAACAGAATGAGACTGCGTCTCAAAAAAAAAAAAAAAAAAGCAAAGAAAAAAAAGAAAGCCACTCCCAGAGGGTAAGTGGGGCCATCTGGATATACTAGCCCTCACCAGTCCACTGACTGATCACCAGAATTTGCAAATGAAGACAAATGCATGAGTGAGCCTCACCAAAAATAGCAAGCAAAGTGTCCTGCCTCGCTCCAGTGATGATCTATAGAATCATGAGTTGACAATTGTTGTGTTAGGACACTAAGGTTTGGAATGGTTCATGACACAGCAGTAGATTACCAATACCAGTCAAATGGTGATGAGAACAGAGTAACTGTTGCAAGTTTCAGAAGTAATGCTGTGTTTTTGTTTTTCTTTGAGAGGTTTGAGTGCTGTGCTCACCTAAGTTTAAAATGAAAATGGGGCTGGGCATGGTGGCTCACGCCTTTAATCCCAGCACTTTGGGAGGCCAAGGCACGCGGATCACTAGAAGCTAGGAGTTCAAGACCTGCCTGGCCAACATAGTGAAACCTCGTTCTCTACTAAAAATACAAAAGTTGGCGGGGAGTGGTGACTCATGCCTGTAATCCCAGCACTTGGGGAGGCCGAGGCGGGCAGATCACGAGGTTAGGAGTTGGAGACCAGCCTGGCCAACACAGTGAAACCCCGTCTCCACTAAAAATACAAAAATTAGCTGAGCTTGGTGGTATGCGCCTGCAACCCCAGCTACTCGGAAGGCTGAGGCAGGAGGATCGCTTGAACTCGGGAGGCGGAGGTTGCAGTGAGCCGAGATTGTGCCACAGCGCTCCAGCCTGGGCAAAAGAGCTAGACTCCGTCTCAAGAAAAAAAAAAAAAAAAGTTAGCCAGGCATGGTGGCACACACCCATAATCCCAGCTACTCCAGAGGCTGAGGCACGGGAATCACTTGAATCTGGGGGCGGAGCTTGCAATGAGCCAAGAGCGTGCCACTGCACTACAGCCTGGGCAACAGAGTGAGATTCTGTCTAAAAACTAACTAACTAAATAAATAAATAAATGAGAATGGTATTTGCATATAGCCACTAGCTGGTCCCCAAAAGCCTCTTCCCTGGCCAACTGGTCTCCTGCAGAACCCTGACTAGTGACAATTCCTCCATGGAACCTCTTTTTCTATTATTAAACAATTATATAAGTGCATATTCTGGGTAGGAAGTGCTTTCACACTCTAAAAACCCTCTTCTGTGATGAAATCTGGTTGTTTTCCTTTAAAGATGAAATATATTTCTACTGACCCCAATGTGGAGATCAAGTGATTCTCACCTTGAAAGTATCATGGTTGGTCACTGTGATTAGAACAAGAAAATGCTGTGATTTTTCTCTGCAACAGTAGGGCCGACTTGTCCTGAAAGCCGAAAGTCTTTGCAGCGAAAGGAAAGGGTGCAGTGGATGACTCCTAGCCCTGAGAATAACATGGATCTGGAAGGTCCATATATCATTCAGTGAATCAGTAAACACCACTGGGTTCCCTTTGGGGATATAGCACCAACAATAAAGGGCCCTGTTCTGAATTCTCTGGAATTAAACTGAGTGTTCAGGATGCAAAACTCATTAAAAATTGGCAGTTGCGGCATGGCATGGCATAATAATAAATCCAGGAGCAGAAGGGATGCGAACCCATATATCAAATGAGGTCCCAAACGCTCCCCAGTGTGTGACTCCTGCTAGTTCTAGTGTGGCTGCCATTGCATGGGACGTGTTGGAGTCCTTCATGGGCGCTCCATGAAAGACATCTTTCTGTGCTACAGGCAGCCCTGGTGGGATGTGCTCCCACCACAATGAAAAAGTCAGCCCTAGAAAGATCAGTGGCAGAGGAAAGAAGTGGGTATTTTGCTTTGTTTTTTTCCCAAAACAGAAAGACGTAATTGCTATTCCCACTCTGGTAAGCTTGGCATATAAATACCAGGGACTCTGGTCTTCCTGGCAACCCCTCTCTCCATTGGTACTCAGTCACTCCAAGCATGTTCCATGGCATGTTAATAAGTGCTGCTTCAACAAGCCTTAAAGAACATAGTTCCACTCTTCATGCTAATTGCCTATGCACATTCTCTCCCACCTTTCACCATCACAAATTCAGAAACAGCCAGCAACTCCTCACAAGTGAATGGTATTAAGCTGTTAGGTCGTAAGTAAGACCAATTGAATCAACAGGTTCATAGGACTTTAAACGTCACACTGCTTCAGATGTCTAGATCATCAGTTACTCCCATCCTGCTGTGCCTCCATCTCCAGGTTTCTTCACATGAGCTTACTAGCTTAAATGAGATTTATTTGAACTAAAAAGGTGAAGGATGACAGGGCATGGTGGCTCACGCCTGTAATCCCAGCACTTTGGGGGCCGAAGTGGGCGGATCACCTGAGGTCAGGAGTTCGGGACCTGCCTGACCAAAGTGGAGAAATCCCGTCTACCAAAAATACAAAAAAATGAGCCGGGCGTGGTGGCGCATGCCTATAATTCCAGCTACTCGGGAGGCTGAGGCAGGAGTATCGCTTGAACCCAGGAGGCAGAGGTTGTGGTGAGCCAAGATCACACCACTGCACTGCAGCCTGGGCAACAAGAGTGAAACTCTGTCTCAGAAAAAATAAAAAAAAGCAGAAGGATCTCCCCACGCTCTCACAATGGTTAGTTACTGGTTAAAATTCATTATGTGCCTTTAGAAATTAAAGTGATAAGTTGGAGACCTAACTAGCTCTGAAAGCTAATAAGCTACGGCAGAGAGGGTGGGAATCTGAGAGGCAGAGAGTAAGAGTAAGTAAAGGAGAGTAAGAGTAAGAAAACACGTGTGGGGTCCACTCTACCCTGTGACGGTGTCAATAAACTGTATGCAAAAGGCTAGTACTTTTTTTCTGAACTTGTCTAAATCTACTTTTATTTAAATAGAAATCCAAAACACTTCCTAGGTTATGATTTTCAAGATCAGTCTAAAATTTAAAAGTAAGCCCCTAAAAATAATGTTTGAATTATTAGCTATAGAAAATATTTCATGGCTGGGCATATGTGTCTCACGCCTGTAGTCCCAGCACTTTGGGCGGCCAAAGCGGGCAGATCACCTGAGGTGAGGAAGTCAAGACCAGCCTGGCCAACATGGTGAAACCCTATCTTACTGAAAATACAAAAATTATCCGGGCGTGGTGGCGTGCACCTGTAGTCCCAGCTACTCGGGAGGCTGAGGCAGGAGAATGGCGTGAACCCGGGAGGTGGAGGTTGCAGTGAGCCAAGATGGTGCCACTGCAATCCAGCCTGGGAGACAGAGTAAGACTCCATCTCCAGAAAAAAAAAGAAAATATTTCATGCCTATCAATCAGAAAAAATACAATAATTATTCAAGCACACATGAAATCTTAAAATCATGTTCACGTGCTAGCATACGAGGAAAACCTTAATCCATTCTGAAGATCAATATTATAAAGATTGTGGTCTGCTGATAATACAGTAAATTTGAAACCATTAGTAGATGATTGATTTAAAATGTTATGCCCGGGACATTTACAACATGCAATTAAAAACTTCTGAGCAAGCTTTTGCCAGTGCCTGCTGCCTTTTGTGATTGTGCATCCTAGCTGAGGCATGCAGAACCAAATGAAAGCAAGGATTCATTAACTCTTTGAACTTGTTAAATGCTAACAGTTAACCATTAGAAATGGTTCAACGATGTGAGCCACACTACTTCAACTTTTTCTTTGTTGTAGTTTTAGAATGGTCAATTTTTAGCTACTTGACAGATTAAAAGCAAAATAATCACGCCATATTTAGTCCTGGAGTTCAAGTCTACATGTTTATGTGAAAAATCTTTGTAATAAACTTTTAACATGAGAAGGCAACCTTAAGCTCTATTTTAGCCAAATGAAACAAAACCTGAAATTGTATTAGAACATTTCCCTGTCTTCAAACTGGTGTAACAGAATCCTGATATGCAGCTTGATGGATTTCACCAGTTAAGGCACATTCTTCTCCCTCCGTCCCTGCAATACTGTGTATACTGAACAATGTGCATTTGTCTGAGGAGTTATTTTGTTTGCCACCACTTAACGAATCTCAAAATTTTGAGTAACTGTACCTCAGTCTAATCGGACTTTTTATGAGCTTTATAACTACATTGAAACCCTTAATTCCCATTTCTGGGTGTTTGTGAGCCTGATTGCTGTCATTTGCGACTCTAGGTACTCACCAGCTAAATAAACATAGTTTTTGTGTGGCCAGCACGTACTGCTCCTCAATTCCTTTCTCCAGCTTCCGCGGCGTCCTGGCATCCTTAAAATATCTACAAAATATGGCCTTCATTCATAAATGAAATCAGTTTCTATGTGAGTGTGTGGATGTTTATTGATCGCACATGTATAAGTGGAAATACAGCATATGTCTGGGTATTCTTTTTTCTTTTGAGACAGTCTTGCCCTGTTGCCCAGGCTGGAGTTCAGTGGTGCAATCTTGGCTCACTGCAGCCTCCACCTTCCAGGTTCTAGTGATTCTCCTGCCTCAGCCTCCTGAGTGGCTGGGATTACAGGCGTGTGTCACCATGTACAGCTAATTTTTGTATTTTCGGTAGAGACAGGTTTTCACCATGTTGGCCAGGCCGGGCTCAAACTCCTGACCTCAAGTGATCCGCCCGCCTTTGCCTCCCAAAGTGCTGGGATTACAGGCTTGAGCCACCGTGCCTGGCCTGTGTGGGTATTTGTATAGTCTTCTTTTTAACATATTTTTTTTTCATTAATTACATATCAACATTAATTTCGTATCTTGAAACAAGTTGATTTTGTATAATTAAAGGTGCCGAGCATCTATAAAATAAATAAATAAATAAAAATTAAAATCTTCTGAGCAAAATGAGGTTCATTTTGAAGAATGTAGAATAAATGACAGCAGCACCCCATGTTGATATTGGTAGAACACTGCCAAAGCAGTATCTAGAGGGAAGTAAAGAACTTTAAATATATGAATGAAGAAATAAGAAAGATTGGCAACAAATTAGGTCAGGATTTGACCCAGAATTCACCCTTTAGCTGTTCTGAGATATAGTTCATACAAGAAAAGTAGGATAAATCCTTTACTTTTTTATTTACCAGACTTTAGAATAATTCATTGATAAAATACTAACAATTCTCTGATCCCTAGGTAGAGTATTATGCATGAGTTTTCACTTCATTTATACTTTTATTTCTGAAATTTTTTTTACCAAACATATTCTAACTTTATAATCAGAAAAATACTTTTGAAAAAGGAGTCAGGGAATAAAGATATATTTGCAACTTAGTAAAGTTCCTCTGATCTCTTGAAGTATTAAAACTTTTGAATACATGTGAAAAAAATTTCTAAGACAACTCATGAAATCTGAAACTGGGATGGTTTCTGGAGGTTTTCAAAGAAAGCGTCTCATACTAAAGTTAAGACCTCTGTTTTATGTCATTTTAAAAGAGAGCGCAGCTCTCGTGCTGGGGCATTGCTTCAACCCGCACTTGGAGGAATGAGCATCACTTCCTGAATCACCAGCCTTTTCTACAGAGCCTCGATTTTCTCTAGGGTCTTCCCATCCACACACCGGCAATGCTGACAATACTCAGAGCTTATGAAACCTGACAGATCACAGTTTGAGGTGAAAAAACTTTAGGAATGAAAACTATCAAGAGGAATTGGAAATGAAAGGTGAATGCCATTATATTTATTCAATTTATAGCTAAATTATAATGGAAAAAATCTCGAAATAGAAACATTTTTTAAATCTGAAGACTGTAATTATAACAATGAGCATTGTCATAATGTTGACCTGTGTCACATTACAAATATTCTTTATCAATAAGACATTAAATGTAATAAGTTAATGAAGAAGTTATGACTTTTGCCAAAATGATAGGGCAGTTTTTTTATTTTGAATTTTAAAAAAATTGTGCTTCAGTTTGCAGGATGTTTGTGTGTGTGTGTGTGTGTGTGTGTGTGTGTGTGGTGTAGGGGGGTGTTGGTATGAGATAGAAATTGACTAACACAGTCCAGCTTCTGTTGATTCTTTTTCTTTCAAAAAAAAGTCTTCCCATAATATCTTACACTGCTCGTCTCAGTAGTTTAGTCAATGTTTAACACATGCCAAAATATTTCTGACTCTCAGAATAATTTGATTTTAGAGAAGTAGATGGGACCAGCCAGGTTCTTAATTTTTTCCCCACAACTTTTTATTTTGAGAATGTTCAAACCCACTGAAAAGCTGCAGATAGTCCAGTGAATACCCTTTGTGATGGGCTAAATTGTGTCCCTACAAAATTCGTATGTTGCAGTCCTAAACTGCGTATCTCAGAATGCGGCTGTGTTTGGAGAGAGGATCTTAAAAGACGTGATGAAGTTAAGGCCATTAGGGTGGGCCTTAATCCAATCTGACTGCTGTCTTTGTAAGAAGAGGAAATTGGGACACACCCTGGGACACCCCTGTGAAGCAGCTGCAAGAGCCAAGGAGAGGGGCCTCAGAGGAGAGGAAGGACCCCGCCGACAGCCTCAGCTTGGGCTTCCAGCCTTCAGGACTCCGAGAAAATGGATCTATGCTGGTTAAGCCAGCCAGTAAGTGGTATTTTATTATGCGAGCCTGAGCGAACTAATATACCTTATACCTTTCTTATACGTTCACTAATTGTTAACATTGTGTCACATTTTTGTGATCCCTCTCTCTGTCTCCACAAACACACATGCATAGGCATGCACACACACTAACATGTGAAGTATACACATACAACCTATCACACACATCATACATATGCATACATATGTGTGTACATATGTATACGCATGTCTACCACACTTTTGGCAGGGGTGAAGGAACAGGTGAACCATTACATGCCTGTTAGTTGCAGGCAACATGACTTTTTTTTCCTAAATACTTTTGTGGAAACCTCCCAAGAGCCAGTACATTTGCTTATAAAACCACACTATAAGTTTCATATTCAGGAACTAAAAACAGTACTACATTATACGGTAATATGCGGTCATATTTAAATGTTCCCATTTGTCCTAATATAGTTAGGTTTGTTTGTTTGTTTTTCTCCAACTCGAAGTTTAATCAAGGCACACACACTGCATTTAGCTGCCAAGTGTGTTTGCTTTTTTTTTTTTTTAGATGGAGTCTCGCTCTGTCACCCAGGCTGGAGTGCAGTGGTGCAATCTCAGCTCACCGCAGCCTTGGCCTCCTGAGATCAAGTGATCTTCCCACCTCAGTCTCCTGAGTAGCTATGAGTATAGGCACGTGTCACTGTGCCCAGCTAATTTTTTTTTTTTTTTTGTAGAGACAGGGTCTCACTATGCTGCCCAGGCTGGTCTTGAATTCCTGGCCTCAAGCCATCCTTCCACCTCGGCCTCCCCAAAATGCTGAGATTACAGGCATGAACCACCTTGCCCAGCCTTTATTAAGATTTTCTATTGGTGCAAAAGTAATTGCAGTTTTTGCAATTTTTTTTTTTTTTTTTTTGAGACGGAGTCTCGCTCTGTCCCCAGGCTGGAGTGCAGTGGTGCGATCTCAGCTCACCGCAACCTTCCTCTCCCTGGTTCAAGCCATTCTGCTGCCTCAGTCTCCCGAGTAGCCGGGATTACAGGCATGCACCACCACACTCAGCTAATTTTTTATTTTCTGTAGAGATGGGGTTTCACCACATTGGCCAATATGGTCTCAATCTCCTGACCTCGTGATCTGCCCACCTGGGCCTCCCAAAGTGCTGACATTACAGGCGTGAGCCACCTCACCCAGCCGCAATTATTTTTAATGACAAAAACCGCAATTCCTTTTGCATCAACCTAATAATACATTCTTGTCATTATTCGGATGGTCAAATATTCCCAGATTTACAAGCAGGTGTGCTTTTAAGCTGGTTTGCCTAGCCTGTGACATGTCCCTATGGGTTTTCAGCACATCCTTGCTTAAGCCGATAAACAATGAATAGCAAGTTTTTCATTTTGTTCTATCTCTTATTTTGAATCTAAAAGAGCAGCCCCTTTTTGTTTCAAAATCTTATTGACATATTGAAGAGATTGGTCCGGTTTCTATAATGTTCTACCTTCTAGATTTGTCCAAGTGTTTCCTCATGATGTCATTTAGCTTTGCTTATCACGTGTATTTTGTATAATGTGAAAGTGAGAGCTAAAGGTTTCATTAGCTGCCAGGTAAGTAGTTTTGGCCAGATGTTTTATAAGTTGTGCTATACTTTATGATTGCATCACATTAGCATGTAATATTTAGTTGTCCTACTCTTAAATTTAATACTTACCCTACCATTATTGAACAAAATACACAAAGCAACATTAAAAAAAGAAAAACAAAAATTTAATACTTACCCTACTATTAAATTGAGCTGTAATTTCATCACCAGTGTGTATAATAAAATGTCACCACATTCACAAAACTCATGTTTTTAATTCAAATGAGATATTATTGCCTAATGACTGTAAGTGAGACTTTAGTGATTTCAGCAAATATATATAATCGTTTTTTGAGAACACATCCTTAAATTTCAGAAAATTGCAGTAAAAATGAAGTACCAACCCATTCTTGGTATTACATTCTAAAACTTTGGCATTTTTCCTTTGATCACCAATTCCACATCTGGAGATACTCTCCGGACACTTGTCAAGTTCATGATTTTACTACAGGAGTCTATTCGAGCAATATTTGTAGGCACAAAAATGCAGAAACAGTTTCTTCAAGAAGGGGCTTAATAAACCTAATGTGGAACATTGGTTATGTAACTATCATGCAGTCACTAAAGACGAGGATCTCTGTATAAGGAGACAGACTACTATGCAGAAATTATTTAGTGAAGAAGGCAGGTTGCAGAACCCTGTATCTAGTGCAATTCCATGTATGTTTGAAAAGAGCACAGCTGAACGGAGGAATGAATGAAGAACATGTGGAAACATACACAAAAATTAGAAAATGTTAGAGAATAACTTTGATAAAGTTAGATAAGATTTTCGTTGTAAAAAGCACCTATTTTGAATAAAGATTCATTCAGGTTAAGGCCTCCTTTGGACCCCTTACATTCACGTGGATTACTTTTCAAGATATATTGCATGATGTCTGTATGTCTGACATTCTTCAATATTTCAAGAAAAAGGGTTTTGCAAAAAGGCCAATCTATCTAACCACAAATATGACTTCTAAATTAAAGACTTACCAAAGGCTGGGCGAGGTGGCTCACGTCTGTAATGCCAGCACTTTGAGAGGCCAAGGCAGGTGGATCACTTGGGGTCAGGAATTTGAGACCAGTCTGGCCAACATGGTGAAACCCCGTCTCTACGGAAAAATACAAAAATTAGCCGAATGTGGTAGCGGGTGCCTGTAATCCCAGCTACTTGGGAGGCTGAGGCAGGAGGATCACTTGAACCCAGGAGACGAAGGTTGCAGTAAGCCAAGATTGTGCCATTGCACTCCAGCCTGAGCAACAGAGCAAAACTCAGTCAAAACAAACAAACAACAAAAAAAAAGAAAAAAAAGAAAAGAAAGACAATCACCAAAGATACCTAATTTTGGCCTGGCATGGTGGCTCATGCCTGTAATCCCAGCACTTTGGGAGGCCAAGGTGGGCGGATCACCTGAAGTCAGAAGTTCAAGACTAGCCTGGCCAACATGGTGAAAACCCATCTCTACCAAAAATACAAAGATTAGCTGGACGTGGTGTCACGCGCCTGTAGTCCCAGCTACTTGGGAGGCTGAGGCAGGAGAATTGCTTGAACCCAGGAGGTGGAGGTTGCAGTGAGCCAAGATTGCACCACTGCACTCCAACCAGGGCAATAGAGTGAGACTGAGTCTCATTAAAAAAAAATAAAAAAGATACCCAATCTTGTTACAGAAATACCAAAGTGCAGAAATCAGAAAACTGCATAGATCACAAAACTTGGATACCACAGAAACAGTAATCACAACAATAACAACAAAACAAATGGAAGGAAGCCAAACCTTACAACAAAATGAACCGCACTTCCTTAGAGGAATGATTTGTGTTAAATAACCACCATCATTCACAAAAATAACAATCATAAATTAGTAGCACATCACTGTCTGAAGGTTCTCATTTTTCAAAAAGCACCTGGAGCGAGCATCTCTCGCATATACTTTTTGCAGGTTAATTCTATTTTGGAGACTTCTTAGCTTAAGATGAGCCCTAAGTGGACAGCTGTTTAGTTTCAGAACAGTCTCCCCCATGTGTATGTGCTGGTGAGTGACACGCTCCACCTGCCTGCAGGAGCTGCTGCCTCCTTACATCTCCCAGCCATGCATCGCGCCTTTCCCTTTGGGAAGCACTTAATGAGCCATAGGCTCCTGAAAGTGGAAAGAGAACACGAAAGGGCCTCTGGTCCTGCTGACAAAGTCATTTCCGCTGCGCCTGGTGCTTTTTGGTTTTCACATTGGATTCACTTCACTTTTAATTAAAGAAACGAGATTTGTGTGTTTCTTTTTGATTTTGGTCATCTTCCCCAAATTAAGGCTCTGTCTCTCAAACAGGAAGTTAACATTTATTCAAGTCAGGAACATAGGGGCTAGCTTTTCCTTTTCCACAGATGTACCTGAGATATTTGGCCAAACTTGTCCCTACATTCAAAGATCTCTGGTGGGATTACATAGCCTAAACGAACTCAACTACTAAGTTATCTTTGGCTATCTTCAGATATGACCCACTGATATGGTTTGGCTCTGTGTCCCCACCCAAACCTCAGCTTGAATTTTACTCCCCATAATCCCCACATGGTGAGGGTGGGACCTGGTGGGAGGTATTTGAATCATGGGCAGTTTCCCCCATGCTGTTCTCATGATAGTGAGTGAGTTCTCATGAGATCTGATGGTTTTATAAGCGTCTGTCATTTCCTCTGCTTGCATTCATTCTCTCTCCTGCCGCCCTGTAAAGAGGTGCCTTCTGCCATGATTGTAAGTTTCCTGAGGCTTCCCCAGCCATGTGGAACTGTGAGTCAATTAAAACTCTTTTTTTATAGTTACCCAGTCTCAGGTATTTCTTCATTGCAGCATGAGAATGGACAAATACACCCACATAGCTATCTTCTTTATTCATGGATATAATTCTTACAGTTAGCAATAGACAAAATTGGACCCTTTTTTAGTGTTACACTAGCTCAATTGCATAGACATCCAGTGACCTACAGCTTTCCTAAGACTCTAATGTTTAAAGCACTGTCATGCCCCGGGCCCTCTCTCGGCACTGCCCCAAGGAAGTTTGACTTTGCCTCTCTGTGGCTCAGATTTCCGTAGACAGTTGGAAAGGCACCCAACAAACACCCCATCCATCCATATTCATGCAACTTCTTTATGGTTTAATTTAATAGAGTTTGCCTCCCCACTGAATCCAATTTTAACACAAAAACAAATAAATTTCTACTTCAACGAAAAGGAGGAGAAGATGCCTATACTTTGCTTATCTCTGTGGGCTATTCCATTGTATCTTAACCTAAGGAAAGTGGTCTTTTGGGGAATACATAGAAATTATAATGGAGCAATTAGGCAGCTCAATGAAACAAAAAGACATTTAATTCAATCAATTGAATAAGGAGAACAATCACATTCAATATGGTACTAGTGTATCATGTGTGGAATATTTGTGCATTTCCAAATCTCTTGATACACCACAAAACACACTCAAGTTTCATGGCCTTAGTTAACTGATCTGCAAAAAAATAAACATCCCTCAGTCATTCCTACATGACCTCATAATAACCCATATTTCTACTTTTCTTTCCTGCTGCCTTTTCTTGTAGCTCACTACTTAAACTTCTAGGCCGGGTGCGGTGGCTCACGCCTGTAATCCTAGCACTTTGGGAGGATGAGGCGGAAAGATTGCCTGAGCTCAGAAGTTCAAGACTAGCCTGGGCAACACAGTGAAACCCTATCTCTACTAAAATACAGAAAAAAATTAGCCAGGTGTGGCGGCATGTGCCTGTAGTCCCAGCTACTTGGAAGGCTGAGGCAGGAGAATTGCTGAACCCGGGAAGTGGAGGTTGCAGTGAGCCGAGATTGCGCCACTACACTCCAGCCTAGGCGAAAGCGAGACTCTCTCAAAAACAAAAACAAAAACAAAAACAAAAAAAACTTCTAACAAAATGCCTTCCAGCCTCAGAACACTTCCAAAGTGCTGTCCCAACTAGCTCCTGATTTTCCTTTTATCTAGCACCTTCACCTGCACAACTTGAACCCTTTACCTACATTATTCTTCTTACAAAACTCATTATGGGCTGGGCGCAGTGGCTCACGCCTGTGATCCCAGCACTTTGGGAGGCCAAGGTGGGCAGATACCCAAGGTCGGGAGTTTGAGACCAGCCTGACCAACGTCGAGAAACCCCGTCTCTAGTAAAAATACAAAATTAGCTGGGCGTGGTGATGCATGCCTGTAATCCTAGCTACTCAGGAGGCTGAGGCAAGAGAATTGCCTGAACCCAGGAGGCAGAGGTTGCAGTGAGCCAAGATCGTACCATTGCACTCCAGCCTGGGCAACAAGAGCAAAACTCTGTCTCAAAAACAAAACAAAACAAAACAAAACAAAAACTCATCTCTTCAGAAAGGCCATAGGTTTCCTTGCCTCTGGATTCCTTGTGTCCCCCATAGTACATTCATTGTCCCTTCGATCTCCATGGCTCCTCTTCTAGGCTTTGCCACAAATGGTAAGCCTTCTTTCTGTGGGTCTTTTCTGCATGATCACACTCACCTCGTGTGTGAGTAAAACACGAAAAATTAAATTTCAAACCCAGACCTGTCTGCTTCGCTCTAGTCCTTGAGTCACATTCTCATCTCTCTCTTTTTTTATTTTTATTTTTGTTGAGATGGAGTCTCTGTCGCCCAGGCTGGAGTGCAATGGTGCGATCATGGCTCACTGCAACGGCCGACTCCCTGGTTCAAGCGATTCTCCTGCCTCAGCCTCCCGAGTAGCTGGGATTACAGGCACGCACCACCAAGCCCAGCTAATTTTTGTATTTTTATTAGAGATGAGGTTTCACAGTATTGGCCAGGATGGCCTTGATCTCCTGACCTCGTGATCCACCCACCTCGGCCTCCCAAAGTGCTGGGATTACAGGTGTGAGCCACCGCGCCCGGCCTCATTCTCATCTCTTTCTAATGGTGAGGCCTGACATCATCTGGAACTGAAGAGATTCTACAATGAGCTCCAGGTTTCATTCTCTCTTCCATGCGGGCACAGTCTACCTCTCCCTTCCATGCGGGCACAGTCTACCTCTCCCTTCCATGTGGGCACAGTCTACCTCTCCCTTTCATGAGGGCACAGTCTACCTCAGTCAACCAGTCTCAAATCTTCAGGGTCGTGTAAACTTCCAGGCCCTTAAAACCTCCGAACCCAAGTTGGGATCACTGCACTGGGGCTGTCTTTGTTCCTCCTGCTTTCCCTGCACTGCCATTTTGTTCATTCAGCTTCATAAAACCCGCTGAAAGAACCAGTGTAATCATCTTTAAATTAGTCAACCAAAGTTGACACTTTCATTTTTAAACTTTTAAATCTATTATCCTAACTTTAGTACCCTTTATCTGATCCCTAACTTTTTAACTTTGAGATTTGACTTCCTAATTTTTAAAAGTTTACAATAAAAAATAATTTTGAATACATAGTTTTACTTGTACTTAAAACTGATGTGAAAAAAGTAATTAATTTTTAATGCTTGTATTTTATCTTAAAGACTGGCTGGGCGCGGTGGCTCATGCCTATAATCCCAGAACTTTGGGAGGCCGAGGTGGGTCAATCACTTGAGGTCAGGAGTTCGAGGCCAGCCTGGTCAACATGGTGAAACCCCATCTGAACTAAAAATACTAAAATTAGCTGGGCATGGTGTGGTGTGCGCCTGTAATTCCAGCTACTTGGGAGGCTGAGGCACGAGAATCCCTTGAACCTGGGAGGCAGACGTTGCAGTGTGCCAAGATCACACCACTGCACTTCAGCCTGGGTGACAGAGCAAGACTCTGTCTCAAAAAAAAAAAAAGACGAATACAATTTTAGATTTAAAAAAGAAAAAGTGTTAAAATAATTACTTTTAATTTATGTAGTGAGAAGAATTAAAAAGTAAATAATATTTGTTTTAGCTACAGTACATAGATCATATTTGTCTTATGAACTTTAATTTTTAAATAACATGCACATGTACAATATAAACTTCAGGAGAGTGGGAACTTTATCTCCAATGCCTGCAAAAGTACCTGATACTTAGTAGGTGCTTACAAATATTTGCTGACTTAATGACTATACAATTCATTGGCTACAAAATGGTAAAAAGTGAAAAGTAACTTTTCCTTTTATCCCTATAGATACCTGGTTTCTACCCCCAGAGGCAGTCGCAACTTTATTTGTTTTGTCTTTCTCTAGAGATATTATAAGCCCACCTAAGCATGTGTATATCTATATAAAGACAGTTAGACATATATGCGTGTATGTACACACCATAGATATCCTTTTTTCTACCTTCAAATGGGAACATCTTGTACATATTTCCTGTATTCTACCTTTTGCCTCAACTGTATTTTGGGTGTAATTTTATATCAATTTTGGGAAAACTCTCTCTTCTTTATAAAAGTGACATAGCATTCCTTGTATAACTGTGTCCTCAATTTATTTGACCAATCTTTTATTGGTGGTATTTCAATTTCTAGAATTTTGTGATTTTTTTTTTTTTCTTTAGACAGAAGTTTGTTCTTGCTGCCCAGGCTGGAGTGCAGTGGCACGATCTCGGCTCACCGCAACCTCCGCCTCCCAGGTTCAAGTGATTCTCCTGAATCAGCCTTCCGAGTAGCTGGGATTACAGGCATGCGCCACCATGCCCGGCTAATTTTGTGTTTTTAGTAGAGATGGGGTTTCTCCATGTTGGTCAGGCTGGTCTTGAACTCCTGACCTCAGGTGATCCACCCGCCTCGGCCTCCCAAAGTGCTGGGATTACAGGCGTGAGCCACTGTGCCCGGCCGAATTTTGTGATTTTTAAACAATGCTGTACTACGTGTTCTTGTATGGATAGCATTGCTCATACATATGAGTGTTTGGAAAATAATTTTTCCTTGTGCGGCTATAACAAAACACTTGAGACCAGATAATTTATTAAGAACAGAAATTTATTTTCTCACAATTTTGGAAGCTGGGAAGTCCAAGGTCAAGGTGCCAGTTGTCTGGTGAGGGCTGCCTTCTGCTTCCGAGATGGCACCTTGATGCTGTACCCTCTGGAGGGGTAGACGTGCTGTGTCCTCACATGGCAGAAGGCAGAAGGACAAGGAAGCCAAAACCTGGGTAAAGCCTATATATATATATATATATATATATATATATTATATATATATGGCTTTAAAGGTGTATACACACACACACAAAGGCCTTATATATACAATTTACATACACATATATATACACATGCCTTAATTCCATTCACAAGGGAAGGAGCTTTCCTGGCCCTCCCTTAACACCTGAATTTTGGAGGTGACACATTAAAACCATAGCAATATCCTAGAAGTAAAACTGCCATATCAAAGAGTAAATGCATTTAAAATTTTAATGAATATTGGCAAATTTTCTTCCATGGATTATGTCAGTTTATACTTCCATCAGCAATGTATAAAAGCACCATTTTCCTTCACACTGGCCAACACATTGCTATCACATTTTGAGATCATTATAATTTATAGTTGAAAAGCGATATCACACTATTACTTTAATGTTCTTTTCTTTAATGTGAAATTTATTAATTATCCTCACATTCTAAAGGCATTAATGATTACATTTTTGTAATTGCCAGGGACTGTTTACATTTTACCAACTGATTTTTGCCATTATTTTCTTCCTTCATTTTCCTTTCTTTTTTCCTTCCTTCCTTCCTTCCTTCCCTCCTTTCTTCCTTTCTTTTCTTTCTTTCCTTTCTTTCTTCCTTTTTTATTTTTTCTTAGACAGGATCTCACTTGTTGCCCAGGCCGCAGTGCAGTGGTGCAATCTCGGCTCACTGCAGCCTCCATCTCCTGGGCTCAAGTGATCCTCCCACCTCAGCCTCCTGAAGAGCTGGGACCACAGGCACAAACCACCACACCCAGCTAATTTATTTTTTAAAATGTATGGGTCTGGGGTCTCCCTATGTTGCCCAGGCTGGTCTGAAACTCCTGGGCTCAAGCCGTCCTCCTGTCTTGGCCTCCCAAAGTTCTGGGATTACGGGCATGAGCCACAGTACCCTGCTTCACTGTTTCCTGCTCTATTGGTCATAATTTCACTCATTATTTCCTCACTTTTTCCCTCACGTTTCTCCACTTCTTCACCTCGACGGCTTTGCATGTGTAATTCTCTGTTTTGGAATTGCCTCTCTCCAGCCTCTCCCTCCATCTTCAATTGGAATCTTAATTCCATATGCACAGAATAGCTCCAAGTGGTAGTGGAGGGGAGAAACTTGTAACAAGGGGTCCTGGGTGGAAGAACTGGCACACGGGGTCAGAGATTTCAGGGAAACTTACTTTTCACTGCAACACCTTTTGTACCTTTGCATCTTGTAGGAAGCTTACATGTAACCTCTATACAAGCAAACACAGGCAAAAACACACACATTGTCAATTCACATCCTTATTTGTCAAGGTATAGCTTGAATGTAATTTTTAGCTAAAAAGTTGTTTATCTTTACTCTTAACATTCATGGAAAGTAACTACATACGTATAACATACCTATAAGTTGTATAACATATACATTTTTATAGAAAAATAAACATATTTCTTTTATAACTTGCTAACTTCTTGATTGAGAATCTCTGATTATTCTTTGAGTCCTGCCAACATGTCTAGCATATTTCTTAATCAATGTAGGCATTCAAAAACTGTTTAATTCATTTAGCAAATATTTATTGAGCCTCTGTTCTGGGAAAGTATCTTAGTAATCACCGGCAGTAGAATTTACAGTCACAGTCCTTGCCCTTAGACATCCCAGTTAATGATGAAGATAAACACAGAGATAAATAATTCTAATAGGTACAATTTAGAGACATGCAAAGAAGGGGAATGATAAACATCAAGTGATTATTTATCTCCGCATTTCCCAAGGACTGAGTCAAGTAGCATCTTCTCATGATAATTTTGGTGATCACCAGGAAAGCTTTTTATTAGATAACGATTTATTGCAGAAAATACATAAAAAACTAATACTTTTGCAGAGATTAATTTTGTGTGAGGTTAAAGTAGACATTTAATTTAAAGAAGTTAGTCACTGAAAGTAAAATATTCAGTAAATAAGAGTTTCGACAGAACATAGCCACTGCAACAGTAGTGGAGCAGAGGTGAGCACAACCGAGGCTGCGGCAGGAGAATGGCGTGAACCCGGGAGGCGGAGCTTGCAGTGAGCCGAGATCGCGCCCCTGCACTCCAGCCTGGGCAACAGAGCCAGACTCCATCTCAAAACAAAAACAAAAACAAAAAGAAAACCAACAACTGAAGCTTGGCACATGTTAATCTGTCCCAACCAGGCACACATTGCCTTGGTAATGATAATTATAATTAAATATTAGTATAGCTTCCCTGTGTTGAGGGTTTACTCTGTGTCAAGCATTATGTTATGGACTTTATATCTCATTTAACAGTCACAATCTCCCAAGGACGCTTATATTTTCTTGAGACAACAGAGGCTGAGAGAACGTAATGAAATGGCACAGATAACTAAAAGTTTATTCTTTAATTGCCATGCAACTACACCCAGTAGGAGCCAAATATTGGAGGAAAGGATCGCTAAAGATTTTGACCTTGTAAATTTTGACTTTGAGTGAGAAAAGCAAGTGCCAGATGAATAAATAACCCTTTTTGAGAGGTGCTATGAATAAGTATTATGAGCATGCAGGGCAGGAGAGGATTGGGGATGGAAGCCAGGTCAGGGAAGGGTTCCTTGAGGAGATGATGCTGAAGTGGGCTCGGACGAATGCATCAGCATTAACTAGGCGTTAACAAAGGAAGCTCTAAGTGGAAGTGCCTGGGAGAACACACACAGAGGCCCCTGTGGTGGAGCCAGAGAGCTTCACGGTGCCACGGACCGTGGTGGAGCCAGAGAGCTTCACGGTGCCACGGACCGCGGTGGAGCCAGAGAGCTTCACGGTCCCACAGACTGTGGTCCCAGCGGGCCTCTGTTTCTGCAGCCTTGCCCAAAGTAGGTTGTCAACATTTTGAATTACTGACAAATTCAAGGGTAAGAAACGTTATCTCCGGTAGATTTAGTTTGCATTTTCCTTATTAAGAACATCTTTTATAAGCTTAAGAACAATTTACATTCTTCTGTAAACTACTTCTTACATTCTTTGCCTATTTTCCTGTTTGTTTCCTCATTCATTTGAAAAAGCATCTCATAGATTAAGTTAGTTTCTTGTCTATGATATAAGACATATATTTGCTTTCTAATTTAACATTTATTTCATCTTTATTATTTTAAATTTTTAGTTATGTGAAAAATTTTAATTATTATTATTATTATAATTTTTTTTTTGAGACAGAGTTTTGCTCTTGTTGCCCAGGCTGGAGTGAATGGAACGATCTCAGCTCACCTCAACCTCCGCCTCCCAGGTTCAAGCGATTCTCCTGCCTCAGCCTCCCGAGTAGCTGGGACTACAGGCATGCACCACCACGCCCAGCTAATTTTGTATTTTTAGTAGAGACAGGGTTTCTCCATGTTGGTCAGGCTGGTGTCTAACTCCTGACCTCAGGTGATCTGCCTGTCTCGGCTTCCCAAAGTGCTGGGATTACAGGCGTGAGCCACTGCGCCCGGCCTTATTTTAAAAGTCAAATCAATCTGTGATTTTTGTTGTTTTTGAGTTTAATATACTGAGGAGGCTAATATATTCCAATTTTATAAAAGTATTCAACTGTGTTTTCTTTTAGCACTTTTATGGTATCAGTTTTGAAGTGTAAGTATGTGAACATTGGGATTTATTTTGGTTTAAAGTGTGAGGTAGAGATACAATTAATTTTTTTCTTCAAATAGCTCCTCTTGTTGCAACACTATTTGTAGAATAATCCATCTTTCTCAATTGATTTGAAATATCACCTTTATCAATACTAGATTTCCATATGTATTTGAGTCTTTTACTGGACTTCATTCTGTTTCATTGATGAGTCTATATCTTCATATTCTAGTAATACTGTGTTTTCAATGTTATTATTATTATTTTATTCATTTATTTATTTACTTATTTGTTTATTTATTTTGAGACGGAGTCTCGCTCTATCTCCCAGGCTGGAGTGCAGTGGCCCAGTCTCTGCTCACTGCAACCTCTGCCTCCCAGGTTTAAGTGATTCTCCTGCCTCAGCCTCCCAAGTAGCTGGGATTACAGGTAACTGCCACCACGCCCAGCTAATTTTTGTATTTTTAGTAGAGATGGGGTTTCACCATATTAGCCAGGCTTGTCTCGAACTCCTGACCCTGTGATTCATCTGCCTTGACCTCCCAAAGTGCTGGGATTACAAGCGTGAGCCACTGCACCCAGCCTAATTATTATTGTTTTATTATCTTGTAGGGCTAATTACTTGCATAAAGTATTTCTCAGATTTATACTTTTGCCTGTTATTCTTATTCACTTATTTTTCCATACCTTCTTCAGAATCAGATTTCTAGTTTAAAAAATTCCTGTTAAAATTGTTATTGAGCATTAGATGGAAGCAGCATGGGTAGGAGCCGTGGGGCTGTTTCCGGGAGGGTATTCCAGGCCTAATGGCCAGCATGTGTCAGGGCCTCGACTGGCAGTGCGTGTTGTGTGTTTGAAGAACAGGGGAGTTGGAGTTACTGCAGCAGAGAGTTCAGTCTGAGGAGGGGAGATGGGAGATAATGCCCTAGTGGGGGTGGAGGTGGGACATGAGGGTCCAGATCACCCTTGGGGCCCTTGTAGGCCATTATAAGACTCTGACTTTTAGTCTGAATGAGATGAAAAGTCCCTGGCAGATTTACAGCATAGAAATATCATACAAAAATTTGGGGCAGGGTGCAGTGGCTCACACCCATAATCCCAGCACTTTGGGAGGCTGAGGCAGGCAGATCATTTGAGCCCAGGAGTTCCAGACCAGCTTTGACAACATGGCGAAACCCCTTCTCTGCAAAAAAATGCAAAAATTAGCTGAGCGTGGTGGTCCTCGCCTGTAATCCCAGCTACTCAGGAGGCTGAGGTGGGAGTCACTTTAACCCAGGAGGCGGAGGTTGTAGAGAGTTGAGATCGCGCCACTGCACTCCAGCTTGGGCAAGACAGCGAGACCCTTATCAAGAAATAAAAATAAAAAATAAATTTTATTTTATTTTATTTTTCTATCTGTTAAATATCCAACCAATTCATTTCTGGGCATCTATCTGAAATATTCAACATACGCCACCCTACTCCCGCCCCCACCCCAACAAGAGAAAGAAAAAGCATTGTAGAAAGATTATTACAGCACAGCTTGTTACAGTGAAAAACTGACAGCTAAAATGCATATTAATAGAGAAATGATTTTAAAAATCTGTGCTGTGCCCGTACTATACAATACTAACATGCAGTTAAATGCACAGAATAAGTTTGAAAGCGCAGAAAAATAAATAGCGCTCTTATGAGACCGGGCGCGGTGGCTCACGCCTGTCATCCCAGCACTTTGGGAGGCTGAGGCGGGCGGATGACCTGAGGTCAGGGGTTCGAGACCAGCCTGGCCAACATGGAGAAACCCCATCTCTACTAAAAATACAAAATTAGCCGGGCATGGTGGTGCATGCCTGTAATCCCAGCTACTCCGGAGGCTGAGGTAGGAGAATCGCTTGAGCGAGGCAGAGGTTGCGGTAAGCCGAGATCACGCCACTGCACTCCAGTCTGGGCAACAAGAGCGAAAATAAAAAAACAAACACAAACAAACAAACAAAAAGAAATATAGCTATCACGTTGACAACAAAGTGGTACATAAGGGAGGCTGTGGCTTGGCTTTGGAGCTGCTCACCGGAATGTCCGTGGTGCAGTGACGGCGTCCACGATTCGGGTCAGAGCTCTCCAGGACAGGTGGGGTAGAGCTGGAACAAGACGGGCAGGTGCTGGCGCTCACTGAGGCTACTCTGGCAACACATGAGGACGCATTTTATTTTTCTCCCCACTTTTAATACGTTTGAAAATTCCATAAAAGTAAAACAAAACAAAAATAATAAAAATTCATTAAAGACTGAACCATAAAAGTCAGAAAATTTTTCCACAACAGCCTTGGCCATTGCTGTATTGTGCATTGAAGGCGGCTCTTAGTGAAGAGACACATTTGTAATAAATGTTTTGATGTACTAGACAATCAGGGCTCTGAGGATTGAATGAGATGATCCGTGTAAACTACTTAGCCTGGAATTCTCAGGACATATAAATCTAAAAGTTTTTATGGAAGTTGATTTTATTACTCAAAATATATTACAGTAATTTTGTAAATCTATTTTATCTCTCTATCTCTATATAATTTGTCTTCTGTTTAATAGCTACAGAATGTTTCTTAATTTATTTAGCCATTCCCCTATTGACCTTTTCTCCTTTTATAACAATTTTGTAATAAATGTCTCATAATATGTATTTGTGCACCTGCCCAATTCTTTCCATGAGGTAAGTCCCAGAACTGGATATGGTAAACACCAATGCATTTTCATATATCTTTTTTCCAATTTGCCCTGCAAAGAGATTGTACTCATATACACACCCTCCAGTTAATGGTGGCAGTGTCTGATTCTTCACACCCTTGTCAACAAGGAACTAGACACATGCATTATTAGTGAAGGCAAGTGCATATGGACTGTGTATTTTTGTCTCTTCCAAGGTGAAATACATTTTTATGTCCTCAACTTGTTTTGTATTGGATTCTTTGTCTTTTCTTTATTGATGTGTTAGAACTCTTTATAGTAAGACTATTAATATTTTGTCACATATGTTACAGAACATTTTCTCTAGTTTGCCATTTGTCTTTAATTTCATGTAGTTTTAAATATTTCAGCCTTCATTTTAGGCTATCTGGGATTTATTGCATGCTTAGAAAAGCCTTTTATATTTCAGAATTAAAAAGCTTTTTTTGGTAAACTCTTTCACACTGTTGGATTTTGTTTGAACTTCTGTTTTTAAGCCATCTGGCATTTATTTTTATTTTATTTTACTTTATTTTATTTTTTTATGATTTTTTAATTTTTTTATTGTACTTTAAGTTCTAGGGTACATGTGCACAACGTGCAGGTTTGTTACGTATGTATACATGTGCCATGTTGGTGTGCTGCACCCATTAACTCGACATTTACATTAGGTATATCTCCTAATGCTATCCCTCCCCCCTCCCGCCACCCCATGACAGGCCCCAATGTGTGATGTTCCCCACCCTGTGTCCAAGTGTTCTCATTGTTCAATTCCCCACCTATGAGTGAGAACATGTGGTGTTTGGTTTTTTATCCTTGCGATAGTTTGCTGAGAATGATGGTTTCCAGCTTCATCCATGTCCCTACAAAGGACATGAACTCACCCTTTTTTATGGCTGCATAGTATTCCATAGTGTATATGTGCCACATTTTCTTAATCCAGTCTATCATTGATGGACATTTGGGTTGGTTCCAAGTCTTTGCTGTTGTGAATAGTGCCACAATAAACATATGTGTGCATGTGTCTTTATAGCAGCAAGATTTACAATCCTTTGGGTATATACCCAGTAATGGGATGGCTGGGTCAAATGGTATTTCCAGTTCTAGATCCTTAAGGAATCGCCACAGTCTTCCACAGTGGTTGAACTAGTTTACAGTCCCACCCACAGTTTTACTTTATTTTATTTAGAGACAGGGTCTTGCTCTGTTGCCAAGCCTGGAGTGCAGTAGCACAATCATAGCTCACTTCAGCCTTGACCCCCTGGGCTCAAGCAATCCTCCTGCCTCAGCCTCCCAAGTACCTGAGGCTACAGGCACATGCCACTATTCCTGGCTAATTTTTAAATTTTTTTGTAGAGACAGGGTCTTGTCCAGGCTGGTCTCAAACTCCTGGTCTCAAGCAATCCTTCTGCCTCAGCCTCCCAAAGTGCTGGAATTATAGGCATGAGACACTGGGCCAAGCCTGGAATTTGTTACTGCAGTTAGGATATATGTTTTATTCCTAAATGTAGCCTACTGTCCCAACCTGTTAATTGAAGAGTTTATTATCTATATCTGGTTGGGATTCTCCATATCATTATTTTTCTTTTAGGCACTTTTATTGGCTATTTTCATACTTACTATTTCGTGTACTTTAGAAACAGTTTTTGCATTCCAAGACAATTCTGGAGAGACTATTTTTGGACTCACATTGGAAATTAGGTGAGAATTGGCATTTGTCTTTATACAAGTGTTCCACTTAGGAAAATTGTGCGTCCTCCCACTTTTAAAGTCTTTTAAGTAAGTCTTATTTTTTATATATATGTATATATTATACATATATATAAAATATATATATTATACATATTTTACATATGTATTTTTACACACACATATATATATATATACACAAATATATATATATATATATACACAAATATATATATATATATATATATATATATATATATATATATATATATATATATATTTGAGACAGAGTCTCACTGCGTCCCCCAGGGCTGGAGTGCAGTGGCGCGATCTTGGCTCACTGCAGTCTCTGCCTCCCAGGTTCAAGCAGATTCTCCTGCCTCGGTCTCCCAAGTAGCTGGGATTACAGGTGCCCACCACCACGCCTGGCTAATTTTTGTATTTTTAGTAAAGACAGGGTTTCACTATGTTGGCCAGGGTGGTCTTGAACTCCTGACCTCGTGATCCACCCGTTTTGGACTCCCAAAGTGCTAGGATTACAGGCATGAGCCACCATGCCTGGCTGAAGTAAGTCTTATGATTAACTTCCCCATAAATCTTTCACATTTCTTATTAATTCCTAGGTATTTTATAATATTGAAGGTTTTAAAAAATTTCAGAGATCATTTTTGCCATTCTATTTTTTAACTTAGTTACCACTAAGACAACATCTACAAAATGCTGTAGATCTCTGCGCACACACAAACACACACACATCATGCAACAAATAAGAAAATGCCAATACATGAATTATACGTGAGATGTTGGATATATTATTTTATTGGCACATGTCTTAGAACTCATTACACTTCTAGGTACATATCCATGAGACACCAATGCATGCGACCATCAAAAACATGAACAATAATATTTACAGAAGTTTCATTAACAATAACTAAAATTTAGAAGCAATCTAAATGTCCACCAATAGGAGAACAGATGAGCAAATGGGATACGATACAGACAGAAGCAACAATAATAAAATCCCTACTGATGTGGATACACATGAAAAATCTCATGACCCTCATCTTGAGCAAAAGAAACTTCACATCAAGAAATGCATACTCTTTTATTCCATTTATATAAAGTTCAAGAACAGGCAAAACTAATCTTGTAATAAAAATCAGGGCCAGGCATGGTATCTCACACCTGTCATCCCAGCAATTTGGGAGACCGAGGCAGGCAGATCTCAGGAGTTTGAGACTAGCCTGGGCAACATGGCGGAACCCTGTCTCTACCAAAAATACAAAAAAAAAAAATAAGAAATTAGCTGAGCATGGTGGCACGCATGTGTAGTCCCAGCTACTTGGGAGGCTGAGGTGGGAGGATCGCTTCAGCCTGTGTGACAAAGTGAAAAAAGTCAGAATAATGGCTATCTGTTGAGAGATTAGGTACTATCTGGGAAGGGTATCAGATGACCTTGGAGCCTGTTGGACATTTTTTGAATCTTGATCTAGGTGGTAACGTCACTGGTAGATAAGCACTGTATATAAAAGCTCATTGAATTTACACTTAAGATTTGTTCACCTGATTCAATATAAAATTTACCTAATTTTCGGCCAGCCGCCCCGTCTGGGAGGTGAGGGGCGCCTCTGCCCGGCCGCCCCTACTGGGAAGTGAGGAGCCCCTCTGCCCGGCCACCACCCCGTCTGGGAGGTGTACCCAACAGCTCATTGAGAATGGGCCAGGATGACAATGGCGGCTTTGTGGAATAGAAAGGCGGGAAAGGTGGGGGAAAGATTGAGAAATCGGATGGTTGCCGTGTCTGTGTAGAAAGAAGTAGACATGGGAGACTTTTCATTTTGTTCTGTACTAAGAAAAATTCTTCTGCCTTGGGATCCTGTTGATCTGTCACCTTACCCCCAACCCTGTGCTCTCTGAAACATGTGCTGTGTCCACTCAGGGTTAAATGGATTAAGGGCGGTGCCAGATGTGCTTTGTTAAACAGATGCTTGAAGGCAGCATGCTCGTTAAGAGTCATCACCACTCCCTAATCTCAAGTAATCAGGGACACAAACACTGCGGAAGGCCGCAGGGTCCTCTGCCTAGGAAAACCAGAGACCTTTGTTCACTTGTTTATCTGCTGACCTTCCCTCCACTACTGTCCCATGACCCTGCCAAATCCCCCTCTGTGAGAAACACCCAAGAATTATCAATAAAAAAATAAATTAAAAAAAAAAAATTTACCTAATTTTATAAAAAGTAAGCTTCCTAATAGGCTTCTGTATATCTAGTCATGAAATAAAAGTTAAAATAAGGCTGAGCGTGGTGACTCATGCCTGTAATCCCAGAACTTTGAGAGGCCGAGGTGGGCGGATCACCTGAGGTCAAGAGTTCGAGACCAGTCTGGCCAACATGATGAAATCCCATCTCTACTAAAAATACAAAAAATTGGCCAAGCATGGTGGTGGGTGCCTGTAATCCCAGCTACTCAGGAGGCTAAGGCAGGAGAACCGCTTGAACCCGGAAGGCGGAGGTTGCAGCGAGCTGAGATCGCGCCACTGCACTCCAGCCTGGGCAACAAGAGTGAACCTCCGTCTCAAAAAAAAAAAAAAAGTTAAAATAAAACAAAAGCAAAAGACTCTCAAAACAAATCAAAGAGCAGCCAAATAAGCAACTAATAAAAAGAAAGTCATTGTCTGGCTTGTGCCCAAAATGTACTCATCAGTCTAAGACTCAGATCATTCTAAGCACCAATACTTTGACCTGCTTTCTATGGAGACCCCTGACTATTCAACTTAGCACATCCCCAGAGGACCTTTCCTCTACACTTGGCTCATCCTCTGTGCTCCGTATTTCTCTTCCTGACATTTCTATCTGCCCGTCTCCCAAGCCACAAATTACAGCATCCCATTTTACACTCTATAATAACTGAATATCGTCTCATATCAATCTCTTAGCCCTTTTACTAACACTGTCTTCAAATGGGGTACAAAAATAGCTTTCTAATAGAATCCTCCCAACCCAATTTCTGGCTCCAGCATATTTTGCAAAAGGCTGTCAGTTTGATTTCCTCGCACAGTGCTTCTGGAAAGGATGGCAGTGTTGTAGACCTGCTGCATCTGATATGGTCACTGCTAGCCACAGGTGGCTACTGGGTACTTAAATGTGCTCAGCTGGCTGAAGAACTGACGTTTTCATTTCATTTTGTTTTAATCAGTTTGAATTTAGTTAAGCACATGTGGCTAGTGGCTAGTGTGTTGGTCGGTACAGTTCTAGAAGGAAAGCTCTGAGCTGTGCCCCTCTCTCCAGGTGGAATTAGATTTTATATATTCACTGACTCAGGCCTGAGCAGGACTGGTATCAGCCTAACGGCCCCTCTTCATCCAATACAAACATAATTTTGCATATCAGACTTCAAGCTGCATTTGTTCTTTTAATTCTCCTCAAGTAATTGTATAGGAACCTTTTTTTTTTTTTTTTTTTTTTTGAGACAGAGTCTTGCTGTATCGCCCAGGCTGGAGTACAGTGGTGTGACCTCGGCTCACTGCAACCTCTGCCTCCCGGTTCAAGCAATTCTCCTGCCTCAGCCTCCTGAGTAGCTGGGACTATAGGCGCAGGCCACTACGTCCAGCTAGTTTTTTGTATTTTTTAGTAAAGATGGGGTTTCACCATATTGGCCAGGTTGGTCTCAAACTCCTGACCTCATGATCCACTCGCCTCGGCCTCCCAAAGTGCTGGGATTACAGGTGAAAGCCACCACACCCAGCCAGGAACTACTTTTTAATGCAAGCGTCTTTCTCACTGCTGACCATGGATCCTGGATTATTTTTAAGTGGCTGGGCCCGGTTCTACAGATATATCAAAAGGCTCCCAATCTCTATGCATTATGTCCATTTGAAAGGCACTATACTTGGCCAGGTGTGGTGGCTCACGCCTGTAATCCCAGCACTTTGGGAAGCTGAGGTGGGCAGATCAACTGTGGTCAGGAGTTTGAGACCAGCCTGGCCAACATGGTGAAACCCTGTCTCTATTAAAAATACAAAAATTAGCTGGGTGTGGTGGTGCACGCCTGTAATCCCAGCTACTTGGGAGGCTGAGGCAGGAGAATCGCTTGAACCTGGGAGGCAGAGGTGGCAGTGAGCCAAGACTGAGCCACTGCATTCCAGCCTGGGCGACAGAGCAAGGCTCTGTCTCGAAAAAAAAAAAAAAGAAATGCACTTTCTGGCCAGGCGCGGTAGTTCACACCTGTAATCCCAGCACTTTGGGAGGCCAAGGCGGGTGGATCACGAGGTCAGAGGTTCGAGACCAGAGTGGCCAACATGGTGAAACCCTGTCTCTATTAAAAATACAAAAATTAGCCAGGTTTGGTGGTGCACGCCTGTAATCCCAGCTACTCGGGAGGCAGGAGAATCACTTGAACCTGGGAGGTGGAGGTTGCAGTGAGCCGAGATCACACCATTGCACTCCAGCCTGGGCAACAGGTGAGATTCCGTCTCACAAAAAACAAAAAACAAAAAACAAAAACAAAAGAAATGCACTTTCCTGGAAACTTCAGCCCAAAATAGCAAAATTAAGTGTGATTGAAACCAGGTTGTATTGTCTATCATATGTACAGATAAGCAAAAATTATAAACAACATAACTGGATTCAATAAAAACTTGGGTAATTCATTTATGGGAAACCAATAGCCTGTAGCCATGTAGCTATTAGAATGATTAGATTTGTACTGACACAGAAAGATGTATCAAATTATAATATGAAATCAGCAGGATCTAAAATTCTAAATATCCCAATTCTACTTTATTTTTAATATAAAAATATGTATACAATCATACAGAAATAAATAGAAAGAAAACACATTAAAATGTTAGCAGCACTGGTTTATCTCCAGGTGGTAGAATTTGATGTAGCCAATCCAAATTTTCTCTATAACTGGTATTAACACTCTTTAAAAATGAAAACAGATTTCAATATTAAAATATTCAGTATACTTCTAAAGCCAGATTTTTTTTTTTTTTGAGGCGGAGTTTCACTCCTGATGCCTAGGCTGGAGTGCAATGGCACCGTCTCAGCTCACTGAAACCTCCACCTCGTGGATTCAAGTGATTTTCTTGCTTCATCCTCCCAAGTAACTGGGATTACAGGTGCCCACCACCATACCCAGCTAAGTTTTTGTATTTTCAGTAGAGATGGAGTTTCATCATGTTGGCCAGGCTGGTCTCGAACTCCTGAGCTCAGGTGATTCACCCACCTCAGCCTCCCAAAGTGGTGGGATTACAGGCATGAGTCACCGTGCCTGGCCAGATATTCTTTACATTTTGAATTAGTGGCCAGGCATAGTAGCATTTCCCTGTAGTCCCAGCTACTTAGGAGTGAGGTGAAGGTGGGAGGATCACTTGAGCCCAGGAGTTCTAGGCTGCAGGGAGCCGTGATTTGTGCCACTGCACTCTAGCCTAGGTGACAGAGCAAAACCCTGTCTCTAAAATAAATTAAAATAAAAATTCTGAATTAGTGACTGTTTTCTGTAAAATTCGGAGCTACAACACCAGGCGAACCAGAAGCCCCACGTATAAGGTTTTAATTATTTAACAATGGCCATTTTCTTTTCTTTTCTTTTTTTTTTTTTTTTTGAGACAGAGTCTCACTCTGTCGCCCAGGCTGGAGTGCAGTGGTGGGATCTCGGCTCACTGCAAGCTCCGCCTCCTGGGTTCAAGTGATTCTCCTGCCTCAGCCTCCTGAGTAGCTGTGATTACAGGCGTGTGCCATCATGCCCAGCTAATTTTTGTATTTTTAGTAAAGACGGGGTTTCACCATATTGGTTAGGCTGATCTTGAACTCCTGACCTTGTGATCTGCCCATCTTGTCCTCCCAAAGTGCTGGGATTATAGGCATGAGCCATCACGCCCAGCCAACACTGGCCATTTTCTAATAGAGATTCTGAAAAAGGAAATATGTAAGACTCTGTATATAGACTCTGTACACAGACTCTGTATATAAGTATCAGTCTCTGTTGGGAGTGCCATTCTAAGGAATGATTACCAATTCTGAAATTCAGAAAAGGATCTATGTAAACATAACAACCGAGGCCAGGCACGGTGCCTCATGCCTGTAATCCCGCACTTTGGGAGGCCAAGCAGGGTGGATCACTTGAGGTCAGGAGTTTGAGACCAGCCTGGCCAACATGGTGAAACCCCATCTGTACTAAAAATACAAAAATTAGCCAGGTGTGGTGGTAGATGCCTATAATTCCAGTTACTTAGGAGGCTGAGGCAGGAGAATTGCTTGAGCCTGGGAGGCAGAGGTTGCAACGAGCTGAGATCGTGCCACTGCACTCCAGCCTTGTGACAGGGTAAGAATCTGCCTCAAAAAAAAAAAAAAAAAAAGAAAAAGAAAAGAAAGAAAGAAAGAAAAACCAATTGAAAAGAGAAAAAAACTATTCATTAAAGGAGGTTTTTTTTTTTTTTTTTTTTAACAATCTCACAGTGTCACAGTGGGGAGGATTTGTCCAAACATAACGCAAACTTCAAAAACTACAGAAGATTTGACTACTTGGCAAAGACCACAAGAAAAACCATCAAAACAAGCAGCTGAGAGAAATCTGCAACTGACATCATAGACAAAGGATTAACTTCCTTAATCTGTAAATACTGTCTGTAAACCAAGAAAACTAGACAATGCAAGTATACACAAGTTATCAATACAAGCTGGGTGCAGTGGCTCATGCCTTGTAGTCCCTGCACTTTGAGAGGCAGAGATGGGAGGATCACTTGAGCCAATGAGTTTGAGACCAGCTTGGGGTGCATAGTGAGATACCATCTCTACAAAAAAAAAAAAAAAAGGAAAAAAAAGACATATAGGCTGGGCACGGTGGCTCACTCCTGTAATTCCAGCACATTGGGAGGCCGAAGTGGACAGATCACCTGAGGTCCAGGGTTCAAGACCAGCCTGGCTAACATGGCAAACCCTCATCTCTACTAAAAATACAAAAATTGGCCAGGTGTGTTGGCGGGTGCCTGTAGTCCCAGCTACCCGGGAGGCTGAGGCAGAAGAATCACTTGAACTCAGGAGGTGGAAGTTGCAGTGAGCCGAGATGGTGCCACTGCACTCCAGCCTTGGAGACAGAGTGAGACTCCGTCTCAAAAAAAAAAAAAAGATATATAAATACAGAATAGTAGTTATTTCAGGGAGGAAGGGAGACAAAAGCAATCAGGGAGAAGTCCACAGAAAGTTTCTAAGGTACTAGTTAATATCCTATTCTTTGTTGTATAAACTAGGTGACGGGTACAGAGGTGTTTTATTATTCTTAAGTCTCTTTGTGTGAACATGTGTATGCGTGTATATACACATACATTTACACACACTAATATACATGCATATATTCTGTATTTAGAGTAAAAAAAAAATCACATGCATTAAAGTTTTGATTACACCACGGGCTGGAGTAAAGGGGAAGAGAGACTTGCAAGTAAAAATGTATGTGAGCATTTCTCTGGAGAACTATGACATCTATAAAAATTCCAATGCACATAATTTTTGATCCAGTATTTCTACCTCCAGGAAATTCACTCCACATATATAACTGCACATGTATTATATGAAATTACATTATACAAATCTATTTATTGTAACATCATGTGTTTTAGTGAAAATTTGAAAACAAATTATTGACAGGGAGCCTAATATATAAAACACACTACTGTGCTTTTGAATACACATGCAGCTGTAGCCACACACACACAAACACACACACACACACACACACACACACACACACACACAAAGTCTTTAGATAGAATTTCATGAGATCGGCCGGAGGCGGTGGCTCACGCCTGTAATCCCCCCGCTTTGGGAGGCTGAGGCAGGCAGATCTCCTGAGGCTGGGATTTCAAGACCAGCCTGGCTAACAAGGCGAAACCCTGACTCTACTAAAAATACAAAATTAGCCGGGCGTGGTGGCGCATGCCTGTAATTCCAGCTACCCAGGAGGCTGAGGCAGGAAAATTGCTTGAACCCACCAGACGGAGGTTGTGTGAGCCGAGATCGCGCCACTGCACTCCAACCTGGGTGAAAATGAGACTTTTTCTCAAAAAAAAAAATAATTTCATAATATATTATTTGGGGAAAAATATATAGAAAAGTATGACATAATTGGTTTATTAAAAAGAAATATATACATTCAGACTCTCTGTAGAGGGATATCTGATAGAGAAATAGATATGGAAAGTGTATTATCTATTCAAGAAATAAGTTTTAAAAACAAGTTTCCACATAGACTTGTAATTTAATGATCATACCAAATTAACTGCATCTTGTGATTATACGTAGAATGATTTCAGTCACACAAATTAAAACCTTAACAGAGGAAAGGGAATTGCAAAAAATATTCTCTATCAAATTAATTATACTTGTATTGGGGTAATGAAACTCAGAGGGGCAGTTCATATTTCTCCATTTTTATAATGAAAGTTCACAGATTTGTAATACACTTAGTGTGTTTCATAAGCTATAATAGAGAGTTGTCCTGACAATATTTGAAGAAAAATGACATTAGTTCCTTCCTCCTGTGTAGGAAAAACATTCAGTTGCTCTTCCAGGTCATTCAACAAAGACCTTTTCTTTCTTTTTTCTTTTTTTTTGAGACCGAATTTTGCTCTTGTTGCCCAGGCTGGAGTGCAATGGCGCGATCTCTGCTCACTGCAACCTCCGCCTCCCTAGTGCAAGCGATTCTCCTGCCTCAGCCTCCTCAGTAGCTGGGATTACAGGCATGTGACACCATGCCCGGCTAATTTTGTATTTTTAGTAGAGTCGGGGTTTTGCTATGTTAGCCAGGCTAGTCTTGAACTCAACCTCAGGTGATCTGCCCACCTCGGTCTCCCAAAGTGCTGAGATTATAGGTGTGAGCTACCATGCCTGGCCATGACCTTTTCTTTTTTTAACCTCAGCTTTTTATTTTGAAAAAAGCCAAATCTCAGTAAAGTTGAAAAAGAATTCTAATGACCATCTCTACATATGTCCATGTTTTGCAAAATTGGGCTTATCACTTTCTCGCTGTTCTCAGACACACATACACATTCAGGCTCTTGTTTTGATTTGACAAAAATCAGATAACTCTGTGTAGTCCTCAGTCCTCACAGTATTCTCAGATGGCAGCGTTACAGAGCAGCCAGGGTTCAGTTGTGAACCAAAAGAACTGTTCTAACTCCTCCCCCACCCTCAGGAGGAAAGCAATTCACTGGAGACCTGTATATCCATTCTAGTCTACCAGAGAGGGCCTGGGACAGAATTGTATGGTTACAGTAAGCTGAGGAGGTATCTTTTCGTTGATTCACCAATATGTTCTGAATTGGGACTCTGGTATCTAGGAACACATATTCCAATGGTAGAAGATCATTCTTTTATATGATGTGACCGAGTACAGGAGATGTATCTTATGGCTAGGAATTTTCTGTGTAAACCCATGCATCAGAGAAAAAGATGAAATCAGATATATACCTTTCACTGAGGGATTATCAATCCATCTCTAGGCCTCGAATTCCTTACTATTATTTAGAACATCGTCAACCTGCTGTTGAAAATGAAATAAACATCTTCTGCAAAGTTTATTTATTTTTTATTTTATTATTATTTTTTTTTTGAGACAGAGTCTCGCTCTGTCACCAGGCTGGAGTGCAATGGCGCGATCTCGGCTCACTGCAGCCTCCGCCTCCCGGGTTCAAGCAACTCTCCTGCCTCAGCCTCCCGAGTAGCTGGGATTACCTGCTCAATGCTGTTGTAGCAGAGGGGGAACATCCCCAGGGAGCTGCAGACTGGTGGGAAGAGCAGGCAGGCACACTCGACACAGAAGCCCAGACAAACCCTTGGTATCATGAGTGGCTCAAGGTCAGAGATAACCAGGCCCGTACATGCTGTCTTTCCACGTCAGACTTGTATTGATGCTATTTAAATCATAAAAGCCACCAGCTCCATGGAGTTCCCAGGGAGGCAGTTCTCCTTAGTACTTCCTGGTCACTCGGTGGTCAGAGCTGCGGGCACACAGGCTCAAGCCACTCCACATGTCAGTCGATATTGCAAACCATACATCATAGTATACCTAATTAATATATCAATGTTGGCCGGGCGCAGTGTCTCACGCCTGTAATCCCAGCACTTTGGGAGGCCGAAACGGGCGGATCACGAGGTCAGGAGATCGAGGCCATCCTGGCTAACACCGTGAAACCCCGTCTCTACTAAAAATACAAAAAATTAGCAGGGCGTGGTGGTGGGCACCTGTAGTCTCGGCTACTCGGGAGACTGAGGCAAGAGAATGGCGTGAACCCGGGAGGCGAAGCTTGCAGTGAGCCAAGATCGTGCCACTGCACTCCAGCCTGGGTGACAGAGTGAGACTCCGTCTCAAAAAAACAAAACAAAACAAAATTCCACAACAAACAAAGTAGCATTTAACACCAAGAGAAAGGGGATAGGAAAGAGCGTTAATGAACCAGTCCCAAAGAATCTCCTGGTCTGGCCCAGGTGGCCCATCAGTCTTGCAAGGAAGAGTCTTTGATGTGGGCAGAGCCTTTGGTGGTAGATTCTGGGTACCAATTACCAGTGACAGCAAGATGGGGTCTGTTAAGATGGCTGTTTCGAGCTGGTGAAGTCCTGCTGTTTGATAGCCCCAGAGTCCTCTGGTGAGGACTGATTGTGGAGGAGTGTGCCTGGTGATGCCCTTATCTGGCTGGATGCACTCTTTGTTGATCAGGTGAAACATTTGGTCCCTGTTGGCAAAGTGCTTTGTGAAATAGAAGATGGAGTCTTTTGTTAAGATGGAATTACTTATGTCAATGGTGTTGTATACACTTGACAAGGCCAGATGACATTCCCAATTTGTTTTTATAAATAGTAGAGAAACTTCGCTGGAGGAGGAGGGTCACACATAGCAAGAGCAGAGGGCTTGGTGCATCTTCCATTCCAGATGCTACTGAGAATGTGCAAATCAGTGTCACGACGGATCCCAAAGGTTTCATTTCAAACTGAGCCATGGACATTTTATAGTGCCTAACTTACTATTCAAAAATACTCACACACACAGTTTTGTTTGTAACATTTCCACTCATAGAAATTCCACAGGCTTTGGTATAGGAAGTGTCAGCGGAACACACCTTTACCCTGGGGTAAAAAGCATAGTCTTCCCTCACAGTTAATGCTCTCAATCTTCTGATTCTGGGTGTCTGGTAGATCTTGTGTCCCCAGAGGATAAATCAATGTATTTTAAAAGTATTAATAATCAGTTTACAGCCATGCATTGTTTTATAATGGGGACATATGCTGAGAAATGCATCATTAGGCAATTGTGCATTGTGTGAACATCATAGAGTGTACTTACACAAACAGATGGTGTAGCCTCCTAACACACCTAGATTATTTGGTACAGCCTATTGCTCCTAGGTACAAACCTGTCCAGCATATGACTGTACTGAAAATGTAGGCTGAAAATTTTATTTTACATATGTAGGCAGCTGTAACACAATGTAAATATTTGTGTTTCTAAACCTGGAAGAAGCACAGTAAAAATACAGTATTATAATCTCATGAGACCACCGTCGTATATGTCCGCAGTTGACTGGAGCCGTCATTAGGCAGCATATGACTGTAGTCCATTAATTTTAAGTATTCAAAACAATTTCCATCCATTCACAATTCAAACAATTGCTCACAATTTTGTACAGCTATTAATCCAGGAAACCATTAGCCTAGGAAGCCAAATGTTTAGTTAGACACAAGTTTAGGGAAACATTTGAGTATTGCTGGAGGACAAAAGCACTCACTAAATAACCAGTGGCTGATTACCGGCCTCTGGACCATGGCCAGTTGGAATAGCTCCATGTCATTCTTTCTTTCTTTCTCTTTTTTTTAAGTTTTGTTATTACAAGAATAATTTTCTATATTAGACTGTTTTCACTTTATTAACTTTATCATAAGTATGCCAACTTCTGCAAACTTGGAGCAATTGCAATAATCTATTGATTTATTTTCACCAAATTTTCACTTTATTTGCCCAGAATTCAAGCTTGTCTGTTAATTTCCCAGGTCTTCAATGACTTGTCTCTTATTGGCTAGCATCTCCTTATTTTCCTTGTTCAATTAGTAAGGTTTTCCTTATTATATTACTTTTTTGGGGGGCCTTTCTCTGTTAGTATATAGATTTTCTCCTGAGAGCTAAAAATCTTCATAACACCTTAGTCAATATACCTTTGAAAAAACCCCTTATATTGGCTGGTTGCGGTGGCTCACACCTATAATCTCAGCACTTTGGGCGGCCGAGATGGGCAGTTCACCTGAGGTCAGGAGTTTGAGACCAGCCTGGCCAACAAGGTGAAACCCCGTCTCTACTAAAAATACAAAAATTAGCTGGATGTGGTGGCAGGCACCTGTAATCCCAGCTACTCGGGAGGCTGAGGCAGGAGAACTGCTTGAACCTGGGAGGCAGAGGTTGCAGTGAGCCAAGATCACACCACTGCACTCCAGCCTGGGTGACAAGAGCGAGCAAAACTCTGTCTCAAAAAAAAAAAAAATCCCTTATATTATAATTGTCATTGAAATAATCTGACATTCCTAGTAACCTCTGACACTAAAATTTTCTTCGCTTTTAATAGAAACACAATTCATCATTTATCCATTATCCATTGTTTTGAATTTAATTTAATTCACCAAAATAATACATATATTTTAGTACCAAAGATCAAAAAGTGCTCGAAGGTTTATAATTAAAAAAAAAAAATCCTCTCTTCTCCCCCATTCCGGCTATCTAGATACAGTCATGTCCAACTCTCAGTTCTTTCTTATAGAATATGCATGATATTCCCTCATCTTTCATTTAAGTTAAGGAATATCATGTATATTCTATAAGAAACAGAATGAGGCATTCTATTTCTATTTCCTTAGAAATAGAAATTGGAAATAGAAATCTAAATTGGAAAGATTGGCCAGTTGCAGTGACTCACACCTGTAATCCCAGCACTTTGGGAAGCCAAGGTGGAGGACTGCTTGAGTCCAGAAGTTTGAGACCAGCCTGGGCAACAGAGCAAGACACCATCTCTACAAAAAGGTAAACAATTAGCTGGGCGTGGCGGTGCAAGCCTGTAGTCCACGCTACTTGGGAAGCTGTGGTAGAAGAATCCCTTGAGTCCAGGAATTCAAGGCTGCAGAATGGGCAGAATGACTGTGCCACTGCACTCCAGCCTGGGTAACAGGGTGAGACCCTGTCGAAAGAAAAGAAAAAAAAAAAGAAAGAAAAGAGAAAGAAAGAAGGATTATCTTTTACCTTTTACTTGCTACAGATAACTTCCCTGCCACCTCATTCCAATATAGTCAAAGCAACATTTTATTAAGCCATCAACACCTTTGTTTTTTATGGAGTTAACAGTTCTCTCTATATATATTTAGTTTTTTTTTCCTAGTGTACCAAACACAGATTCATCCCTTATACTGTCCTATGGAGCTATAAAGCTTTTCTTGACATAGCCAAACGGCTAGGAAATAATCAATTCTATTTATTTTTTCCTTCAAGGTACCCTTCTGTGAATCTTCCACCTTTTGTTCTAATTAGGGCCAACTGATGCTGTCGTCCTGGGAATTTTCCCATTCACCATCACTTTGCTAATTCCTTCACCTCTTTGCTTTCCTGTACTCAGGAGACATCCTTGGCAAAACTTAATGGTTGCTGGGTCATGATGAAATATTATAGGCATACTAGAGAAGCTGCTTGATTAAGTAGCCATCAGTTCGACAAAACAAAAAACAAAAACAAACAAAAGCTAATTTGTAGAGTTTTTTAGATAAAATTGTCCTGTGAAACTTCAAAATCAAGCTTCCTCATCTGTTCATTAATGCTGAGATCTTTGTTTTGTTCCTTCAGGTAAGGCAAATACCCGACATACAGGGATTGTTTAATAAACACTTTCTGGGTTTCTTGTTCATTCATTTAACGCCTTTGCCATCATGGGGTTTCCATTCCAGACAGGAAGTTAAATACATAATGTTAAATCAGGTCATGATTAATGCTACAAAGAAAATAATGTAGGGTAAGAGGTAAGAGAATGAGTGGGGATTGGAGAGAATGTTCAGGGAGGGCGCTCTTTGTGGAGGACAGATCAAGAAAGGCCTGTGTGGTGGCAGCCAGCTGGAGCCTAGCACTGCGGTCCAGATGAAAGATCACAGCCTCAACTAGTGTGGTCAAAGGGAGGATGGCGAGTGTTTGCTGAGGGACATATATGGATGGTAGAGCTGACAGTCTTTGCTGATAGATTGAACACAGAATGGCAGCAAAATAAAGGATGGCTCCAAAGTCTGTGCTGTCAGAATGAGCCCCTGAAGCTTTTAGAATGCACGGGGTGCCTGCGAGGGTGGCACATTTGGGAATCTAGTTGGCTCTGACTGAAGCTATGGAGAAACGTGGCAAAGAAGTGAGGAAGAAAGGATGCTGAGGCGGGCTTAGGAGGCCCTTTATTAAAGCCTGGCTGTGTTTATAATCGCAGGCAAGAAGGGAAGCTAATGTAGTAATTCAGAAGGATGAAGAGAACTAAATTGAGGAAATAGGTTTTCATTTTTATCAAGCAATTCATCATTGACTACGACTCCACATTAATTCAGCTCTACCCATAAAGCCAATTAAATTACCCCAAGAAATCAATAAAAACACAGGCAGGGTGGGGAAGACATTCTTGATGAACATTCACACGTCTTTTTTATAAGTATTTGGGAAGAGATTTCGGGCTAAAGGGGTGAAGCATGTTCCCTACATCACTGTAGACCTAGGAAACGAATTCTATTTCTCCTTTTCCCTCCATACAAGCAATCTAACTCCACAATGAAGATAGGGACAGCACATTCTCAGGGGAAATTGACATGGACAGTTCCTGGACTATAGCTCACTCCTATCTGAAGCTCTGAATGTTAACATCCAATGTAGGAACAGCTTTTAGCTTCAGAAATTCCACAGGCCAAAGAACAATGATAACCATTAAGAAGATTGCAACAGGAGCTTTTACCTCCACCCTCTTTTTCAAATACAAAGTTCTCTTGTATCTCTGAGTATCTGGAATGACCACATAGTTCTCCTATCTGAAATAAGACAGACACACAAAACAGGGTAATCTAGCTGACCAGAGAGTGCTGGGATAAACACAAAGCTCACTAAAACGGTTAGGGAGGGGAAAAGCTTATTCACATAGTTTTAACTTTTTTTTTTTTTTTTGAGACAGTCTCGTTCTGTCGCCCAGGGTGGAGTGCAGTGGCGTGATCTTGGCTCACTGCAACCTCCACCTCTTGGGTTCAAGCGATTCTCCTGCCTCAGCCTCCAGAGTAGCTGGGACTACAGGCGCCCGCCACCACGCCCGGATAATTTTTTGTATTTTTAGTAGAGACGGGGTTTCACCATGTTAGCCAGGATGGTCTCAATCTCCTGACCTCGTGATCTGCCTGTCTCGGCCTCCCAAAGTGTTGGGATTACAGACGTGAGCCACTGCGCCCGGCCAATGTTTGTATTTTTAGTAGAGACGGGGTTTCACCATATTGGTCAGGCTGGTCTTGAACTCCGGACCTCGTGATCCACCTGCCTCGGCCTCCCAAAATGCTGGGATTACAGGCATGAGCCACTGCACCCAGCCTGGTTTTAACCTGTTTTTTAATTAAAAATTTTATTTTACATAAATACACTTTTTGAAAATAATTTTAAGTTTCCATCAACGGCTTCCTTTGAGTAATGTGAACCTCACTTCCACATCTTTGCCAGGCCTCGACTTCCCCAACTCTCCCCTCCAGTGAGCCTGTTATCTGTCTGCAAATACTTTTAACGAGATACAATTTGTGTGGTTGGAAAGAATAAACAGCCCAGGTTTCAAGAGTCTGAATATCACTCTCTGGAGATTTTGAATGTATTGGCTCTATTTCTGACTCAGTTAAAAAAAAAAAGTACTGCCACTTAGGGTAGATGAGGTCATAGAAAGCATTCTGAACCTTCCCTGGCAGGTAGCAAATGTACGACAAACTGAAATTGCTATTTTGAAAGGAGAAGCAATATTTACATTTACATCCTTTCTATTTATCATTCTACCACATCCATCTATCATTACAGAGAATTCCTTCTTCTCATGTGAGGTTAAATTTCCAATCTCATACTTGATTTTTTCCAGGTCAAAAGTCTCATTCTCTTATATATGTTCCAATTTGTCGAGGCATAACTGAAATGCAAATTTACCCATGTTTTGCCGTTACCCACCTACGTGTTTTTTAACTTCCATGTACCATTGATAATATTTATCACATTCCAGTCAGAAAATCCGAAAAATCAAAGCTTCAAATTCCTTCCTTATTCCCTGTGAATTCTTATCTCCTCTCTATCCTGTAATTCCTTTTCCTGCTTTGTGCAAGATCAAAAAATTAACTGCAGTGAGGTCACTTACCTCTCTCCTTCTTTCAGCCCTACACAGACTATTTCAAGCTGACTGCCCTGCCTTTCCATTGAAGACAGAAGGAGCTGGTCTAGATTCCTATGAGCTGTGAGATTTCCTGAGCCTCTCCCGCTAATCCTTAACCCAGAAATGTATTCGTCATTTGGCTATAAAAAAACTCACAGCTTGACATCCCTGCACATGTAAGAGCACTTTTTCCAAGTTATAACTACAGAACAAAACTAGATATTCTACTTTATTGATACATTTGTTGTCCAAGGTACATTTACCATATACAAATACAGAGACATCTTTTCAGTGTAGTGAGGTAATCCCAGGCGTTCCATAGCACTGGAGGCCCCACTGGCCAAAGGCTTCCTAGGTCTACTTAGCTCAAATATCCAACTCTTACACTTTCTTTTTTTTTTTTTTTTGAGACAGGGTTTTGCTCTGTCACCTAGGCTGGAGTGCAGTGACTTGCTCTTGGCTCACTGCAGCGTCGATCTCCCAGGTTCAAGTGATCCTCCCACCGCAGCCTCCTGAGTATCTGGGACTACAGGTGTGTGCCACCATGCCAGGCTAATTTCTGTATTTTTTGTAGAGACAAGATCTCGCCTTGTTGCCCAGGCTGGTCTGGAACTCCTGGACTCAGGTGATCCTCCTGCCTTGGCCTCCCAAAATGCTGAGATTACAGATGTGAGTCACCATGCCTGGCCACTTACCGCTTTTATTTATTTATTTTTTTTTTGAGATGGAGTCTTGCTCTGTAGCCCAGGCTGGAGTACAATAGCGTGATCTTAGCTCACTGCAACCTCTGCCTTCCGGGTTCAAGCGATTCTCCTGCCTCAGCCTCCCGAGTAGCTGGGACTACAGGCGTGAACCATGATGCCCAGTTAATTTTTGTATTTTTTAAATAGAGACGGGGTTTCACCATATTGGTCAGGCTGGTCTTAAATTCCTGACCTTGTGATCTGCCTGCCTTGACCTCCCAAAGTGCTGGGATTACAGGCATGAGCCACTGCGCCCAGCCCACTTATCACTTCTTAAAGCTACTTCCAATTATACTTTGCCCAATTAACAATCTTCCTAATACAGCTGTTTCATTATAACTAATCCCTAGCACCATCAACACATTTTTACATTTAAACAGTAAACCGTACACTACACCAGAGCCACTGAACAAACCGCCTGTTGTTTTCTATTTCTTGCTTCTGCCAACTTTGCTGTTTGTCTTGGTTGGATATTGTAATCAACTAAGGAGCTTTGAAAAAAAATGATGCCTAGTTTTCAACCCCAAAGATTCTGATATAATTCTTGTGGAGATATGGTTTAGATATTAGGATTTATAAAAACTTCTCAGGTCAGCCGGGTGCGGTGGCTCACACCTGTAATCCCAGCACTTTGGGAGGCCGAGGCGGGCGGATCACGAGGTCAGGAGTTCGAGACCAACCTGGCCAAGATGGTGAAACCCTGTCTCTACTAAAAATAGAGGAAATTAGCCAGGCTTGGTGGCAGGCGCCTGTAGTCCCAACTACTCGGGAGGCTGAGGCAGGAGAATGGCGTAAACCCGGGAGGCGGAGCTTGCAGTGAGCCGAGATCGTGCCACTGCACGCCAGCCTGGGGACAGAGCGAGACTCCATCTCAAAAAAAAAAAAGAAAAGAAAAAAAAGAAACACGTGGGCCGGGCGTGGTGGCTGACGCCTGCAATCCAAGCATTATGGGAGGCTGAGGTGGGCGGATCACGAGGTCAGGAGTTTGAGACCAGCCTGGCCACTATGGTGAAACCGCGTCTCTACTAAAAAATACAAAAAACTAGCCAGGCGTGGTGGCGGGCGCCAGTAGTCCCAGCAACTCGGGAGGCTGAGGCAGGAGAATCGCTTAAACCCAGGAGGCGGAGGTTGCAGTGAGCCGAGATTGCGCCATTGCACTCCAGCCTGGCGACAGAACAAGACTCTGTCTCAAAAAAAAACTTAGGGGTAGAGCAATGTCTCTCAACATTTTCGTTACATTAGATACAAAACTGGTTAAAACCCCACAAGGCTATAAAATGAAAACCTTTGAGATGATCTTTTTCTACCAGACCGTCTACAGATTTTTTGGACTTTTTTCCTTAATCACTTCCTCCCTCATGAAATTTTACTACCACATACATACTGCATATGTTTATGGACTGGGCTCTTTTGGAGGGCCCTAGCCACAGTAATATATAAGACTTTTTTCACCTCTCATGAACCGATTTTTACCAATTGAACTCATGGGTTAGAAGTACAATCATGTGTGTGTCTCCCCAGTTCCTGAGAAATGCATCCTTAGGCGATTTGTCCTTGTGCAAATGTCAGTGTACTTACACACACCTGAATGGCACTGCCTGCTGCACCCCTAGGCCATATGGTATAGTGTAGCCTGTTGTCCCCCTGGGCTATATGGTGTAGCCTGTTGCCCCCCTAGGCTATATGGTGTAGCCTGTTGCCCCCCTAGGCTATATGGTGTAGCCTGTTGCCCGCCTAGGCTATATGGTGTAGCCTGTTGCCCGCCTAGGCTATATGGTGTAGCCTGTTGCCCCCCTAGGCTATATGGTGTAGCCTGTTGCCCCCTAGGCTATATGGTGTAGCCTGTTGCCCCCCTAGGCTGTGTGGTGTAGCCTGTTGCCCCCCTAGGCTATGTGGTGTAGCCTGTTGCCCGCCTAGGCTATATGGTGTAGCCTGTTGCCCCCTAGGCTATATGGTGTAGCCTGTTGCCCCCTAGGCTATATGGTGTAGCCTGTTGCCCTCTCTAGGCTACAAACCTGTACAGCAGGTTACTGGACTGCATACTGTAACACAATGGTTTTGTGTATCTAAACATAGAAAAGGTACAGTAAAAATATAGTATTGTAATCTTGTGGGACCACCATCATATATATGATCTATCATTGACCAAAACACTATTATGCAACACTTAACTGTATACATTTAGGGGTCACTGCTGAGGAGTTGATAGTTTTGGCTGTGGATATGAGGTTCACTTAGAAGTGAATGAGAAGTGAGATCCTAGGAAGGAACATGAAGTATTTACTACATATTTAAAAGGAAAGATGCATTTGGCACAATGGTAGGAAAATGAGGACAGTGCACATCCTATAGGTCAAGGAAGAATATATTAAGGATAAAGAGATTAATAGCATTGACTACTTCTGAGAGCTTGAGTAATATGAAATGGAAGTGGCCGGGTGTGGTGGCTTACACCTATAATCCCAGCACTTCTGGAGGCTGAGGCAGATGGATCACCTGAGGTCGGGAGTTTGAGACTAGCCTGACCAACATGGAGAAACCCCATCTCTACTAAAAATACAAAATTAGCTGAGCATGGTGGCACATGCCTGTAATCCCAGCTTCCTGGGAGGCTGAGGCAGGAGAATCACTTGCATCCGAGAGGCAGAGATTGTGGTGAGCCGAGATTGCACCATTGCACTCCAGCCTGGGAAACAAGAACGAAACTCCACCTCAAAAAAAAATAAATACATAAAATAAAATCAGTTGGATTTAGCAATATGGAAGCGATTAAGACCTGTAGGCAGAAAGAGACAGAAAGCAAATTGGACTGAACACAGGAATGGATAGCATAAACCAACACACACACCAGAGTGCATTTGGGAGGCCGAGGCGGGCGGATCACGAGGTCAGGAGTTCGAGACCAGCCTGGCCTATATGGTGAAACCCCATCTGTACTAAAAATACAAAAACTAGCCGGGCGTGGAGGCACATGGCTGTAAACCTAGCTACTCAGGAGGCTGAGGCAGAATTGCTTGAACCCAGGAGAAGGAGGTTGCAGTGAGCCGAGATCACGCCACTGCACCCCAGCCTGGGTGACAGAGCGAGACTCCGTCTCAAAAAAAAAAAAAAAAAAAAAAAAAAGGGAGATATAGTCTTTTTTTTTTTTTTTTGGAGACAACATCTCGCTCTGTCGCCCAGGCTGGAGTGCAATGGTGCAATCATAGCTCACTGTAGCCTCGAACTTCTGGGATCAAGTGATCCTCCCACCTCACTCTTCCCTGTAGCTGGGACCACAGGTGCAAGCCACCATGCCCAGCTAATTTATCTTTTGTAGAGACAATGTCTCCCTGTGTTGCCCAGGCTGGTCGCAAAGCCTTGGCCTCAAGGTGTCATACTGCCTGGGCCTGCTGAAGTGTTCATATTACAGAAGGAACCACCACGTCTGGCCTACATTAGCTTTTTAAAAGTTAATTTTAGAAGGTCCTGATTGAGGAATAGTTTCAATATTGAAAAGAGAAAACGAATCACCTATAGCAGGGGTAGGCAAACTGTGGCCCCTGTTTTTATAAAGTTTTATTGGAAGAGTAGAGCCACATGCATTAATGTAAGCACTGTCCTGGCTGTGTATGCACTAGAGCAGCAGAGTTAGTTTCAAGAGGGACAGTACGACCAATAAAGTCTAAGATATTAATTACCTAGTTTTTTACAGAAAAAGTTTGCCAAGCCCTGATCTCCAGGTGAGGATTTCCTAAAAGCCCTCAGGAATTTGGAGGAAATACAAGGTAGGAAAAAATTGGTTTATTGCAAGACAGAAGAAAGGAGAAAGAATAGGTGAAGGTGAATTTGCAATTTGTTGCTCAAAAGATGAGAAATGTTGACTGCTGGGCTCCTTGAAAGATTGATCATCCGAAAATCCTGTTGATCGAACAAAGCTTTAGAGCTTTGACAGAGTCAGGCTCTCTGTCATAAGCACACAACCTGACAGTCTTATCAGTGTGTCAGATGGAGAAAGAGGGGAAAGACACAGGGTCTGGGTTGGAAGGTTCAAAGGGGGTCTTGCAGGATGTAGAACTAGTTGGAATTGGAGTTTTTGGACATTATGAATGCATTTTTTAAAAATATGGATGAAAGGCTGGGCGAAGTGGCTCATGCCTGTAATCCCAGCACTTTGGGAGGCCAAGGTGGGTGGATCATGAGGTCAGGAGATGGAGACTATCCTGGCTAACATGGTGAAACCCCATCTCTATTGAAAATACAAAAAATTAGCTGGGCACGGTGGCACATGCCTGTAATCCCAGCTACTCAGGAGGCGGAGGCAGGAGAATCGCTTGAACCCAGGAGGCGGAGGTTGCAGTGAGCTGAGATCGCGCCACTGCACTCCAGCCTGGGCGACAGAGTGAGACTCCATCTGAAAAGAAAAAAAACAGATGAAAATGTATAGAATTATGACCAAAATATTTAACTAATAACTTAGTTATTATTATGATATTCACAAGGTAATTTCAATATATTAATTTTCTCTGTCTTAAATTCAATATTCGAAGATAATTAGCTGTTAACAAATAACCTGCAGCCTGACGAATATGGTGAAATCTCATCTCTATAAGAATACAAAAATTAGCCAGCTGTGTTGGTGGGCACCTGTAATCCCAGCTACTTGGGAGGCTGAGGCAGGAGAATCCTTTGAACTCTGGAGTTGGAGGTTGCAGTGAGCCAAGATCATGCCATTGCACTCCAGTCTGGGCAACAGAAAAATAAATAAGTAAGTAAATAAATAAATAGATAGATAAAACTTGGAAAGCCCTCACTACATGGGTACATTAGGAATTCCTGCACTTTGGAGAAAGAATGCTGATAATGGTTTAACAACGTTCTCTGATTTTTCAGTTTGCTACCCTCGTTTTTTGCTATTATTGTTGGTCTAGGTCAGGGTTTGTCAGCCTCAGCACTACTATGTTTTGAGCTGAATGATTCTTTGTGCGTCAGGCTGCGCTGTCCATCGCAGGATATACTGCAGCATCACTGGCCTCTATTCACCAGATTCCGGTGGCACGGCTCTTCTGGTGACAACTAAAAAATTGCTCCAGACATGGTCTAGCTTATTATAAACAATTTTATTTTTATGTTGTGGGTTGTATAGCAATGTTTGATCCAAAGTATTTATCTTAGCTTGAAATTTGCAGTAGCTAGACATGGAGATGTCTATTACTGGGTTTTGAACATTAATTATACATTTATTGCTAAATCATCTCACATTTCCCTTTATGAGTCATCATCATATTTTCTTAAAAAATTAGGTAAGGGTTTGAGAGCCATTGCTCTGAATTCTTTTTTTTATTTTTATTTTTTTGAGACAGAATCTTGCTCTGTTGCCAGGCTGGGGTGCAGTGCAGTGGTGCAATCTCAGCTCACTGCAACCTCTACCTCTACTGAATCGCTTGGGTTCAAGCGATTCCCCTGCCTCAGCCTCTCAAGTAGCTGGGACTACAGGGGTGCACCACAACCTCTGGCTAACATTTTGTATCTTAGTAGAGACAGGGTTTCACCATGTTGGCCACGATGGTCTCGATCTCCGGACCTCGTGATCTGCCGGCCTCAGCCTCCCATAGTGCTGGGATTACAGGCGTGAGGCATCGCGCTCGGTCTGCTCTGAATTCTTCATCCCAGTGTTTCAAATAATTGTCTCACTTCCAGCTCACTTATCTGACCTGACCCTGACTTTTCCAATAGAGCCATTTCCCCCAATTCTCCATGTGATTCAGCAACAAGATGTATTGTGACTTTTCCAAGTGTATATCTTTACCAGAATATACTTATTCACATCTTTTTTTTTTTTTTTTTTGAGACAGAGTCTCACTCTGTTGCCTAGGCTGGAGTGCAGTGGTGTGATCTCAGCTCACTGCAAGCTCCGCCTCTTGGGTTCACGCCATTCTCCTGCCTTAGCCTCCCAAGTAGCTGGGACTACAGGCGCCCGCCACCATGCCCGGCTAAGTTTTTGTATTTTTATTAGAGACGGGGTTTCACCATGTTAGCCAGGATGGTCTCAACCTCCTGACCTCATGATCCGCATGCCTCGGCCTCCCAAAATGCAGGGATTACAGGATTGAGCCACCGCGCCCGGCCTTATTCACATCTTTTAAAAGCACATTTTGAGAATTCGAAATGGTCAAAAATGTCTCCCCAAAAGATAGGTAAGCAAGATCCTACATCTTCCTTGACTCCCATGAGTCAACAGAGGCAATTTTCTGACATTTGCCTTTCGTTCCTTCCTCCTCTGCCCATCCTAAAGAACTTGGCCTCCATGAGCCAGAGCCCACCTACAGAGGGCTGTGTACATGATATGCTGCTTCTATTTTCTGTGGGAACTGACTTGCATTTTGAGAACATTTGAGTAAAACTGGACCACCGTTCCACCTAGTCATGCTCATTACAACTGATCCCTGTGCGACAGGAGTCAAGGCGGAGCTTGCTTTTTGATCTGATGACCGTCTCAATTTAATTCCTTCTCCTTGTCACTAGATATGTAACAGCAATGTCACTTTAGAAAAAACAAATCAGCTCTCTGAGCATCAGTTTCCACATGAGTAAAAAGATTAATGCACACTCATAGGTTGTTAAAAACATTAAAGGAGATAAAGCATGATAGAACTTAAACATAAAAGTCCCTATGTAGATACTTATTTTCTCAGCATTATACAACCATCCCTGAGCAAGGATGTAAGAGAAGGCATTTGCCTGTAGACCACCAAACAGAGAAAGAAGAGGGTGAACACCAGGCATCATCGGTATTACTTACCTGATTCAAACCATTACCTGTCGGGCTTCTTCTAATAAATCAAATTGTTCCTATCAGAAAGAGAGGTAGGCCGGGTGTGGTGGCTCACACCTGTAATTCCAGCACTTTGGGAGGCTGAGGCTGGTGGATCTCTTGAGGTCAGGAGCTCGAGACCATCCTGGCCAACATGGTGAAACCCCGCCTCTACTAAAAATACAAAAATTAGCTGGGCGTGGTGGTGGGCACCTGTAATCCTAGCTACTCGGGAGGCTGAGGCAGGAGAACTGCTTGAACCCGGGGAGGTTGTGATGAGCCAAGATCGAGCCACTGTACTCCAGCCTGGGCGACAAGAGCGAAATTTCGTCTCAAAAAAAAGAAAAAGAAAAGAAAATTTAAAAATATTCACATTTTCCACAACTCCTTCTTATCCACATAAAATATCTATATAAATTATTATTCTCTATTTGGAATAAAACACTTTAGGAAGTCCTGATACTCACTGTCAGTAATGGACACCTGTTCCGCATGGTGGCATGCTCATATCTAAAGTCCCGCTTTCATTCCTGATTATACCTGATTCTGCAAATGTTTTCAGAAATACATCAAGTTCCTAACCTAGTTCTAAGGACCCCAGACTGTATTTCTTCTCTAATTCCCCAAGCTTACGATGCATATGCATTTTTTCTCATTAGCATAGGATCTCCCCGTTATTATCATTCATGATTCAGGTTAAGTGCAACCTCTTCCACTACACACAGGTGTTGACAGTTACACAAATGCAAAGGCTCTGGATATTAAATCAGGCTCCTACTCCTGGAACGCTTTTTATTGGGTTAGTTTACACAAATTCTTTCAAAGTCTTGTTCTCCAACTTTCTGGTGTCTCGTGGTCTTGGATTTTACACACAGAAGATTAAGGGCTAACAGTAGCATCACAAGAAGGACCATGTTGTAAGATGGTGAGGGAGTCTGGACTTGTGTCTCCATTTGGGATACAGAGGGAAAACACAGGCCTGAGAGCTCCTTGGAAGGCGCAATGGGAGAAATTGTAAATGAGGGACATCTCGGTCACATTGTAGAATGATATCTGCCCGTGTTCGCAGTCAAGGAAAACGCCAACTGTGTCCAACTTCTTTTCCAGGAAGAGCCTTTTCAGAGGGGGGAAGACCCAGAGAGTCCACTCGGTCCCCATCACCGACCCCGTGAGCAAGACTTTCTCTCCGGAAGCTCTGGCCGTGCTGCCCTTCGCGTCTGCAGAGCCGTGGTATATGCCCACTTGCCACCTGGTTGCCTTTTCCACGTCCACCTCCCAGTAGTGCCTCCCTGAGGTGAAGCTCTCCGCAGCCAGCACCATGGCACTGAAATCCAATCTTTCTGGGTTGCCAGCCCCATCCTGCTGCCCATGTCTCAATCTCATAGTTCTCAGGTCCTCAGATAGTGCCAGGCAGGGATGAGCTGTTTCAGGATCCAATGTTAAATGTCCTATCAGGAGAGAAAACCCTCGTTAACCTAGGAGTTCACCAATGCCAATGCCAGAGACATGATTTCTAACACACCTGGGCTTCCCACTGAGTGGGCACAAGTCCCAGGCCCAGATACGGGAGAGGCAATTTGGGAGGGTCCAGGAAAAGGAACTGCTGAACTTCAATATGGACCTCATGGAGGAAAAAGTCCATAAGATATGGAAAGGGACACAGTCTACCTGAGCGGGAAGAATAAAACAAAGATGAATGAGCTAAGGAAGGTTTAGAAACACCTTCATCCAACGTGGCGCGGTGGCTCACGAGGTCAGGAGTTCAAGACCAGCCTGGTCAAGATGGTGAAACCCCATCTCTACTAAAAAAATACAAAAAGTAGCCGAGTGTGGTGGCAGGCGCCTGTAATCCCAGCTACTCATGAGGCTGAGGCAGAAAATTGCTTGAACCCAGGAGGCGGAGATTGCAGTGAGCCGAGATCACACCACTGCACTCCAGCCTGGGCGACAGAGCAAGACTCCATCTCAAAACAAACAAACAAACAAACAAACAAACAAAAAACAGCTTCACCCCAGAGACGGTCAAACTGTCCTGGTGCCAAGTTCCATCCAGATATCACTTGGGGCCCAACCCTGGTCTTCTAGATCTCCAAGCCTGGAGCGGCCACAGGAGTCGGCCAGCAGCAACTCATTCGTGGCCCTCCCGATGCCGTACTCTACACATCTTAAATATCCCCACAGGGTGACATAGAGGCCTGGAAATTGCTGACAACAGGCCCTGGACATCAGGCATTACATCAGATAATTTATCAGCGGAGGATGGAACACCTGTGTGGACCCTCCAGAAACTCACGCTGAGAACACGCAGGCTCAATGAATTCCTCACACCTGCATGAATACGTCTTCTTCCTATCTCTGACTGTTCCTCTCATCTCTTTCTGCCCAGCCTCTAACTATTGTGATCTTTCAGGGCTTGGTCCTGGGACTTCTTCTTTCAAGTAGTATATTCTCCTTCACTGCCCCCAGGTAACTGTGCATAGCTTCAGTTTTAAACATCTTCTCTGTGTTTGTGACTCGCTCCATAAACAGCTAAATACCAGTTGGAAAAAACACAGGAATTTCAAACATAACACACCCAAAATGGAACTTCAACGCCAGCCCTCTGCAGTCTCTACTTCTCAGTTCACAGCTCCCTCATTGCTTCAGTTGTCTAAGCCATAAACCTGGAAGGCCTTTATTTCCTACTTTCTGTAATGTGGAATCCAGCTTAATTTCTATTATTTGACTGAAGTAAATTTAATGAACTTAAATCTCTGAATTTGAAGCCCAATTCACATTATTAGGGTGGTCTCAACAGCTACACGTCTTGAATTTTTAAAAAATTGTCTGAGACTCTCAGTATTTCCAGGAGACTGGCAGAAACAAATGCAAATTATCTCTGGAAAAACGCACAGCTGTGGCTGGGCACGGTGGCTCACGCTTGTAATCCCAGCATTTTAGGAGGCCGAGGAGGACGGATCACTTGAGGCCAGGACTTTGAGACCAGCCTGGCGAAACCCCATCTCTACTAAAATTACAAAAATCAGCCAGGCCTGGTGGCGGCCTGTAATCCCAGCTACTCAGGAGGGTGAGGCAGGAGCATCGCTTGCATCTGGGAGGCAGAGGTTGCAGTGAGCCGAGATCATGCCACTGCCCTCCAGCCTGAGCAACAGAGCGAGGCTCATCTCAAAAACAAAAACAAAAAAGGTTGAAGAAACAACAGGAGTATCTCAAGAGAAAAAGAACTTGATAAATTCAACATTGATTCATAAAAATTCTTAGTAAACCAGAAATAAAGGGGGACATCCTCAATTTGATGAAAGGCAGCCATTAAAAAAAACTATAGCTAGGGCCAGGTGCGGTGGCTCACGCCTTTAATCCCAGCACTTTGGGAACCTGAGGCAGGCAGATCACGAGGTTGGGAGTTCGAGACCAGCCTGACCAACAGAGTGAAACCCCGTATCTACTAAAAATACAAAAATTAGCTGAGTGTGGTGGCACTCAGCTACTCGGGAGGTTGAGGCAGGAGAATCGTTTGAATCTGGGAGGAGGAGGTTGCGGTGAGCTGAGGCTTCGCCATTGCACTCCAGCCTGGGTGACAGAGCCAGACAGCATCTCAAAAAACAAAAACAAAAACAAAAACAAAAACAAAAACAAAAAACACAAAACAACAACAAAAAGCGCTATAGCTGTATCAGAATTTAGAGTGAAAAGACTTAATGTTTTCTTTCTTCCTAAGATCGAGAATAAGCAAGTGTCCACTCTCACCACTTCTGTTCAACACACTGCAGGTCTGAGCCAGTATAATAAGGCAAGAAAAATTCAGAAAAGGCTTACAGACTGGAAAGGCAGAAATAAAGCTATCTATACTCATATACTGCATGACTTTGTAGAAAATCCTGAAGGATCTATTTATAGAAATCCACTGTCTAATGAGTGAGTTTTGCATAGTTATAGGGTACAAATGTCAATATATATAAAACAATTCCATTTCTATATACTTGCAATGAACTAGAAATGAATGAAATGTCAATTAGAAATTGATATTTTAAAATACCGTTTACAGTGGCTGTAAAAAACATAAAATACTTAGGGATACATCTCCAAATACATATAACATTTTATGCTGAAAGTGACAAAACACTGATGAGAGAAATCGAAGACCTAAATAAATGGAGATATTTTGTATTCCTGGACTGAAAGCACCAAATATTGTCAAGATGTCAATTCTCCCCAAACTGATCAACGGATTCAATGTAATATGAATAAAAATCCCAGCGGTCCATTTTGAAGAAGCCAACAAGCTGATTTCAAAATTTATGTGGAAAAGCAAACAACCTACAGTAGCCAAAACTATTCTGAAAAAGAATAAATTTGGAGAATGCACAGTACCTGCTTTCAAGACTTCCTACAGAGTTATCAATCAAGCCAGTGTGCTATTGGCAAAGGGAAAGAGTCAACCATCAATAGACCTATTAGAGTCACAAATAGACGTGATCGCATATACCAGTTGATTTTCAACAAAGGGGCCAAGTAAATTGAATGGACAAAGGTAGTGTTTTTAACAAATGAAACTGGAACAAATGGATACATGTGAGTCAAAAAATAAAAATAGAAGGTGGGGGGAGGAGAGGGTTTGCACCATTCTGTGAACTGTATACAGATATTAACTCTCAGTGGTTCATAGGCCACAATGTAAAACCGAAAACCATAAAACTTTTGGAAGGAAATCTTTGTTGGCTTTGGCAAAATTTCTTAAATAAGACACAAAAAGCAGAAGTCATAAAAGAAAAAACTTGATAAATTGAACTTCATCAAAATGCAAAACCTCTACACTTCAAAAGACAGTATTAGGAAAATGAGAATACAAACCATGCTGGGAGGAAATATTTGCAAAATTTATCTGATAAATGAATGCTAAACAGAACATATAAAGAAATTATAAAACTCAAGAGACATACAACCCAATTTAGAAAAGGGGTTTGTACATGTATTTCACCAAAGTTGAGATAGAGGGAAAACAAACACATGAAAATATGCTCAGCATCATTAGTCATTCTGGAAATGCAAATTAAAATGACATACCACTACCCATCTATCGGGTCGGATGTAGTAAAACAAACTGACAATACCAAACCCTGGTGAGAATACAGAGTAACTGAATCTTTCGCACGTTATTGGTGGGAAGGCAAAATGGCACAGGCAATTTGGAAAACAAGTTTGGCAATCCCACCCTTAGACAGTCAATCAAGAACTATGAAGCTGTGCCCACACAAAAATCTGCTGCTAATATTTACAGCACAGAGCTGGAAACAACCCATGTCCGTAGAATTGCAAAAGGATAAGTAAATTATGGTATATTTATACAATGGAATATTATCAACAATAAAAAGGAACAAACTACTGATACACGAAGCAGCCTGGACGTTCTATATGTCAACTGCAGTATGCTGTCAGCCTCGAAAGGCCACACACTGTAGGATTCCATCGATAGGACATTCTGGGAAAGGCAAAGCTATAAGGACAGGAGATATAAACCCTTTGTTATACATGCTGAATTTCTTCCCCAGAAGTTTTAAATTTTTAAGCAGTGGAATCTGCCTGCAATCATGTTTCATGGCTGGGGAACTGGTAAAGAATCTGCAGCCAGGCGTGGTGGCTCACGCCTGTAATCCCAGCACTTTGGGAGCCTGAGGCGCGTGGATCACCTGAGATCAGGAGTTCAAGACCAGCCTGACCAACATGGTAAGACCTCGTCTCTACCATAAATACAAAAAATTAGCCAGGCGTGGTGGCTCACGCCTATAATCCCAGCACTTTGGGAGCCCAAGGCGCGTGGATCACCTGAGATCAGGAGTTCAAGACCATCCTGACCAACATGGTAAGACCTCATCTCTACTATACAAAAAATTAGCCAGGTGTGGTGGTGCATGCCTGTAATCCCAGCTACTTGGGAGGCCGAGGCAGGAGAATCACTTGAACCCAGGAGGGGGAGGTTGCAGTGAGCCAAGATCGCACCACTGCACTCCAGCCTGGGCAAAGTGAAACTCTGTCTCAAAAAAAAAAAAAAAAAAAAAAAAAAAAAAGATTTTGCATGGGAAGAGCTTTCATATGAGATCATACAGTTATTTTTTTGATCCTTATCTAATATGTATAACATATTAAGCTCTCCAGTCTCCTAAAATTTTTATTTATTTATTTTAAGACAGAGTCTCATTCTGTTGCCCAGGCTGGGGTGCAGTGGTGTGATCTCAGCTCACTGCAATCTCCACCTCCTGGGTTCAAGCAATTCTCCCACCTCAGCCACTCAAGTAGCAGGGACTACAGGCACACGCCACCACAACTGGCTAATTTTCGTATTTTTTGTAGAGATGGGATTTCACCATGTTGGTTAGGCTGGTCTCGAACTCCTGGCCTCAAGCAAACCGCCCGCCTTGGCCTCCCAAAGTGCTGGGATTACAGGAGTGACCCACTGTGCTGGCCTAAAATTGTTAAACTACTGGAATTTGTTTTCATTTATGGCAGGATGGTCACCTGATTCTCAAATGCAGAACAGTGCCCTGTGAGTATTCACATGTGTCAACTTACTCTGGAGTACTCTGAACATGCTGCTGAGTCCTCTTATGTGGCATAAACTCAGGTCTGTGATATGAGCGGGCTCCAGATGCTCAAGCAGCAGTGACTTGCTCCTGAAGAGAAAGGACAGCCTCAGTCATCTGCACAGACCACAGGCCCCTTAGTCTACTGGATGGATCCCATTACATCCTACCAGCAAATGCAATCTCCCTATCTCAATCAACATCTTACTGGACTCTGATTCTCACCCAATTGTATCCAAAATGAAAACTCACCTTTCTAAAGAGTATTTTGCATTCTAAGGGAAAGAAAAGAGACCAGGTTACTACTGGGTTTTTGAGCTGTTTTTGCAATCTGTGCCCAGGAAAATATCCTCTTACAATGAACTCAATTTCCATGTCATTTCTTCAACCTCATAATGCTAGTTATCAGATGAACAAATTCTAACATGGAAACAGAAAAAGTCAGAAAAATGCATGAAATCATTTTGTCGTAGTCCCAAGGGAAAGGTTTTCTATCCCTCACCCCAGGCATCTTACTCAGAGCCATCATTTCTCAGTCTTCAGACGGGAGCATCTATCTGCTTTCCATGCAGGGGGTGGCCAGAGTTCAGCAGGTGAAGGGGCCACTGGCTGGGAGGGCAGTGGGAGCCAGGCAGAGCCACACCTGCCTGCATGCTCAAGAACTGAGCTGCTTCCTAAGGATTTACCTACAGACGCTTTCCAGATGAGCGCATTCATTGCAATTATAAGCCCAGGAGAGGGATATGGACAGTCTTAAAAAGATAGTAAGGCCAGGCGCGGTGGCTCATGCCTGTAATCCCAGCACTTTGGGAGGCCAAGGTGGGCGTATAACCTGAGGTCGGGAGTTTAAGACCAGACTGACCAACATGGTGAAACCCCGTTTCTACTAAAAATACAAAAATTAGCTGGACATGGTGGTGGGCGCCTGTAATCCCAACTACTCAGGAGGCTGAGGCAGGAGAATCGCTTGAACTGGGGAGGCGGAGGTTACAGTGAGCCGAAATTGCGCCACTGCTCCAGCCTGGGAGATAGAGCGAGACTCCGTCTCGGGGAAAAAAAAAAAAAAAAAGGTAACCCACTTTCTGAAAGGCAACGTATGTTACTATACAAAATTCAAAATATGCAATACTTACCATAGACTGAGTAGCTTCTGCACAGCAGAAATTCATTTCTCGCAGTTCTGGAGGCCGAATTTCAAGATCAAGGCACTGGCAGATTCAGTGTCCGGTGAGGGCTCCATCCCTCCTAGGTAGCCTCCATCTCCAGCCTCACAAGCTGAAGGGGTGAGGTCTTCCTCGGCCTCTTTTATAAGAGCCCTAATCCCATTCACAGGGGCTCTGCCCCCAGGCCCCACTCACTACCCAAAGGCCCCACCTCCCAATACCATCGCCTTGGGGGAGAGGATTTCAACATATATATTTTGGAGGGACACAAACATTCAGATCATAGCAGATAATCTCACCCTTGTTTCAAGATTATCACAGATGACTATACATTTATTAATTTTTTGCCAGAAAGTCTGTGAATGTTAGCAACCACACATGTATATGTGTGTGTATATATACTTATTATCCAAAGATCAAACAAAAAGCAGTCTGCATCTTTCTTTTTCACTTAATGAGTGCTTGAAATACTGTTAGTGCCTATAGAGCTGTTTTATTCTTTATGATCACAGAATATTTCATTGCATGGAGGTATTAACCACATTGTGTCACATCTCAACCCTAACTTACTGCTGATAATTTTAAGGTGAGAATTCATCTCATGAAGCAGCTCCACACTATCCCACAAAGCTATGACCATTCCTAAAGCTTTTGGCAGCTGAAAGAAAGTCATGTAGCCTTCTTTTGTGGTTGAAGATCATTGGATATTGTGTTCTGACAGCAACCCCTAATGAGTACTGTCCACTTCTCATTTCTCAAATACTGGAATGAATTTTATTTTCTTTTTCCCAGCATCTTACCTTGAGCAATGCCAAGGTGCCTTCCCCACACTTTTTCTCAAGCTCCACGATGAGCTTTAGGAGGCTGCGGACCTGTTCAGAAGCCCTGGCTTCACTCTCCTTCAGTTTCTCCATGTTCTCTCTCCCCACACGGCCCAGTCTCTGCAGAAGCATTTCTTCGTTACTATTCAACAACCTCAAGTTCAGGAACAAGAGTTCGGTAACTTCTCCTATAGATTAATTCAACCATGTTTTTAAAAACCTGCTTTTCGGTTGGGCGCAGTGGCTCACGCCTGTAATCCCAGCACTTTGGGTGGCCAAGGCCGGCGGATCATGAGGTCAGGGTTTGAGACCAGCCTGGCCAACATGGTGAAACCCAGTCTCCACTAGAAGTACAAAAATTAGCCAGGCGTGGTGGCGGGTGCCTGTAATCCCAGCTACTCAGGAGGCTGAGGCAGGAGAATCGCTTGAACCTGGGAGGCAGACGTTGCAGTGAGCCAAGATCGTGCCACTGCACTCCAGCCTGAATGACAGAGCAAGACTCCAAATCAAAAAAAAAAACCAAAACCAAAACCAAAAAAAAAAAAACCCTGCTTTTCTGCCTGCTACCCCAGGAACAGACATAATTAGGCAAGGCCATGATATTCTTCTGCTGAAGCAGGATTCCTCTCAAGAGACAGTTGATTCTTTGCCCCCTGTTATGTATGTTTAAGCCAATACAGATGTGTGTGCACGCAGCCCTTACTCACATTAATATGCACCTAAAACATTTCATGTTTTTTCTGTGGCTGTTTGTTCAGAAGGTTCCCTATTTTTTCATTAACTTGAAATCAATTAAAATTAAGGTATATAGATTAACTAATAAGAAATAAATAATTACGTTACTGATATCAATTTTCTTTTTATCCTTCCAAGTATACTTTACATATACTGCGTAGTCACATACGCAACTTGAGTATGTTATTTAGGGGGAAAAAACATAAACATAAGTGATAGTTTATTATATTTGATTACTAATCTGACAACTTACTTTATTCTTGGAGAACATTCCTTATTCATATACACAGAGCCATGACATCATCTTAACATGCTGAAGAGTATTCTTCCATGTATGTATGGAGCACATTTTGTGAGTCTTCTATTGACAAATACAGGGTGTTTCTAACCTCTTGCTATGAATGTTATAATTGTAACATCTGCTACTCATCAACTGCTTAACATGAACAAGACACGATTTAATAAGCTTTAGCAGATTATCTCACTCAAATCTCACAATAATTTTATAAATTAGGGGTCACTGTTATATCCAGTTTACAGCTAAAGGAACCAAGTCAAAGGTTAAGCAGCAGGTCGTAGGCCACCCAGGAGCCAGTAAACAGCTGGCTCAGATAGGAACTCCATTCATCCGGCTTCAAAGGTGAATTCTAGGCCGGGCGCGGTGGCTCACGCCTGTAATCCCAGCACTTTGGGAGGCTGAGGCGGGTGGATCATGAGGTCAGGAGATCGAGACCATCCTGGCTAACACGGTGAAACCCCGTCTCTACTAAATATACAAAAAATTAGCCGGGCGTAGTGGCGGGCACCTGTAATCCCAGCTACTTGGGAGGCTGAGGCAGGAGAATGGCGTGAACCCGGGAGGCGAAGCTTGCAGTGAGCTGAGATTGCGCCACTGCACTCCAGCCTGGAGACAGAGCCAGACTCTGTCTCAAAAAAAAGAAAGGTGAATTCTAAACCATGGCTCTAAACTGAAACTCAGTTTCAGTGTTGCCTTACCCAGGTGTCTTTTTCTATGTGTGTAAGTATGTTTGAAGCATAATACAGTAATATGTGTACAAATATATTTATAGGTATATTGTGCTTTATTTATGTCTTTTTATATGCATGTCAAGATAAATTCATAGAAATGGAGTTGCCAGGTAGGTATATAATTCATTTAATACATGTGTGGTTGTCACTGGCTATGTTATTTTGGAATTGACATAATGTTTAGCTCTTCTTTTTCTCATTTCTCAAATATGAGGATGTTGTTTTCAATATCTCACCTGTAGCATTTCCTGGAACATCTCCTCTAGCTCGGTGGCAAGCTTGATCGCTTGATTCAGAAGGGTTTCTCTCAGGTTCAAGTCAGATATGCATTCCTGCTGTCTCTGGAGATTCTGCTCACACTCTTCATTCAACAACCGGAGTCTCATACTATACTCAGACTCAATCATCTTTTTAAAATTTTGTTCCTCTTCCTTCCTCATATAGACATGATAGACTTCAGGTTAAACATGATAGATTAACAACACACACACACGTCATAATAGATAGATATCTATATCTATATATAGATATATATATCTTACACTGACCACAATGTATTCTTTCCATCTCTAACCCCAATATAAAGACAAGGAAGGCTGGGCGCAGTGGCTCACGCCTGCAATCCCAGCACTTTGGGAGGCCAAAGTGGGTGGATCACGAGGTCAGGAGATCGAGACCATACTGGCCAGCATGGTGAAACCCCATCTCTACTAAAAATACAAAAATTAGCTGGGCGTGGTGGGGAGCACCCATAATCCCAGCTACTCGGAAGGCTAAGGCAGGAGAATCGCTTGAACCTGGGAGGTGGAGGTTGCAGTGAGCAGAGATTACGCCACTGCACTCCAGCCTGGCAACAGAGCTAGACTCTGTCTCAAAAAAACAAACAAACAAAAAAAGACGAGGAAATGTAAAGTACAGAAGAAAAGGAATAAACCCAAAGGAGAAATAGAATTTGAGTCAACATCAGCCAAGACATCAACACAATTTTAGAACATAAAATGCAGACGAAGAAATGTTCATCAATGAATTGGCTGGGCGCGGTGGTTCACGCCTGTAATCCCAGCACTTTGGGAGGCCGAGGCAGGCGGATCACGAGGTCAGGAGATCGAGACCATCCTGGCTAACACGGTGAAACCCCGTCTCTACTAAAAATACAAAAAATTAGCCGGGCTTGGTGGCGGGCGCCTGTAGTCCCAGCTACTCGGGAGGCTGAGGCAGGAGAATGGCGTGAACCCGGGAGGTGGAGCTTGCAGTGAGCCGAGATGGCGCCACCGCACTCCAGCCTGGGCGACAGAGGGAGACTCCATCTTAAAAAAAAAAAAAAAAAAAAGAAATGTTCATCAATAAGGAAAAACTAAGGAAGCTATAGCCTCTGTCAAACAGAGGAGGAGACCAGGACATTGGAAAAGGGCCAATGGGATTTGCTGATGCTTGGGTAAGAGTTGTGGGGAAAAAAGGAGTCATGGACGAAAGACACCAAAAATTTTAGACTAAGCAACTGGAAGAATGGAATTACCAAAATATATAGAGAGAATCTATGGAAAGGCTGGATTCCAGAAGTGAGGAGTGTGCGTTAGCTCGGGATGTGATGAATTTGATTAGTCAATTAGACATCCAAGTAAAGATAGTAAGTAGGAAATTGGACATGAAGCCTACTACCATTTGGAAATCTGAGCTAGGGATATATATTTGAAAGTAGTCATCTTAGAGATGCTTAAATAGCATCTCTATTAAGCTATTTAAGATTCAGTGAAATTGTCCGGGCTCACGTCTGTAATCCCAGCACTTTGGGAGGCCAAGGCAGGTGGATCATGGGGTCAGCAGTTCGAGACCAGCCTGACCAACATGGTGAAACCCCGTCTCTACTAAAAATAAAAAAATTAGCCAGGCATGATGACGGGCCCCTGTAATGTCAGCTACCTGGGAGACTAAGGCAGGAGAATTGCTTGAACCCGGGAGGCGGAGGTTGCAGTGAGCCGAGATCGCGTCACTGAACTCTAGCCTGGGTAACAAGAACGAAACTTCATCTCAAAAAAAAAAAAAAAAAGATTCAATGAAATCAAGATTTATCAAGAACCTGACTACTTCTCACCACTGCTCTACCTGTCCCCCAGCTCACCATCATCTCTCCCTAATTATTGCAAGTCCCTTTGCACGTCTCTCCACCTCTGCTTTTACTCTCTTGGTTTTTTTTTTTTTTTTTTTTTTTTTGAGACGGAGTCTCGCTCTGTCGCCCAGGCTGGAGTGCAGTGGCGCCATCTCGGCTCACTGCAAGCTCCGCCTCCAAAGTTCATGCCATTCTCCTGCCTCAGTCACCTGAGTAGCTGGGACTACAGGCACCTGCCACCACACCCGATTTTTTAGTAGAGACGGGGTTTCACCGTGTTAGCCAGGATGGTCTCGATCTCCTGACCTCGTGATCCGCCCGCCTCGGCCTCCCAAAGTGCTGGGATTACAGGCATGAGCCACCACGACCAGCCTGCTTTTACTATCTTAATGTCTATTTTCATTTGGCAGCTAGCGTGTTTCTATGAAAATGGAAGTTAAATCATGTCAGCCTTCTGTTCGAAACCTTCCAGTGGTTTTGAAGCTTGTATTTCATTGAAGGCTGCCACCCTAAATGACTGACCGCCTTCTTCTGATCTCATCACCTACAGCCCCCGTTTCCTTACACAGCTCCAGCCACATACACGGCAGCCTCCAGGCCTTTCCTCTGCCTAGAATATTCCTCCCCAAGAAAACTGCATGGCCCAATCCCCCACCTCCTTCAGTGCCACCTTCTGAATAACAAGGTTCTGATCACTTTATTTACAAGCTCACTCCATTGCTTCCTTTCTCACTTAAAAAAAATTTTTTTAAACACTTCCCAGGTAACATACTATATATTAAACTTATTTTGTTTATATCCACTAGAATGCAAGTTCCACGAAAGCAGAGCTGGTTTTTTTTGTTTTCCATTGGTGAGCCCCTAGCACCTTGCATAGTCCCTGGCAAACAGTGGGATCTCAGTATTTGCTGAACACATGGTACTTGGAACTGAAAAAGAAGGGGGATCGGTTGAAAAATCCTTACCTAGCCAGGCAATTCTCCTCCACTATCTTCCCTAAGTAGGCATTTATTTCCTTTAAAAATTGAGGGAGAGAAAAGACCCAGAATCGGGGATACCTTGCACAGAATAGGATTAAGTATGAAGATACAGGCTGAAATTAGAAGTGAAATATGCCTAACAGGTGGTGAACCCTCAAATCTGAATAGCTATTCTCAAATTGCTCTTTAAAGGGTTTTAGAATTTATGTGGCAACCAGAAGTACAAGAGATGCTCATTCTCCTATGTCATTGTTATAAACGGTGTCGTTAATCTTTTTGATCATTGCAAATAGCATTGCAAATGCCATTTTACTCACCATATAATTTGTATTTCTCTTACCACGAACAAAGTTCAAATTCTTTCAATGTATTTAAAATATATTTACTTTCTTTTCTGCAAACTCTTATTTGATCGTTTTTTAAAATTAAATTTCTAGTCTTTTCCTTACTGACTTTTTTTATTTTTATTTTTTTTGAGATGGAGTCTTGCTCTGTGGCCTAGGCTGGAGTCCAGTAGTGTGATCTCGGCTCACTGCAACCTCTGCCTCCCAGTTCAAGCGATTCTCCTGCCTCAGCCTCCCGAGTAGCTGGGATTACAGGCTCGTGCAACCACACCCAGCTAATTTTTGTATTTTTAGTAGAGATGGGGTTTCACCATGTTGGCCAGGCTGGTCTCAAACTCCTGACCTCAAGTGATCCGCCCTCCTCAGCTTCCCAAAGTGCTGGGATTACAGGCGTGAGCCACCACACCCAGCTTCTTACTGACTTTAAAGAGCTTTTTATACATTAAGATATTAGCACTTTTCCTTCCTATAGATTTCACATTTTTCCTGCTTTGTGATTTGTCTTTTGACTTTGTTTATGATACACTATTTTCTAACAACATTACTGGTAATTTCCCCCCAAGAATCAAGATAAGCACTCACTGACCTGAATCATCGCCATTCTTTCTTGCTCATCAGTCAATATGCTTTTAGCTGCTTCAAGTTTCTCCCTCGATGTGTTCAATATTTCCTGGAATAACTTCTATAGAGAAAGCACAGAATTCCAGGTGAGATCATTGATTTAGAACAGTTGGATTCCTGACCTTAAACAGCCAACAACTCTGAGTATATATTTTCTTAGCCTTTAGGTTGAAGGTTCAACGAACTTATCTAATATTCTGTAATAAACATCAACTAAGGTAATGGTTTTGGAGGACCAGAATGTCTGTCCATTTCATCCATATAGGAGTTGGCCAGAGTGTTTTGGGATTTGCGTGAGTGACTCTTACCCTGTAATTCTCAGCAGCCTCTTGTATCCCACACACCATGTGATGTTTGTGCTCCTGGGACTGGAAGCATTTGCTGCAGAGTGTGATTTGGTCAACATCACAGAACAGCCGTGTTGGTTCCAGGTGTGTTTCACAATAGGCATCTTCTGTGATGTTGTGCTGTAACTGAGGGCTGAGCCTTTTGGACATCCTGGTAGGGGTCCCTAGTTGAAGACTGGACTGTATGCTTCTACTGAGGTATCTCCCTGCACTGTGAATGAGAAAAAATGGTGGCTTCCTTTGTTTTCTGGAGCAGGCACACACACTTGGCAACTTCAGAGTCCACGAAGATCCAAGGAAATAAGTCCACGCAGACAGAGCGGGTCGGCGCTCTGGACTCCTCAAATCCAACAAATTTCTGGCAGCTGCCTGCTTGGGGAAAAGACAGAGTTAGGCCAGTGTTCTAAGACCAGCGGGTTTCCCTCAGGTCTTCTGACAATCTTGAGCAATAGGCTGAAAATTAATTACAAGGAACAGCACTCACTTACGAGTCATTCAGGGGAAAACAGTGCTCTAAAGGCATCGCGCTAATTACTGAAGGAACTTCAGGACTAGAGTGAGGTAACAGAGTGCGAAAGAGGTTCGTTGATAGAATTACAGAAAAAAACCACAAGTATCTGAAAAAGTTATTAAAATACTTTCCCTTTGAGAGACAGGGTCTTGCTCTGTTGCCCAGTCTAGAGTACAGTGGCGTGACCACGGCTCACTGCAGCCTCTGGAACTCCCAGGCTCCAGCGATCCTCCCACCTCAGCTTCCGGAGTAGCTGGGACTACAGCTGGGACAAAACACATGCAACAGAAGGAATGGGGAAGCAAATAAGGGAAAACAGCTCCTCTTTTTTTTTTTTTGAGACGGAGTCTCGCTCTGTCACCCAGGCTGGAGTGCGGTGGCGCGATCTCGGCTCCCTGCAAGCTCCGCCTCCCGGGTTCCCGCCATTCTCCTGCCTCAGCCTCCCGAGTAGCTGGGACTTCAGGCGCCCGCCACCTCGCCCGGCTAATTTTTTGTATTTTTGTAGTAGAGACGGGGTTTCACCGTGTTAGCCAGGATGGTCTCGATCTCCTGACCTCGTGATCCACCCGCCTCGGCCTCCCAAAGTGCTGGGATTCCAGGCGTGAGCCACCGCGCCCGGCCGAAAACGGCTCTTCTAAGAAGCCATCAATTAAAGAGATTTGCAAAACAGTGAAGCCAAAGCCACTCTTCTCAATAATTGTTTCCGAAATAAAATTTCAGGAGTGACGTGACGCGCTGCCCGCGGTCTGGCCGTGAGCGCCCTCGCTCCTTCCTCTTTGACTCCATCTTCGCGGGGGCGGCAGCCGGAACCGCGGTTCAGTCACCAACATGCAGTTCTTGGTCCGCGCCCCGGAGCTACACGCCCTCCAGGTGACCGGCCAGGAGACGGTCTCCCAGGTCGCGGCTCAGGCAGCGCCACTGGAGGGCTTCGCCCCGGAAGATCTATCGTGCTCCTGGCAGGCGCGTCCCTGCAGGGCGAGGCCACCCTGGACCAGGGCGAAGTGGGAGGCCCCGACTGCCCGGGAGGCCAAGTCCGTGGTTCCCCGGCCCGCGCTGGGAAAGTGACAGGTCAGACTCTTGCTAAGGTGGCCAAGCGAGAAGACAGGCCGGGCTGAGCCGCGGGTGCGGTACCACCGGCGCTTTGTCGACGTTGTGCCCATCTTTGGCAAGAAGAAGGGCCCCAATGTCCTTCTTAAGTCCTTTGTAATTCTGGCTTTCTCTATTAAAAAAGCCACTTAGCTCGAAAACTTTTTTCTCAGAAAAATGTTTTTGTTTTTATTATTTTATTAACTTATTTATTTATTTTTGAGACCGAATCTCTGTCGCCCAGGCTGGAGCACAGTGGCACGATCTCAGCTCACTGCAACCTCCGCCTCCCGGGTTCAACCGACTCTCCTGCCTCAGCCTCCCGAGTAGCTGGGACTACAGGCGCGTGAAACCACACCCAGCTAATTTTTTGTATTTTTAGTAGAGACGGGGTTTCACCGTGTTGGCCACACTGATCTGGAACTCCTGACCTCAGGTTATCTGCCCGCCTCAGCCTCAGTGCTGGGATTACAGGTGTGACCCACCGTGCCTGGCTTGTTTTTATTATTTTAAATGAATAACTATAAAATGCAGTTTTAAATTTCTAATACAGTAAACATAGATATTAACGCTCATAAACAAAAGCTTATTGGGATCTTCGTCAATAATGAGTGCAAAGGAGTACTGATTCCAAAAAGTTGAGAATCTTGGCCTGAAAAGGCATATTCCCCACAAATAGGACTGTGAATGAATGCATCCATAATTTTGATATGTTTTGTCAGTTTCCCAAGCACAAAAGTTGTACAATTTTGCACTCCAAGCAACAAATTAAAAAGATGTTAAACTTTTGGATCATTGCCCACTGGCTGGGTGAGAAATAGTGTATTCATATATTTTCAACTTCCATCTGTTATATTATTAATATGTCTAAGCCTTTTATTTTCATATGCTAAAAAACCATTTTCACTTCTTTTGCTGTGAAGTCTATGTTCAAGCCTCTCTCTCAGTTTATTCCATCAGGTTTGGCCTTTTTGGAGGGAGGGGTCAATTTTAAGAGAGAGCTATAGATCCAAGTTCCTGTAAATTGTGTGAGTTGCAAATACTTTCTCCCTCCTTCCTTGTTTTTGATGCTCTCATCCTTTCTTCTGCTTAGGTCTTTGAAATCCCTGCTGGTTTCCCGTGTCTTAGGTCCCTGAACATGTCCGAGATGACTCCACTGAGTCACCAAAACAAAGAAATTCACCAACTCAAATTTTTCCTTGAGCTCTCAGCAGCAGTTAACATAGCTGACCACACCCTTCTTCCTAGAATGTTTTCTTCTCTCATCTGTCTGCAGCTGACATTCCTCTAACTTGTCTGGTCTTGTTCTCCGTGGCCTTTTCTGGTCCCACATCCTCTGAACCTCTCAATCTTGGGGTGCTTCAAGGTTGAGTTCTGGTCTCCCAGTCCTGGTCTCTCCCTAGGTAATCTTACTCGTTTCTGAAGATTTAAGTTCCATTCTCCGATTTCAATCTCCTGCCCAATTCCCAACATTTTTGCAATAGAATGTCTAAGGAGCACTCAAAATTAACATATCTAAAGCCGCTCAGGATCTCAACCCAGTGGCTCTCTTCCCCCAAACTCATTCCTTTAGAGCCACAGTTTAAGCCTTCCTTTCACCAATTCAACTATTGTTTTCCAAATTTATATTCTGTCCTGCCCTCCTCGTCCATCTCCAGCTCCTCTCTGCTCAACCACCAGAATACTATTTTAAAACCAAAACCAAGTGAGCAGGTTTGTGGTCACTTTCTATGGCATTAGAGTAAGATCGAAGTGGGTAATAACCCCGTCCTATACAATCTGGCCTCCTGCCTTCTTCTGATCTCTCTATAGCTTTCCCCCATCACTGTCAATCTAGCTGCCTCTAATTCATCACAGCCCTTCCCCCTTCCGTGGCCAACAGAGCTCTTCTCTCATATTTTTGCAATTCCAGCTGCCTCTTCTTTCTTCTCTTCAGTTCTCAGCTCAAATGTCTTCCCAAGAGAGACCTTTCCATCACTACTCAATTTGAAATACCTTCCCACTACTCATCTCCTTATTTTATTTTCTTAGTAGCGAAAAGATTTTATCTTTCTATGAACAAGTTTACTTGTGGGTCACTCTCCATCCATAAGAAACTAAGTCCTTGAGATGCCCTGTGTCTACATCTGACATACTCGATGCACAATAAATATTGTAAACGATATTTTATGTTAAACCAGTAAAAATTGAAGGTGTAATGAGAGAGGGACAGAGACTAAATATTTTTACAGAAACAGCAAAGGAAAATTGACGAATTAAGTCCCCAGCATGTTGTCTACCCTTATTTTGTTTTTCCTAATATTTTTCTTCAGGCTTTTTCCTGATAACACACAGATACACACACACACACATAGATTCTAAGATCAAGTTTAGAAATCTAAAGAAACAATTATTAAGAAAATGATCTATAGAGAAAATCTCACTTACTTTCTTTGTAGCAATCCTGGGTATTTCCTTTTTTTTTTTTTTTTTTTTTTTTGAGACAGGGTCTTGCTCTGTCACCCAGGCTGGAATGCAGTGGCGCAATCTCGGCTCACTACAGCCTCGAGCTCCCAGGCTCAAGTGATTCTCCCACCTTGACCTCCTGAGTAGCTGGGATTACAGGCGCTGCACGACCACACCCGGCTAATTTTTGTATTTTTTGTAGAGACGGGGTTTCAGTATTTTTCCCAGGCTGGTCTTGAACTCCTGGGCTCAAGCAATCTGCCTGCTTCAGCCTCCCAAAGTACTGGGATTACAGGAATGAGTCACCACACCGAACCAAGGTATTTCCTTTAGGGAAAAAGCTGGAACAGTGGAGACTGAAGAGATTTTATCTGTTCAATTCCTCCCTCAGCCCCGCCCTCACACCATCAGGAAGGCGTCTGTGAAGTTTCTTATCATATTCACACAATTAATCTCATTAGAACCACCTGAGTTTATTAAAACGCAAGCCTCTTCACAGGGTCTCTGATTCCAGAAATCTACGGTGGGGTCCGTAATTTACATTTTTAATGGACTCCCAGAAAATGCTTAATAGCCCTGACCTTGGTTGGATAAATATCTTGTTTTATCTCCAGTGCCATGTACAGTGCCTAACACCTCTAGCTCCTTAAGGTTTGGGGTTTTCTTTCTTAATGAATCTAGTGTATATTGACAATTTCACAGGAAAGAAGCCTTCGAGCTAACACTCAAGACTGTGTTTGTTCCTTAGTAGAAAATAATGCCTGACTTGTTAGTTTCTAGAACGTTTGCTGGAGAAGTGTTCATTCCAGTATCTGTGGAAAGAAAAACCAAGAGTAGGGATAACTGCCTATGGAATCTGTCACAGATGGGAGGTCAGGGAACAATCCCAGATAATTCATACTTGATATTTGGCTTCAGTGAGGAGGAACTCTTCACAGCTTTCTAAGTTTTATAGTTTTGTCCCCGAGGGTTTTTATTGCATCAGTCAGTCAATCCCCTGCTAATCAAACCAGGGAGTTTTTTTCTTTATGCTGCTGACAGGATAATGAGAATTCTTCTGCTTTGCTTATCTGATCTTTCAGAACCTGGTTCTACCTTATGGAATCTCAATACACCGTTTCTCTTTTTCTTTTTTCTTTCTTTTTTTTTTTTTTTAGATGAGAGTCTCACTCTGTTGCCTAGGCTGGAGTGCGGTGGAGCGATCTCGGCTCACTGCAGCCTCCGCCTCCCAGGTTCAAGCAATTTTCCCACTTCAGCCTCCCGAGTAGCTGGGATTATAGGCGCCCACCACACCCAGCTAATTTTTGTATTTTTAGTGGAGATGGGGTTTCACCATGTTGGCCAGGCTGGTCTCAAACTCCTGACCTCAGGTGACCCACCCTCCTTGGCCTCCAAAAGTTCTGGCCACCGCGCCTGGCCATACACCCTTTCTCTTATCTCAGATGATTACCTACACCCACTCTCTTTTCCAAAACCCAATTCCCCAGCTTTCTTCAAATAGACCACATTTATTCCTGTGCCCCCTCCCCTCCTCAGCCAGTCCATCCTCCTTTACTTCTCTTATTTTTCTAATCCAATCTTCCTTTCTCTTCTAAGCCTGGGTACGGCCAACGTCTGTGAAGATACTCACACATACTTGTTGTCAGATACTCTGTCATTTACTCTCACCATCCCTTGAGCTTTCATAACTCTTGAGCTTACTCATCTTGACAAGAAAACTTTGTAATCTTTGAATCAAATGGAAAATAAACATCAAGCATATTGTCAGGTTTTGAAGTCTCTTAAAGCCTGTTTTAGAGTATTAAATGCTTAAATAAATACTTATTAAAGCCTGTTTTACTATTAAATAAATATTTATTAATAATTAAATTATTAATTCTAGAAGAGTCAATATTTTAAGATAATTCTAAAAACATTACAAAAAAGTGTGCTAAACCCTTATTTACTGTTACATGCCCCACCTGTTGCATGCTCCAACCCCGTGAGGTACATCTGCAGCTGATGAAGTAGATGACGTAGAGATTAAGTCACGGGATTAAGTAATTGACCAAGAGCACTGGGTGCAGAAAATTGAAGATATGGAATTTGAATCGGGTGCCAAATTTCATGATATTTCCTTATTATAATTATTTGTCCTTATTAAATATTAATCAAATGGCTTGACAATTTACAAAAAAGATGCCTCAAATTTGTATGACAATTTATCACGAGATGCTTTCATAGGGCTAGAGTAATCACATTACAAGGAACACAGATCATTTTAAGGTAGTTAGATTTTTCATAGGAAAACTTTTCATTAAAATGAAAATCCTGAAGAAATGTAGTTTTTTTTCACTGTCAAAGAACAAATACAATTATGAATGAGTGAGTCATTGTTCTCCTGAGTCATTTCATGAACTTATAACAGTCGTATCCCAGCCGGGCACTCTGGCTCATGCCTGTATCCCCAGCACTTTGGGTGACCGAGGCGGGTGGATCACTTGAGGTCAGGAGTTCGAGACCAGCCTGGCCAACATGGGAAACCTCATCTCTACTAAAAATACAAAAATTAGCCGGAAATTGCTTGAACCCAGGAGGCGGAAGCTGTAGTGAGCCAAGATCGTGCCACTGCACTCCAGCCTGGGCAACAGAGCAAGACTCGGTCTCAAAAAACCAGGACAAAACAAAAACAGTCCTGTCCCCTTTGTTAGCCACATCACCTTCACCACTCGCCCCAGGCTGGCATACTCTCGGCTTCTGGGTGGGATGAGTATGGCTGGTGCCAAACAAGGCTGTATTTGTTACTTTGGACCAAATCTGCGGCAGGAGACTACCACCTCCTCCCATTCCAGAAAAGAACAGCTGGAGGCGGGGGTGTGCTGGTTGTGGTCCCAGTGTTATCACTCATCTGGAAGGTGTGGCTTCTCTCTGGCTCCTTTTCTCCAAGGCTGCTCCATTAGAAGCAGGGGCTTGGCTCTCACTGGTTTACTTCCCACAGCTCTAAGAGGTCCAGAAGTCATGTTCAACTGCTTCTTCCTTGCTTAAGAAAGCATTAAAACTTAAGAATCAGGCCAGGCGCAGTGGCTCACGCCTGTAATCCCAGCACTTTGAGAAGCCGAGGCAGGCGGATCACCTGAGTTCCGGAGTTCGAGACCAGCCTGATCAACATGGAGAAACCCCGTCTCTACTAAAAATACAAAATTAGCCGGGCGTGGGCGCATGCCCAGCTACTCAGGAGGCTGAGGCAGGAGAATCACTTGAACCCAGGAGGTGGAGGTTGCAGTGAGCCGAGATCGCGCCACTGCACTCCAGCCTGGGCAACAAGAGCAAAGCTCTGTCTCAAAAAAAAAAAAAAAAAATTAAGAGTCAAACATTATGGGGGCCGGGCACTGTGGCTCATGCCTGTAATCCCAGCACTTTGGGAGGCCGAGGCAGTTGGATCACAAGGTCAAGAGATCAAGACCATCCTGGCCAACATGGTGAAACCTTGTCTCTACTAAAAATATAAAAATTAGCTGGGCATGGTGGCGGGCACCTGTAATCCCAGCTACTTGGGAGGCTGAGGCAGGAGAATCGTTTGAACCCGGTAGGCAGAGGTTGCAGTGAGCCGAGATCACAGCCACTGCACTCCAGCCTGGGCGACAGAGCAAGACTCTGTTTCAAAAAAAAAAAAAAAAAAGAATCAAACATTATGGTCGACCTCATGATAGCACAGTTACCCATTTGTTGTTGTAAGTCAGTGCATGCTTATCTGAACCCAACATGTTCAGTTTGCTTGCACTCTTTTGTAAGGAAGATAATCCTCCTAACAATTCCAGCAGAATTAAGAGGTCACCTTCACCTCACCTATTACAACACCGGGACAAGCCCTATCGGTTTTCACCAGACAGAATACCCTCAGCAAAAGGAACGGGCTGGTTTAACTGAAATCAGTGAATCCTGAGCAAATAAACTTCGGATTTTTGCCAAAGTTCACAGGCTGAGGAAAGCATCATGTCTCATGGATGAAGTTAGACTGACGTGGGCTCTGATTCCAGCTTGGCCACACACTTGTCATGACCTGCAGCAAGCCACTGAACGCTGAGCATCACTTGCACCATGAGTCACCGTCACCATCTTCCACAAGTCTCTGAGCATTAGGAGAGGTTCGATGAAATACACGTAGGAGCGAGGAGGGTGGTAATGAGAACAGAAATTGCTCTCTGAATGAGTATGCTTCCTCTCCTCACCCAGAGTCATTCTTTTCAGCAAAGTCAAGAGCACGGCCCTCTACATAAGGGAGAGTGCAGCCGGGAAGGTGATGGAGGTGGTAGAGATGAATTATTGGCATATGGGAAATAAAGAGATCTTTGATGCCCTTTTCAGTTTCTTTTGTTTAATAATATATATATTAGTAATGTAGTAATTGCGTAATTGATATCAAGGCATATATTCAGCTTTTATTAATGTAATGTTTATCTGAAAACTTTTAGGCCACTGGTATAATTTTTTTTTTTTTGATACTGAGTCTTGCTCTGTCACTCAGGTTGGAGTGCAGTGGCACGATCTCAGCTCACTGCAACCTCCGCCTCCTGGGTTCAAGTGATTCTCCCACCTCAGCCTCCCGAGTAGCTGAGACTACAGGTGTGTGCCACCATGCCCAGCTAATTTTTGTATTTTTAATAGAGACAGGGTTTCACCATATTGGCTAGGATTGTCTCGATCTCCTGACCTCGTGATCGACCCACCTTGTCCTCCCAAGGTGCTGGGATTACAGGTGTGAGCCACCGTGCCCGGCCACTGGTATAAATTTTTAGGAAGAATTTTTTTCTGTTCCATTATAGTCAGTTTCAACAATAAAGCCTCATTGTCAAGATATTAAAATCGCTGGGCATGGTGGCGCCCACCTGTAGTTCCAGCTACTTGGGAGGCTAAGGTGGGAGGATCTCAAGCCAGAGAGGTCGAGGCTGCAGTGAGCTATGATTGTGCCCCTGCACTCCAGCCTGGGTGACAGAGTGATACCCTGTCCCTAAAATAAATAAGTAATAAAAATGTAACAAGATACTAAAATCTACATGCTGCTCACTATCATTGGAGGATATGCATCTTTACACCCTCCTGAAAGAAGGAGTCAAAAAGCCTCCTCCACACTTTAAAGTTATGTGATAATCTGGATACCCTTCAGGACCTGGACCTGTTTAAAAAGACTGGCATCAAATGTTGTAAGGGATTGGATCTCAGAGAAAAAAGCAGCTTTATAAATAAACTTGACCAGAAGTTATTATGCCGGCAATATTCGTTCAAACAGAAAATCTGGCCAGGCATGGTGGCTCATACCTGTAATTCCAGCACTTTGGGAGGCCAAGGTGGGCAGATCGCCTGAGGTCAGGAGATCAAGACCAGCCTGGCCAACATGGTGAAAGCCTGTCTCTACTAAAAATACAAAAAATTAGCCGGGTGTGGTGGCAGGCACCTGTAGTCCCAGCTACTCAGGAGGCTGAGGCAGGAGAATGGTGAGAACCTGGGAGGCAGAGGTTGCAGTGACCCAAGATCGAGCCACTGCACTCCAGCCTAGGGGATAGAACAAGATTCTGCCTCCAAAAAAGAGAAAAGCAAAGAAAAGAAAATTTTATGTCGTCAAAATATTTTTACAAAACCAGGTGTTAGTCTTGCAGAACTTAATGCAGTTGAGTTAATTTATTCAACCTACTCAATTTAGTACACAGTAGGGTTGTACTACTGTGAACATAGTTTCATAGTCTGATTGGAATGAATGAAGAAAGATGGCTGAGAGACAAAATAAATCAATAAATCAGTACTATCCATCTTCTCTCAAAATATAATGCAGGAAATCCTTCTCCAAATCCACCTTCAATAGTAGCCCTAGTAGTGATGTAAACAAGAGTATTTCCTCAGCATACTCAGTCCCTTTACTAAACTTTACACTACGTTTCCTGGCTGCGACGGCTTAGCATGGATCCGTTGATCAGTATTGTCGGTGCAATCCTGGAGAGACACTGCTTTTTTGCTTCTCTTGTTAAAGTGGTTAAAGTGAATGTTAAGTAGAAAAAGGGCGTGGTTTGCTAGGGTGAAAGCAGCACAGAGATAGAAAACATCAGGGCCACCCTGAGTAATGCACATTTAAATTTAACCAGGTAGGATATAAACTATGGATTGCTTCTTAGTCATAAAGTACCTTATATAAAGAAAATGGAGGCCAGGCGCGGTGGCTCATGCCTGTAATCCCAGCACTTTGGGAGGCCGAGGTGGGCAGATTGCCTGAGCTCAGGAGTTTGAGACCAGCCTGGCCAACATAGTGAAACCCTGTCTCTACTAAAAATACAAAAAATTAGCTGGGCGTGGTGGCGGGTGCCTGTAATCCCAGCTACTCGGGAGACTGAGGCAGGAGAATCACTTGAACCCGGGAGGCAGAGGTTGCAGTGAGCTGAGATCGCTCCACTCCACTCCAGCCTGGGCGACAGAGTGAGACTCCATCTCAAAAATAAATAAATTAATAAATTAAAAAAAAAAAAAGAAAGAAAATGGAAACAGCCAGGCACGGTGGCTCACGCCTGAAATCCCAGCATTTTGGGAGGCTGAGGAGGGCGGATCACCTGAGGCAGGGAGTTCAAGACCAGCCTGACCAATATGGAGAAATCCTGGCTCTACTAAAAGCACAAAATTTGCTGGGCTTGGTGGTGCATGCCTGTAATCCCAGCTACTCGGGAGGCTGAGACAGGAGAATCGCTTCAACCTGGGAGGTGGAGGTTGCAGTGAGCTGAGATCGTGTCATTGCACTCCAGCCTGGGCAATAAGACAAAACTCTGTCTCAAAAAAAAAAAAAAAAAAAAAAAAGAGAAGAAAAGAAAAAAAGAAAATGGATACAAACATGAAGTTATAGAAAAGTAGTGGAGATCATGTAGTAAAGTAAAAAGATCTTATGGATATAACTCTTTGGGAAAAGTTATAAACACAAATATTTTAGTAAACATTGTAAGACTAAACTAGCTAATGCAAAAGACTGTTTTCTAAGATTCGGAAGTTTACACGGGATACATCTACCTAGGCCTAGTGTGCTTTCTCAGGTTTTGTTTCTTTAAAAACTTAATAATTCTCTTGGTATTATATTCTCAAAAAAATTGTCTGCAAATGATTTTAGCTGAGCATCCCTCTTGCAGGTAGAAGAAGGATAAATCTGACAGAAACATCCATGGGCTGTATGTAGTAATCACAGTTCGTGTGTGTGCATGTGAATAAAATATGTTTCTTTCACATTATTAAATCGTTTTTTCTTTTGAAATGAAGTCTTGCTCTTGTCCCCCAGGCTGGAGTGCAATGGCGTGCCCTCGGCTCACTGCAACCTCTGCCTCCCAGGTTCAAGCGATTCTCCTGCCTCAGCCTCCTGAGTAGCTGGGACTACAGGCGCCCGCCACCACGCCCGCTAATTTTTTGTATTTTTAGTAGAGACGGGGTTTCACCATGTTGGCCAGGCTGGTCTCGATCTCCTGACCTCATGATCCGCCCACCTCGGCCTCCTAAGGTGCTGGGATTATAGGCGTGAGCCACCGCGCCCGGCCCACATTATTAAATCTTAATATTTATATCATTTCCACTAGTGTAGATGCTAACTTAAATGCTTGGTCTTGATCTCTGATCATTACCAAGTCAATATATCTAATACTTAAAATTAATGTTTTTCCCTCTGTTGCTGAGGCTGGAGAGCAGTGGCACCAACACGGCTGACTGCGGCTTTGACATCCTGGGTTCAAGCAATCCTCTCACCGGAGCCTCCTAAGTAGAGACACACGCCATTGCACCTGGCTATTTTTTCACAAAGTTTTTTGTAGAGACAGAGTCTGGCTTTGTTTCTCAGGCTGGTCGCAAACTCCTGGCCTCAAGTAATCCTCCCCGCCAAAGTACTGGGATCACAGGCGTGAGCCACGGCGCTGGCCCTGTTAGAACATAGAGCTAGCTTTGTCAATGCTTTTTCATCAGTAGTAGGTAGAATGTAGGGACTGGTTAAATGTTACGGTGATTACAATCTTGAAAGAAAGTAAGTGGTATCATTACTGCCAAATAACTTCTTCTTTAGCCTGTAACTATTTCAGTGCGCATTATGATTGTAACTAGAAACAATGGAGGCAGGAGCCAGGCCTACATTTTATCTATTATTCTATCTGCTTAGTGCAAAAGTCCCTGACTCCTAATCCAGGATTTTTTTTTCTCAGAGGGTTAAAAATAGTTTTCTTTTTAAAGATTTGTGGACTGGGCAGACAATTAATGGTACAGAATCCCCACGCATATTGTGGGAATGAAAAAAAAGAAGACAGGATGCAGAGTTCTAATGGCACAATTGGCAAACAGAGTAGGAGGCAGTCTCTAATAGCATCATAAACGAAAACAGCCCCCAAATACCTAGGAAGAGCTCTTCCTTGTCTGTAACAAGCTTTGTTTGAGGAACTAATAGTAAAGAATGTGGTTACAGAAAATACAGTGGTGTCTGCCAAGCACCTCGGCAAATACAAATCCACACTGGAGAAAGAGACGACTTTGTCTTCCGAGATACCTGCCTGACTCCTACTGCTCAGCCACGCTTCTCTCCCACACGCACCCCCAGTAATGACTCCAGAGGTCAAGTTCTGAGTTCTCACGATGGCAGGAGAATCAGCCTGTCAAGACGGTCACCTCGATTAACCACACACTGCAAATCTGAGGACTCCGTGAGGGAAGGGCTCTGTTCCTATCCAGGGTTTAGGCACTGGGATTAGAGTTCTCCAGAAAGACACAATCAGTAGGATAGGTAGAGAGATGCATGAGAGGAGGTGTATTAGGGGAACTGGCTTATGCTATTAGGAGGCTGATAAGTCCCAGGATGCGACACACCCTGGTGTGTCAGCTGGAGGGTGTGTCTCCAGCCGGAGACCAGCCACGTGTGAAGGCCTTAGAGCCAGGGAGGCCGATGGTGGGGCTCGTGGCCAGGGCTGAAGCCCTGCAAACCCCGGCTGCTGCTGGTGTAAGTCCTGGGGCCCAAAGGCCTGGGAACCCCGAGTTCTGGTGAACAAGGACAGGAGAGGAAGAGGGCCTGCATCCCACCACAGAAGATGGACACACAGATTCAGTGCCCACCCGATTGAGGGTAGATCTTCCCCATCCCCTCCAGTGTGACTCTCACCCTCATCTTTTCCAGAAACACTTTCACAGACACACCCCAAATAATGCTTTCCCAGGTTTCTAGGCATTCCTTAATTCAGCCAAGTTGACACCTAAAATCAGTCGTCACAATGCGGGGGAAAAAAGCATAGCCCCCACCACAGCAATGTATAGACATGTCATTATGTTCTCGCCAACAGGTTCTACCACAAAGTTTTTGTGCCACTTTGTAGAGTCCTTTTTTTCTTTTTTCTTTTTTTTAAGACAGCGTCCAGGCTGGAGTGCAGTGGCATGATCTTGGCTGACTGCAACCTCCACCTCCCAGGTTCAAGCGGTTCTCCTGCCTCAGCCTCCCAAGTAGTTGGGCTAAAGGCGCCTGCCACCATGCCCGGCTAATTTTTTGTATTTTTAGTAGAGACAGGGTTTCACCATGTTGGGCAGGCTGGTCTCAAACTCCTGACCTCAGGGATCCACTTGCCTTAGCCTCCCAGAGTGCTGGGTTTACTACAGGCGTGAGCCACCACGCCTGGTCACTCTGTAGAGTCTCAAAGAGAGAGGGTGTACCCTTCTCCTCTTGAGCCTGGCTTCAATGTAAACATAATGATAGAAACTGGGTCATCAGATATCCTGTAGGACGGAGGCTGTATGTGTCGAAGAAACGAGAGTCGAGGTCCCTGAATTCATTCTGCCTACTGGGTATTAAATGAGGAAAATAAACTTCCACCCGTTTTAAGCCACTGTTACTTTGCTTTTTACTGTCACACATAGCTGAAGCTAGTACATTGGATACATTGACTGTCCTAAAGTTAAGATCTGGAAGATCTAACATGGACAGCTGAGCATGGGATTTATTTGAGTTTGGGATAACTCATGGGATCATTCTGAGTTTTTTGGCAGTGATGGCGAGGGGAGGTGGCTTAGGAACAGGAGATAAAGCTATGGAAAAAGCAGTGTTAATCGTGGAGGAGGACTCAGACTGTCTCTGCCTTCTAGACTATGTGGCTTTAATAATGAAGAGCTGCAACATAAAACCTGCGAACCAAAAGCATTTTCTTGAAACTGATAGTTCCTGAAAAGAGAGAGGATAGAAGGAAACCGCTATTTCTATCTAAGTCCTGTGTCCCATGGACAGTTTCATTTGATTTTAATCCTGTATGGGTAAGCCTTGGTCTTTTCCCTTGACTGCTCCAAGCTTGGAGGTGCAGTACAGTGATAGAACAGCCGTGAATCCAGGCCAGCTCGCCTGCGCCACTGCTGACTTCGCCTGAAAATTCTCTCATCCATTCTTACCATCTTGCTGCATGCTCAGGCCTTCTCAAAACCACCTTGGGGACGTTCTTCATCTTGGAATGGTGCCTGTGAACAAAGATGGAGTTATTCTGTTTAGGTAATGCTAAGAAAAAAATTTGTTTTCCTTACTCCCTTCCCTCACTGGATACCTGCAGTAAGTAGGCCATCCCTTAGACACAGGCAGATAGAGAAGAGGCACTGTGGTGGGCAGAAATATGAGAATGCCCCCAGGATTCTCACCCACTAGTACACATACACTTTCTCCCAGTTTTTCAAACACATACTAATCTGGGTGCTGGCCAGGAGCGGTGGCTCATGTCTGTAATCCCAGCACTTTGGGAGGCCGAGGCGGGCGGATCACAAGGTCAAGAGATCAAGACCACCCTGGCCAACATGGTGAAACCCCGTCTCTACTAACCTCCAAAAATTAGCCAGGCATAGTGGCGTGCACCTATAATCCCAGGTACTCAGGAGGCTGAGGCAGGAGAATCGCTTGAACCTGGAAGGAGGTGGAGGTTGCAGTGAGCCGAAATCACACCACTGCACTCCAGCCTGGGCAACAGAGTGACAGAGTGAGACTATCTCTCAAAAAAAAAAAAAAAAAAAAAAAATCTGGTTGTTGATGTGAGGGATTTTGCAGATGTAATTAAGGCCAAATCAATTGACCTTAAGGTAGGGAGACTGCCCTGGATAGGCCTGACCTACTCCTGTGAGCCCCCAACAAAGACTGGGTTTTTGTGGTGAGGAAGACACAATGTGAGGGATTGGTGGCTTGGGAGAAGGATTCTGGAGAGACACACGGCGGGGATCTGACAGTGGCGGACAGTGGCCTCTGACAGCAACTCTCATTGACAGTCAGCAAGAAAATGGGGTCTTCATCCACTCCTGTAACTTTAAGGAACTGAGTTCTGTCAACGATGTAAATGAACTTGGAAGAAGACCCCAAACTTAAAAGAATACATGCTGTCCAACCTCTGAGACCCTGAGCAGAGATCCCAGTCATGGGATGCTGGATTTCTGGCCTGCAGAACTGTGAGCTCGTACATGGGTGTTGTTTTCAGATGCTAAGTTTGTGGTCACCCGTTACAATGCAATAGACAACTGACGCAGACACTCCACTGAACTGCTCAGTGACTAAGGAGATAAAGAAAGAGGATTAGAAGTGGATTCTTCAAGCAACGCCTACATCTTATGTTGGGTTCAGGAAACAAATCAAGCCGGGCGTGGTGGCTCACACTTGTAATCCCAGCACTTTGGGAGGCTGAGGTGGGTGGATCACCTGAGGTCAGGAGTTCGAGACCAGCCTGGTCAACATGGTGAAACCCTGTCTCTACTAAAAATACAAAAATTAGCTGGGCATGGTGGCACATGCCTGTAATCTCAGCTATTCGGGAGACTGAGGCAGGAGAATTGCTTGAACCTGGGAGGTGGAGGTTGCGGTGAGCCAAGATAGCACCACTGCACTCCATCCTGGGCGACAGAGTGAGACTGTATCTAAAAAAAAAAGAAAACAAATCAAGAATTCTGTTCTAACTCAAAATTATTTTATTAGACCAAAATGATAGCCTCAACACAAACCTAGAATAGCTTTGACACAGAACTTAACCTAGAAAGAAAATATACTCGGTGAGGATTTTTTCATGAGAAAGTAGTAAATTTTACCCTTCCCCTACAAGGGTGAAACCCTCTCCCTGAACCAAAGTTCTTTAGAAGATACAAAGTATTTGTTTTCCAAAAATTCACCCTACTTGTCACTATACCTGTTCACACAAGACAATGAACTAAATGTCTTCACATGTTCAGTGAAATGAGCACAAATTGCTACCAGTTTCAGTAGTTTTACATTTTATTTTAAGAATTTTCTTATTTTAAGAAAACGTGGAATGCTTCACGAATTTGGGTGTCATCCTCGCACAGGGGCCTTGCTAATCTCTGTATAGTTCCAATTTTAGTTTATGTGCTGCTGAAGCGATCATGGTTTCCGTTTTTTTCTGACCAGATTCTGCATAAGAGAAGCCTCCTGCAGGTATTGACAGATTCTTGCATTTTCTTTGTTTTTCTCCACTTCCTACTCATTCACGAGAGGTTTCACGTTTGACTACTGGTAGTTAACTGTGTAATCCACGTGGTTGAAGTTCGTTCCACGAAGTTAGTGGCGTACCCGCTCTCAGTCTTACAGAGGCTAACAACAGGTAGTCACAGATTGTTACCTGTGGCTTTCCACTTTAAGGAGATAAATCCTTCTTCAAAGGAAATCCGACACACAGCACACACACACGTAGTTGAAATTCTCATCCAGCCCTTTGTTTATCCAGCATCTGTTTGTTGCTACTCTCCATATATATGCACAGAACTGTTAGAATGCAATTTGTGGAGAAAAATAAAATACCCACACACACACACACACACACAGTCCCCTCCTCTTGGGCCAGTTATTCTAGACTGCAGGTTGCTATGTCAGTTGAATTAACCATGACCAGTACTAAAAAAAAATACGATATTTGGGCCGGGAGTGGTGGCTTACACCTGTAATCTCAGCACTTTGGGATGCTGAGGCGGGCAGGTCATTTGAGGTCAGGAGTTCGAAACCAGCCTGGCCAACATGGTGAAACCCTGTCTCTACTAAAAAATATTAAAAAATTAGTCGGGCATGGTGGCACGCCCCGTAATCCCAGCTACTCGGGAGGCTGAAGCAGGAGAATCCTTGGAGTGGGAGGTGGAGGTTGCAGTGAGCCGAGATTGCACCACTGCACTCAGCCAAGGCAACAGAGTGAGACTCCATCTCAAAAAAAAAGATTCAGGGCACTTTTTCTGCAGCAAAGATAAAAGTGTTTCATCAGTTGCATGTCCCATGTCGTGTAAAACTGTGTTTCTTCCAGTGGGTCGTGGTCAATAGTATGAAAAGCACTGACATAAGGGAGTTACAGTCTAAGGCAAGAGACAAATGGCAACACTAAGGCATTGAAGGAGAGATAGGAAGAACTATGAGCTCTTGTATCAGAGGGGGAACTTAATTAACCAAGGAGACTTGGAAATGCTTCCCGGAGGAAGCTCAAGCTGAGAAGCAATAAGTGGGGTAGATGCCCTTTACCCTGAGGTATCTTCCATTAATCCTCGCAGCTCACTTCTAAAAGTAGTCATCGTTGGGCAAATAGATGAACGAAAGCTTGCTTTCTTCTTCAAAATGATTGGTGGTTTAAAAGGAAAACTATTACCGAGTACAAAACAAATAAATTTTTTGTTTCTTCTTTTTTTTTCTTTTTCCTTTCTTTTAATTTTTTTCTTTGTTTCTTCTTATCATCTAGAAGTGCCTTTGGTCTGGTCCTTTCAAAATCTTGAGGGTTTTGCAAAGGTTAGCATTTTACATGGAGGTTCCCATGGCTCTGTAGCAGATCTTATATCATAAGTGAATTTATATAAAGGTTAGGGGAGCCACAAGGGCAGTATTTTTATACGTAGACTATCTGGAAGGTTTGTATTTATAAAGCCAAACCCCAAAATAGGTTTTCTTAAACTTTTAAGTTTGTTTAGAGTTGTTATATAATTCTAGTAAATTTTACCACTCAAAGACCCTTATGCTTGGTCTCGTTTACAAAGCTAGACCATTTTATATAGTGAGGATATAGTTATCAATGAACGTAGTCAATATTTTTAAATAGTTTAATTGTCTGACTTGAAAAATATCCTTCCTCAGCAAGAAATTCTTTTTTTTTTTTTTAATTTGAGATGGAGTTTTGCTCTTGTTGCCCAGGCTGGAGTGCAGTGACGTGATCTCAGCTCACTGCAACCTCTGCCTCCTGGGTTCAAGCGATTCTCCTGCCTCAGCCTCCTGAGGAGCTGGGATTACAGGCACACGCCACCATGCCGAGCTAATTTATGTATTTTTAGTAGACACAGGGTTTCACCATGTTGGCCAGGCTGGTCTCAAACTCCTGACCTCAGGTGACCCACCCGCCTCAGCCTCCCAAAGTGCTGGGATTACAGACATGAGCCACCGCACCCGGCCCAAAATTCTTATATGATAAATCAAACTTATAAAAATAGTGAACCTGATATTCTGAAACATCACAATGCTTTGTATATATTTAAACCTCAACTTAGAATCACAAATCTAAATCAATGACTCAATTATATGTTTTACATTGGAGTTACTTGGTTATTTCCATAGCTGAGTTCTCCTAAATATCACAAGCAAAACTAAATAGATTTTTACATATCCAAAAGTACGAAGACTCTGGTTATGGTACTTCTTTCAGTTAAAAGGCACTAGCCTTCTAGGGAATCACTGTCATTGGGTTGGACATTTCAGCTGGGCGTGAACTCTAAGGCAGCAGATACCCAGGGTGCTTCTCCTCAGCACCCACCACGGAACTGACCTCCCACCACATGATGCTGATGCTTCCCTTCCTATGTGATTTTTTGGTATTTCTTTTGCAGCCTGCTTGAAGTGACATAATGACCAGATACGTTTGTGAGGATGCTGACTGGGATTTGGTCAGAGGCCCCGGTAGGCCCACTGAATTCTTACCGTACATCAGTGACCTCATAACCTTTCAAGCTTTCTATTCATGAAGCTCAAAACACCCCTCTCAGTAACATACACACATCACTTGATAGATTTTGCATTTTCTTGGCTCTTAATATACTCAAATGCCTTTTTCATTTAAATCTAGAGTTTGATCTGGATGAAATAATGCATTTTTCCATATATAGGCATTTCTGCTACGTGCAATGTATTTTCCTAACAAACAAACAAAAAGACACCCCACTCTGCCAGATAATGTATTAAAATAATAGTGCTTCCGTAAGAGTTAGAGTGGAACACTCAATCCCTATACAACTCAAACCAGATGCTTACAAAATGTTAACAGCCCTTAAAAAAAGGCCACATATAGAGTCGAGGACACATAAACTTCTAACAACGACAAAAACAAAAATACAGGGTAACTATTGAATCTGCTTTTTTTGGAAGTGAAAGTTATTTGATAAGAAATTTGGGAAAGGGTTGAGGCTGCCGAGTTAGGGTGGCCAGGACAAGAGGCACATAGGAACAGCAAAATCAGCATCTCTATGACAGAGTATCTGGTCAAACTGAGCCAAGAAGAGTGTGGTGTGGATGGCTGTCGTGATCTCATCATAGCAGAGAGATCACCCCACTGAGGGCTTGCTGCCTTGGCTGCGTTAGTGTTCTCTGCCTTCGACTGCTCTTACTTACAACCAAACTTCAGTGTGCCAGGGAAAGGACATGTTTGAATCAACATGATTTTCTTGTCATACTAAAACAAGTCCTTTACTTTGCATTATAGAAACATGTTATTTTTAGCCCTACAGTTGATTTCTAATCCTCGTAGGACAATTCCCAAGGATGTTTAAGATCTATTTGAACTTTGAGTTTCACCTGCCTTCTATAATCATGACAGTGGAGACTCCCCATTCTACATATTCTTTCTGGACAGTTACCTGTGATCTAGTCTTCAGCTACCTTCTGTATGCCAGAACTTCATCTCTAGTTTAGGTCCCTCTGTTCGTCTTCAGGCTCATAAGGATGTACATATTGATCACTGGAGCTCTCTATCCAGATATTGTGCAGGACACCTCAAAGTCAAGGTGTCCAAGATGAAACATGTACATATATATACACCATTCTCTCCCCGTGTCAAAGGCAACCACATCCACTCAGTTTTTCAGGAATGCCAGTATTGTCTAGGAAAGACTATCTGCGTCATATTTCTATAGTTAATTACTAAGTTTTAGCTATCTAAGACTTTTTTTTTTTTTGAGATAGAGTCTCACTCTGTCGCCCACGCTGGAGTGCAATGGCATGATCTCGGCTCACTGCAACCTCTGCTTCCTGGGTTCAAGCGATTCTCCTGCCTCAGCCTCCTGAGTAGCTGGGACTACAGGTGTGTGCCACCACGCCTGGCTCATTTTTGTATTTTTAGTAGAGACAGGGTTTCAACATATTGCCCAGGATGGTCTTGATCTCCTGACCTTGTGATTCGCCTGCCTCAGCCTCCCAAAGTGCTGGGATTACAGGTGTCAGCCACCGTGCCCTGCATGTCTAAGACTTTATACAACATTAAAGTCCACTTATCTCTATCCCACTGCCACTACCCCAGCCCAGCTTCTAGCTGAGAACTGCAACCAAATATCAAGTTTTGTGACAGTGTAAACTATTTTGATCCCAACCTGAAGCCAGTCAAAATAAATAAATAAATAAATAAAAAATAATCTTTCTCTGCCAATCTCTTGTTTACCACTTTGGTGGATATATATTTACTTTGGAATTAAGTACACATTTTTTAGATGTGCAAGGCCCTGCCTATTTTCTCCCAAATAACTTTTGCTGATGAGGAGCTTGACTTACTCCTCCTTCCAGTCCTTTCTACGTAATAATGGTGCCCTCTGAGCCTTCTTGTTCCTTCAAACCCTATTAGGATGGAAGAAGTGACGCTTGAGTAGAATCCTTAACTATTTCTTTGAAACTGTTTCTGGCTTTGGTGCTTTGTGTACTCACTACAGCCATTTTACCATAGTTTCTAGATCATGACTGTCCAGTGACTTTTCTGACTCTTCCATGAGGATAGTTTCCTTGAGGCAAGAACTCGCTATATTTTCTGGCCTTTATATAGTTTGGGTGCTCACATTTGGCCAAATTGGTGTTTACACTGTGGTGAGGAGAAGCTGCAGCCTGTGACCCTGGACTCACTGAAGACTCCTCGTTAATCAAGCGGCCATCCTTATTCGGAAGAGCCCCAAGCATACTCACCTGTTCATTTTTCTCTGCCGAGGCAGTTGTCCGCTTGTGAGACCATTGCCTTGTGTAGAGAATTCCGGATTTCTTGGGCCTCATTCTGAAAAGGATAACGATTATCCTCTCTTGGAGGTTGCTATGCTAGAGCTATAAAGTCAAAAGTAAGCATAAATTTAGGCGTGAATTAGAATGTGGAAATTAGCATTACTGTCAGTCAAAACGGGGCTTTTGGGGCTCCTGAGTCTCCGTTGTTGACAGGTCAGGGATAGAAAATGAATGAGCTAGTAGGAATTGTTTTGAAGACCCCACGTCTTCAAAGACGGAAAGAATGATCAAGAATGAACCCCTGAAATTTTCTTTTTTTCTTTTTTCTTTTTTTTTGAGACAGAGTTTCATTCTTGTTGCCCAGGCTGGAGTGCAGTGGCACAATCTCAGCTCACTACAACCTCTGCCTACCGGATTCAAGCGATTCTCCTGCCTCAGCCTCCCGAGTAGCTGGGATTACAGGCATGTGCCACCACGCCAGGCTAATTTTGTATTTTTAGTAGAGACGGGGTTTCTCCATGTTGGTCAGGCTGGTCTCGAACTCCCAACTTCAGGTGATCTGCCCACCTCGGCCTCCCAAAGTGCTGGGACTATGGGCGTAAGCCACTGCTCCCAGCCTGAAATTTTCAGAGTAGACAATCTTACCTTGAAGATGACTTTTGCCTTCCCAGTGATGAATTTTGAGAGAGACTTGTGTTGCTGAGACAGAACACGAGTCTCACACAGGAGCATCAACTCTGTCAACACAAGCCTTCAGGCTTTTTGGGTGCATCTCACATATGCTATTCTTGAAATCCATTACATGACATCTCAGATGCTTTGCCATCTCAGCCATCATCCCCTACTGCACAGCAAACCTTGGAGCCATAACCAGATGTTCCTTTCCATCTCCCTAGAGGCACTCACAGCAAGGCCTGCGTGCACCTGCAATTACAAGTGGTTTGATCAAATGATGCGAATGGATAGAACAAGTCAGCTCTTTCTTGAAATCTGGTAGATCCAAGCTAGCCTTCATACTTTGCAGGGAGGAAGAGAAGGATTAAGGAGAGAAAAATCAATAAAAACCTCTCATCTTGACCTGATTTTTTTGCAGCAACAGGAATTTGTCTTTAATGTCAGCTCACGATCACATGCCTTCATCTTCTGAGTCACACTCTGACTGAGTCACACTTGCCATTCTTAGCCTGTATAGAAGTTGTCTGGGACTTTCCTCCCTCCACCCTACACCTCCCTCAGAATGTTACTGTCTACCCACACTCATCTGGGAACTCTCATTTGGAATGAGGGGAGGGAGGCACAGTTTTGCTAAGAGGCAGAATAAAAGCATGCCCCGGGTGCCAGCCTCCAGCTGCCTGGGAACCCAGTCTTTGTGAGGTGGTTTTATTTGTGAAAGTCGTGATTCTTAACTTCTTAACTTCATTGCATGTTAGAATCACCTGAAAAGTGACAACAATTCTGATTCTTTTTTTGTTTTTTTTAGACGGAGTCTCGCTCCGCTGCCCAGGCTGGAGTGCAGTGGCGTGATCTCAGCTCACTGCAACTTCTGCCTCCCAGGTTCAAGTGATTCTCCTGCCTCAGCCTCCCGAGTAGCTGGGATTACAGGCATGTGCCACCACACCCAGCTACCTTTTGTATTTTTTAGTGAAGACTGGGTTTATCCATGTTGATCAGGCTGGTCTCGAACACCTGACCTCAGGTGGTCTGCCTGCCTCGACCTCCCAAAATGCCCAGATTACAGGCGTGAGCCACGGTGCCTGGCCTTGCTGGCTCCTTTTGAAAGCCCTGTCATAAACTTACCTAGAAGTAAGCGCTCTCTTCTCTGGCCTTACCAACTGCGGCTACAAGTAATCAATGAGCATGGGAGGAGTGTCCCCAGGCAGCATCTGGCACCAATTATTATTGGATAGTTCAGGGGCCAGGGGAACCTCAGCCCATCCACTGCCAGGGACGGACTTGACAGGATCCTTGCCCAGCAAGCCTCCTTTTGGTCACAAAACTCAAGGAGTCTGGTTGCCAGCCAAACTCCTTGAGTTCTGCATTTGTGGCTCATTCAGTTCTGTGGAAATGGCAGCATGGCTCTGTGGTTGATAGCCTGGACTCTGAAATAAGGCCACCTCTGGGCCGGGCGCAGTGGCTCACGCCTGTAATCCCAGCACTTTGGGAGGCTAAGGTGGGTGGATCACAAGGTCAGGAGTTTGAGACCAGCCTGACCAACATGGAGAAACTCCGTCTCTATTAAAAACAAAAAAAATCAGCCAGGCGTGGTGGTGGGCACCTGTAATCCCAGCTACTCAGGAGGCTGAGGCAGGAGAATCGCTGGAACCTGGGAGGCAGAGGTTACAGTTAGCAGAGGTCGAGCCACTGCACTCCAGCCTGGGCAACAAAGGGAGACCCCATCTCAAAAAAAAAAAAAAAAAAAAAAAAAAAGGCCACCTCTGTGAATCTAAGAGAACTCACATAACTAGAGTTTGTTTTCTCATCTGTAAATGGGGCAGGAACTCATGTCCACCTCACAGGGTCACATGTTGAAAGTGTTCAGAATGGTGTCTGGCAAGAATTGGGTGCCATTAGAACAACTAGTCTCGTTTCTTTCCGTTAAAGATCCTATTTTTTGCAGGGGGGTGAGAGGTAGAGTCTTATGGATAAATGTTAAGATTTCTGGGCCGGGCGCGGTGGCTCACACTTGTAATCCCAGCGCTTTGGGAGGCCAAGACGGGTGAATCACAAGGTCAGGAGTTCAAGACCAGCCTGGCCAAGATGGTGAAACCCCGTCTCTACTAAAAATACAAAAATTAGCCGGGCATGGTGGTGGGCACCTGTCATCCCAGCTACTCGGGAGGCTGAGGCAGGGAATTGCTTGAATCTGGGAAGAGGAAGTTGCAGTGAGCCGAGATTGCGCCACTGCACTCCAGCCTGGGCGACAGAGAGAGAGTGCCTCAAAAAAAAAAAAAAAAAAAAGATTTCCCTAAGAAAAGCAAAAAGTGGACTTTCTCATTAAGGAAGTGGTGTGCACTTATAGTCCCAGCTACTTGGGAAGCTGAGGCAGGAGGATCACTTGAGCCCAGGAGTTCAAGGCCAGCCTGGGCAGCATAGCAAGACTCTGTCTCTACAGAAACAAACAAACAAACAAACAAACAAAAAAAACAGATGAGGAAACAACGTGTATATACTTAAGCATCTGTTTCCCTATAAAATACTAGTTTAATGTGGGATGATTATTTATTTCCTAATATACTGGGTGTATTACACCACCTAGAACTTAAAAGGTTTTTAATAATTCCTGCAGAATTAAGTGATAGAAGCAAGCACAGAACAAGTGACCTTTGATCTCAAGAGTTTTTCTAAATTAATCTGCTATTATTCTTTACCAATATTAAATCCTATACACATGGTAGTAATTCAAATTATTTATCTCTAATAATCTCAAACCCCAGAATCTGCATTAGAATGAGGGAAGAAGTTAAACTATAACTCCTTTTTTTTGAGACGGTGTCTCACTCTTGTCGCCCAGGCTGGAGTGCAATGGCATGATCTCGGCTCACTGCAACCTCTGCCCCCTGGGCTCAAGTGATTCTCCTGCCTCAGTCTCCCAAGTAGCTGGGATTACAGATGCCTGCCACCATGCCCGGCTAATTTTTCTATTTTTAGTAGAGATGGGGTTTCACCATGTTGGCCAGGCTGGTCTTGAACTCCTGACCTCAGGTGATCCACCCACCTTAGCCTCCCAAAGTGTTGGGATTACAGGCGTGAGCCACCGCGCCTGGCCTTAGACTATAACTCCTAAATGTCAACCAAGTGTTTAAATTCTTATTTGTCTTATTTGTTTGAACTGCTTTTCAAAGTTTCCTGCCCAGGCTCCCCAACTTACACAATTTCTTTTTGACTTCTCCCCCATTTTTTTAAATCTCTTTAAGAGACAAGTACATAAAGCACCCAGCAGAAAGCCTGAAACAAGGAAATTTTCTTCATTTAACATTTATTAAAGCAAGGGGATGAACAATATAGCCTTTATTCTCCAGAAACAAACAAAGCACCTCCCCCTAAATCCTCAGGGAAGCTACGCAGATGGAAGCTCTAGAGAGCACCTCCCAGTGTCCAAGCTGGGCAACTGGTTGAGAGTGGCTGGGTTCCACACACCAGGAAACCTGTGCAGTTACAGTGCCCGGAACCTTCCCCACAGATATGGCCCCATGTCTTGCTGTGTAATGTTAAAGGCGAATATTGTCAAGCTGAATTGTGTCTTTAAATATTTCAGAGATAACAAGAGTGTTGCGATTTTTGTTTGTTTGTTTGTAATATTTTGACTCACCGTCAATCAGATTACACATTTTATTTCTGAAATATTCAGTGAGTTTTCTCACTCCTAAATAGTAGCTTATCTCTTCAGTTGAAATACGTGTTAGTCCGTAAAGGTCCAGATCGAATACCATTTCTCCCGGAAGTTTTTTCTAATTGTTCCAGCAAGAATGTCATGTTCCCGCCACTAAAATGCCAAAGCAGTTAATTAATTTAAATTCTACCACTCTCAGGGCACACGTCTTTTCATTTCGTAGATTTTTCTTCTTCTTTTGCACGTATATCTTCTGCTCCCAAAGAAGAGAAATAATTTTTAGTCACTTTCAGCACTGAGCTCATTGCTCTCTATATAATAGAGGCGCAATATCTAATCGTTAAATAAATAAAAGCTGCCATTGAAGTTGCAAACTATTAAAAAATTTTATTATATCACAGCTGAAACCAATCTTCAGAGACAATTTTATCCTTAAAGCTGAGGAAAATTGCTTCATTAATTGGCTTACTCCAAGTCACACCTCACATTTCTTAGCTCCTACTCTATTCTCCAATATTTCTTTACTGAAAAAACTGCTGACAAATTATTTAGAAGGTATATGTGTGTGTGTGTGTCTGTGTGTGTATTTGGAGACAGGGTCTTGCTCTGTCACCCAGGGTGGAATGAAGTGACAATCATAGCTCACTGCAGCCTTGAATTCCTGAGCTCAAGAGATCCTCATACCTCAGCCTCCCAAGTAGCTGGGACTATAGGCACACATCACCACTCCTAGCTAAATATATATATATATATATATATATATTTATATTTAGAGACAGGGTTTCTCTATGTTGCCCAGGCTGGTCTCAAACCCTTGGTTTCAAACTGTTCCCCCACTCTTCGTTTTATTTTTTAATTTTAATTTTTTTATTTTTTTTGAGATGGAGTCTCACTCTTGTCGCCCAGGCTGGAGTGTAATGGCACGATTCCGCCTCCTGGGTTCAAGCGATTCTCCTGCCTCAGACTCCCAAGTAGCTGGGATTACAGATGCTCACCACCACGCCTGGCTAATTTAAAAATTATTTTTGGTAGAGGCGGGGTTTCTCCACGTTGGCCAGGCTGGTTTCGAACTCCTGACCTCAAGTGATCCCCCAAGTGATCCGCCCACCTTGGCCTCCCAAAGTGCTAGGATTATGGGTATGAGCCACCGTGCCTGGCCTCCCCAACTCAGTTTAGCACCTTCTCACTTTTCCCTCCCCCAGTCCCTGGAAACCACCCTTCTACTTTCTGCTTCTGAGTTTGACTATGTCAGGTAACTTGTAGAAGGGGAATCATGTGGTATTTGTTCTCTGTGCTTGACTTATTTCATTTAGTATAATGTCCTCAAGGTCCATCCATGCTGTAGCATATGACAGGCCTTCCTTTTCAAGACTGACTTGAATATGTATAGTATATTCAAGAGAGTATATTCAATATAGTGCATTCAATATATGTATTGGTATGTGTAGATCTCATTTTCTTTATCCATTCATTCCTCGATGGACATTTAATTGTTTCCTCATCTCCGCTATTTTTTAAATTGTTTTGAGACGGGGTCTTACTCTGTTGCCCAGGCTGGATTGCAGTGGCACTATCACAGCTCACTGCAGCCTTGACATCTTGGGCTCAAATGATCCTCCCACCTCAGCTGGACTAAGGACCACAAGCATGGACCACTACGCCTGGCTAATTTAAAAAGAAGTTTTTTTGTAGAGAAGGGTCTGGCTATGTTGCCCAGGCTGAATTCCTGCTCTCAAGCAATCCTCCTACCTTGACCTTCCAAAGTGCTGGGATTATGGCATGAGTCACCATGCCTGGTCCCTCATCTCATAGCAATTGCCCCTATTTTGGATTTCCACCAACGGGGTTCCAATTTCTTCACATCCTCCCCAACTTTTGTTGTCTGTTTTTTGTTTGTTTTCTGTTTTTTGATAATAGCCATGTAACAGGTGAGAGGTGCTCTCTTTGTGATTGTAGATTTGCATTTCCCTGATGATTAGTGATATTGAGCATCTTTTCATATACCTGTTAGCCTTTCTATGTCTTCTTTGGAGAAATATCTGACTCTTTGGTCCATATTGTTATCTGGCTATTAGTTTTTTTGCTATTCAGTTATAGAAGTTCCTTATATATCTTGGGAATTAACCCCTTATCTGACATGTGATTTGCAAACAGAGTCAGCCCTCCAAATCTATGGGATCTGCATCTGTTGATTCAATCAACCGTGGATCAAAAATATTTTTTAAAAGACTCATTATGGGGCCAGTCATGGTGGGTCACACCTGTAATCCTAGCACTTTGGGAGGCGGAGGTGGGAGGATGGCTTCAGGCCAGGAGCCTGAGGTCAGCCTGGGCAACATACAAAGAACATATCTCTACAAATAAAATAAAATAAATAAAAACTATACAGGCATGGTGGTGTGCACTTGTTGTCCCAGCAACTCAAAAGGCTGAGGTGGGAGGATCACTGCAGCCCTGGGGGCCTGAAGCTACAATGAGCTATGATTGCACCACTGCATTCCAGCCTGGGTGACAAACTGAGACCCTGTCTCAAAAAAAAAAAATTATGTTCCTTACCTTGTTTAAAAATTGTTCTTTCTAGCACTTATAACTACTTAATATATATCTGTTTTTGATCTTATGCTTCTCCTTACTAAAATATAAATTCCATGATGGTAGAGATTTTCCTTTATTTTTTCCTAATTTCTCATTTATAAAGAAAAAGCTGGGGTGTTCATGTTATTTGTATTTCTTTCACATGTGTGGTTCTTTGATCTTCTGAAAATGTTATATAATATTTTATAATTTTATCACTCCTGTGCCTAAAATCTCTAGCAATTCCCATCGATTACAGAAAGAATTTCAAAACTTGGCGTAACACAGAAGCCTATTGTGATTGGCTCTCTGCTCACCCTCACCTCCAGCCCGACTCCCACTTCGTCAGGTTCTACAGTCTGCCAAAACCTCTAAGTTTTCTATTTTTGAAGTTTTTTTGTATTTAGAATGTTAACTATTTGGATGCCACATGCAGAGTGTGGGGGAAAAAAGCAAGAGCATTAAAAATACTTTAATACTTAAAAATAAATAATAAATGTGAAAGTCTGCAAATGTAGGCTTTTTTGGGTCATTCTCTAAACAACACAGTATAACATCGATTTACATAGCATTTACATTGTATTAGGTATTACATGTAATCTAGAGATGATTTATAAGTATACAGGAGGATGTGCAGGGTTAATGCAAATATTATGTCATTTTTTTTCCGGGACTGGAGTATCCCTGAATTTTGGTATCTGCAGGAGGTCCTGGAATGAGTCTCCTGCAGACGCTGAGGGGCCACTGCATTTTCTTTCGTTCCGCAGAATATGCATCTTCACGCTGTCGATCGTTTCCTCTGCTGTGCAGGAGCTTTTTGGCTTGATGTAGTTCCCTTTGTCTGTTGTTGCTTTTTTTGACCATGCTTTTAGTGTCACAGTCATGAAATTCCATACTTCTTCTGTGCTTTCATCTACACAAATACATATGTCAACATCTATAGCATGACCTCTTATTTTTAGGAAAAATACACAAATAGTGGAATATAATTTTTATTATTTAGACAAACTATTTTTGAGGGCAAAAATTTATTTCCCCTTAATGTCATATAATGGATGTCATATCATGTTAATGTATGTAAACAGATCTGCTTTTTAAAAAATGTCTATGTAGTAAGATGAAGGGCTATTATTTTGGCCTGGTGTGATGGCTCACGCCTATAGTTTCAGCGCTTTGCGAGGCCATGACAGGTGGATCACTTGAGGTCAGGAGTTTGAGACCAGCCTGGCCAACGTGGTGAAACTCCATCTCTGCTAAAAATACAAAAATTAGCCAGGCATGGTGGTGCACATCTGTAATCCCCAGTTACTCGGGAGGCTGAGACATGATAATCGCTTGAGCCTGGGAGCCGGAGGTTGCAGTGAGCTGAGATCACGCCACTGCACTCCAGCCTGGGCGACAGAGCAAGATTCCGTCTCAAAAAAAAAATAATAGTAATAAAAGCTATTATTTTAAGTATACATTCATGTAAGACTGCTCCATAATTTCAGAGTATATATTTGACAACTGTTGCAAATTCTCTTTCCTAGAAATATATAAATAAGGTGAAAAAAGCAATAAAAAAGGAAACATATGAGTAGAAATTCATACTTGGGAAAAAATAGACACACTCCCCCCTGCCCACGCACACACACATATATCCTGTATTTATCTACCTGGAATATACTTCGGTATAAGTTGCTGGGTAGAGATCAACTGAATTTATTTTTCCAGATGACTCCCTGACTTTCCCTAAACTGTGTGTTGAGTAACCTATCTTTTCCAGACTGGCATGAAATGACAGATATACAGAGGACCCTTGAACAACCTGGGTTTGAACTCCTCAACATGGACACTTATACACGGATTTTTCTCAATAAAAGTGACACCAAGAATGCCTGCCTCTCCTGCTCAGCCTTCCACTTCCTCTACCTATCTGGCCTCTGCCACCCCTGAGACAGCGAGACCAGCCCTCCCACCCCCACCTCCTCCTCCTCAGCCTACTCAAAGTGGTAACGACAAGGGTGAAGACCTTTATGAGGATCCGCTTTCACTTAGTGAATAGATTTTCTCGTAATAACATTTTCTTTTCTCTAGCTTATTTGATAAGAATAAAATAATACATGTAACAAAAAAATATATTAATTGACTGTTTCTGTTATTGATAAGGCTTGGTCAACAGTAGACTATTAGTAGTTAATGTTCTAGGAAAGTTAAAGTGTATTTTTGACTGTGCAAGGGGTCAGCACCTGTAACCCCTGCATTGCTCAAGGGTCAATTGTATTTTTTTAATCTCGCTCTGTGCCCAGGCTGGAGTGCACCGGTGATCATGTCTCACTGCTGGCTTCGTCTCCTGGGTTCAAGTGATTCTCGTGCCTCAGCGCCGAGTAGCTGGGATTACAGGCACCCGCCATCACGCCCGGCTAATTTTTGTATTTTTGTAGAGACAGGGTTTCACCATATTGGCCAGGCTGGTCTTGAACTCCTGACCTCAGGTGATCCACCTGCCTTGGCCTCCCAAAGTGCTGGGATTACTGGGGTAAGCCACTGGGCCTGGCTAACTTTATTTTTAAAGCTAGGCTTTCAAGCAATGTATTTTTCAAATAAGCTCCCAACTAGTCCACCGCCTCATCAACAAATAAGCCCTTACTGTATCTATAAAGTTCATTTTTTTCTGCATGTGCCAACCCTGATGGCATCTGGGTGATAGTTGTGACAGTGACCCTCTTGGAGTACTCCTAGCATCACCCTCTCAGGAGAGAAAGGCCAGAGAAGAAGCTACTTGAGTTGTTGATCTCAGAAGCCGTGTCTGGTAGTGTGATTGGGTCATATATTTTGGGAAGGCTGGTCTATTCTATGAATGCATTTCATCTATGAATTAAGCCCAAGCAAAATGTTGAGAAAGATGGTAAGGAAGTCTGCCTTCCCAAGAGTGAATGTGGTCAGTGATTTCAGATGCCTGTCACACCATCACTCCATAATGACAGCTGTCTGACTTCCTTCTCACAGCAATTGGACAATGTTCATTTTTTTTTTTGAGATGGAGTCTTGCTCTGTCTCCCAGGCTGGAGTGCAGTGGAGCGATCTCGGCTCTCTGCAAGCTCCGCCTCCCGGGTTCACGCCATTCTCCTGTCTTAGTCTCCCTAGTAGCTGGGACTACAGGTTCCCACCACCACATCCGGCTAATTTTTTGTATTTTTTTAGTAGAGATGGGGTTTCACCGTGTTAGCCAGGATGGTCTAGATCTCCGGACCTCGTGATCCACCTGCCTTGGCCTCCCAAAATGCTGGGATTACAGGTGTGAGCCACCGCGCCTGGCCTGCAATGTTCATTTTATTGAGATAACTGGAAATTTTCACCCACTCACAAGTCAACAAGTGGATGCAGTATAGTGTGTTGACAAAAGAGAAAGACTGGGAGGTAGGCGCTCCAGTTTCCTAGTCCTAATCCGGCGTATGTGGTAAGTGAGTATCAGGAGATGAATTTAATTTATTCTAGCCTCAGTTTTCCTCAGCATCTGTAGAAGGTAGTTGGACTATATGATCTCTTGACTTCCAGCTAAATATAAGACTATGATTCCATAATAATATAGTTCCTCTATTCATTTATAACTCATTAACAGAAAAATCGAGCCACGTGCAAAGAATTCTTGTAGTCATCAATGAATAACACGTGGTTATTGTGTTACGATGCCTATAAAATAAAAAAAATTATCTGGAAGAGGGAAACGGGATAGAGCAGATCAGTGTGACTTGAACAGAGACTATGCCAGCCTCCCTATTCCAAATTGGAATACTGGCTCTGTGATGTGCTATAACTGTATTGTGAGGCTTATTCTAATGATTTTGGTAAATGTTAAAGACTCCTCCTGGGGTTGTGTTGAAATAACACACTGAATGGAGATGGTAGTTCATAAATTCTTTTTCTAGTGGTGGCAGTTAGTGTTATTGTAGTCTTTTTTTTTTTTTTTTTTTTTTTTTGAGATGGGATCTTTCTCTGTCTCCCAAGCTGGAGTGCAGTGGTGGGATCTTGGCTCACTGCAACCTCCACCTCTTGGGTTCAAGTGATTCTCCTGCCTCAGCCTCCCAAGTAGCTGGGATTACAGGCGTGCAACACCACACCCAGCTATTTTTACTTTTTTTTTTTTTTTTTTTGAGACAGAGTTTCGCTTTTGTTGCCCAGGCTGGAGTGCAATGGCGTGATCTCACCTCACTGCAACCTCCACCTCCTGGGTTCAAGCAATTCTTCTGTCTCAGCCTCCTGACTAGCTGGGATTACAGGCATGTGCCACCATGCCCGGCTAATTTTGTATTTTTAGTAGAGACGGAGTTTCTCCATGTTGGCCAGGCTGGTCTCGAACTCCCGACCTCAAGTGATCTGCCTGCCTCAGCCTCCCAAAGTGCTGGGATTACAGGCATGAACCACTGCACCCGGCCTAATTTTCATATTTTTAGTAGAGACGGAGTTTCACCATGTTGGCCAGGCTGGTCTTAAACTCCTGACCTCAAGTGATCCACCCACCTCGGCCTCCCAAACTGCTGGGATTACAGATGTGAGCAACCGCGCCTGGCCAAACTTTTTTTCTTTTTTTTTTTAAGACTCTTACAAGACTAACTCATAGCAATATTCTGAAGCTGTGACAAGTTAGTATCCTGGAGGCTATCTTGGTAGAGGTTTCATGATGCCACCCTGATGCCACCTCTCTTCCTCTTTACAGTAGTATAACTCTTTGCTCTTATTTTTTCATAGCTTAAATTCTCATCCTAGCAATTCACGTATGCTTTACAAGGGATGTATAGGATTGAAACATTTTGAATTAATGATTTCAGAAAGGTGAGTTTTGACTAGGAGAAAGGAAGGTGGAGGAAAAAACATTCTCAGCCAGAAAACTTCTTTTTCCCAAAGTTCAAGATAAGAAAACATCCAACATCCTGTTGGAGGTAAGTGGGAAAGAAGTAGCAGTTGGAGCCTTGAAAGTCAGAAACCAATGAACGGAACAGCCTGAGTAATGGACCCGACTCGTGGAAGGCTGCCAAGCTGGAGAGTGAGGGGACGGAGACAGAAATATGGCGTGATGAGTTCGTGGGAAGGTCAAACTCGCTGGCCTTTGAGGAAGAGCTTTTGAGGTGCAACTTCCTGGCATGCAGTGAGCAGAAGGCAGGCCAGGACAGGAGCTGACTCCCGAGCAGGGGACACAGTGAATTTGTGGCATTTGTTACCAATCTCGGAGTTCACTGTGCACAGTCTCCACACTAGGCATTTACTTTTTCATATGTCCGAAAAAATGTCTGCACACTTCATTTCTGTCCAGTAAGAACTGATAATCAGGGATTTGAAGGGGCCTAGTTTGGAAATTTTCAATGGGTGAAAATAAGTGAGCAAAATTACATTTATACTAAAATATAATTCTTTCCATCTGCTCCATAGTGGGATAGCCTCTTGAGGCAACTTCCAATTAGAATGTCATTTTAGATGCTTTCCAAGATGGCAGATGGGTGAGTACTAGGGTGTGCAGGGAAGATCAATAAACAGCTCTGGCAATTCATCGTGCGCCTAACACCAAGGAATACTTCAGTGGAAGAGCTCTCATTTTGTTGGGATGAATAAAATTAAATAAAAGTACACAGTACCCAATAAAGGAACAAAAGCTTAGGCTTTGGTCAAGCAGAACAAAAGGGGCTAATGAGAAAAGGACTATGTATTACAGTTTTCTTCTCTCAGTTCTCAACTAGGTTTTATTAGTGGAGTTCCCAAAAGATTTGGACCAAATTTCCAATTCAGATATTATTAGAGATCATCAAAACTCAAATCTCTTTACTGGTTTACACCAAATCACCCAAGCTTCCAGCCTAAAACCCACATGCTCACATGGTTCCACAGTGCTGTTTATGTACAATAACCAGTTCTCAAAATGGTAATCCTGTTAGAAGCCAGAATCCTCAGCCTCTAGCATGTGTGCTTTTCACAGAGATAAGTCTCAAAGTTTGGGGTTGGTGAGGAGCCCAGTATACAGGAGTTCCACATTAAGTCATAATTGGCTTTGTGTTGGACAGTGTATGTCAGCTGGTGAAATCAGGCACAGAAGAGATAAGGGTTTCTTGTCATAACAACATAGGAACAGGTCACCCGCGTGTTACTCAAAACTGTAGGACGGCAGTGAGGGCTTTGCTAATCCCAGAACAGAGGTGTAACCTGGCTGCATATCCAGCCTCGAGAAAATGTCTACAGCAGATCTGATGGAGAACCTCAGGGAGGAACTCACCTGTTTCATCTGCTTAGACTATTTCAGCAGCCCAGTGACCACCGAGTGTGGGCACAGCTTTTGTCTGGTGTGTCTCCTCAGGAGCTGGGAGGAACATAACACACCTTTATCTTGTCCTGAGTGCTGGAGGACCTTGGAGGGCCCGCATTTCCAGTCAAACGAGCGTCTGGGGAGGCTGGCCAGCATCGCCAGGCAGCTCCGGTCCCAGGTGCTGCAGAGCGAGGATGAGCAGGGCAGCTACGGGAGGATGCCCACCACTGCCAAGGCGCTCTCCGATGACGAGCAGGGTGGAAGCGCCTTCGTAGCCCAGAGCCATGGTGCAAACAGAGTGCATCTCTCCAGCGAGGCTGAGGAGCATCACAGAGTAAGACAGCTGCTCAGCATGAACCCCACGACTCATCGCAGCTAACTCCGTTAGCTTTCCTGACGTTTCCTAACGTCCTCTGTGGGGGACAGTCACGAGGGCCCATCTGAGCACCACATCACAAACTGGCGTGGGTCCAGTTTACACCCTTTTTTTTCCCTTTTTTTGTTTTTGAGACAGAGTTTTGCTCTGTTGCCCAGGCTGGAGTGCAGCAGTGCGATCTCAGTCACTGCAACCTCCGCCTCCCAGGTTCACGCCATTCTCCTGCCTCAGCCTCCCCAGTAGCTGGGACTACAGTCACCCACCACCACGCCCGGCTAATTTTTTGTATTTTTAATAGAGACGGGGTTTCACCATGTTGGCCAGGCTGGTCTTGAACTCCTGACCTCAGGTGATCCGCCTGCCTCGGCCTCCCAAAGTGCTGGGATTACAGGCGTGAGGCGCCGCACCCAGCCTGCCCTTTGTTTTAGAGGCCTAGGACTGCGCAGTTACTGGTCTTCAAAGCCCCTTCATGACCTGGGACTCTGCTCATTTGCCAGAAAGGGTTTGTTTCTATTGCAGGAGAAACTCCAGGAAATCCTGAATCTTTTGCGTGTAAGGAGAAAGGAAGCTCAGGCTGTACTAACCCATGAGAAGGAGAGAGTGAAACTGTGCCAGGTCGGTGTCTGTCTGACTTTTGCTGCTTGTATATGACCCCATAAGGGGGACTAAAGGGAAATTTAGTGAAATATCAGGAAAAAAAAAAGACAAATTTTTCCAGTCTCACCTCTAAAATATGCAGTTTCCTTGCATTGGGCTGCCTTCTTCTGAGCGTCCTCGTGGGAGTCTCAAGGCTCAGCTGCAATTCGCCCCCTCTAGGAGCCTCCTTTGCATAACTAGACAACGCTGTGGCTTCCTCTATGATGGCTCTGGTAGAATTATTTAAAACACAAGTGATACTTATAGACATGTAACATGAGACGGAAAGCGATTTTAAAAAGAAATATCTCAAAAACATGGAGGGGAAAATGCAAATTAAAAAAAATAAAGAGACAGAGATATAAAAGCAAAATAGTGGTTTAAATGATACCTGACAAGTCCTCAAGGTTGGTCACGGACTTGGATTTGAGCTCTCCAGCAGTCAAAGCAAAGGACTAAATATCAAATTATATATTTTTTAAAACCATGTATCTGATTCTCCCAATAGACTTTGAAATCTGTTTTTTTTTTTTTTTTTTTGGAGATGGAGTCTCTCTCTGTCGCCCAGGCTGGAGTGCAGTGGCGCGATCCCGGCTCACTGCAACCTCCACCTCCCGGGTTCAAGTGATTCTCCTGCCTCAGCCTTCTGAGTAGCTGGGATTACAGACGTGTGCCACCATGCCCAGCTAATTTTGTATATTTGTGGAGATGGGGTTTTACCATGTTAGCCAGGCTGATCTCGAACTCCCGACCTCAGGTAATCCACCTGTCTCGGTCTCCCAAAGTGCTGGGATTACAGGTGTGAGCCACCGTGCTTGGCCGTAGACTTTGAATTCTTAAGTGAGAGTATTTGCCATGTATGTTTCTGTTCCTTTTTGGTTATCTGACACCTACTTTCATTGAATAAATATTTGTTGAATAAATGAACACACATTTTTCATAATTTTTCTTAATTTTGTTTTATTTGTATCATAGTCCTGATCACTACTTGTCATATTTCTTACTCATTTTTGGTTTTCTCCACTAGAACGACCGCCTCCTGGGAATGGAGATTTTGGTTTTGTTTACTATTGTATCTATAGCGCACATACCTCCGAAAACATCAACCTCTACACCCAGCGCATCAACAGATTAAATGTATTATATGTTGGATTTCAGGAATTGTTGCCATGAAACTCTAGGACTTGGCCAGGCATGGTGGCCCACACCTGTAATCCCAGCACTTTGGGAGGCTGAGGAGGGTGGGTCACCCGGTCAAGAGACTTGAGACAATCCTGACCAACATGGTGAAACCCCATCTTTACTAAAAATACAAAAATTAGCTGGGCGTGGTGGCACACTCCTAGACTATAGTCCCAGCTACTCAGGAGGCTGAGGCAGGAGAATCATTTGAACTCAGGAGGCAGAGGTTGCAGTGAGCCGAGATTGCGCCACTGCACTTCAGACTGGCGACAGAGTGAGACTCCATCTCAAAAAAAAAAAAAAAAAGAAAGAAAGAAACTCTAGGACTTGTAAGGATTAAAAATCTACAGACAAGGGCATTTCTCTTACTAACTTTATCTCGTGTGTGTGTGTGTGTGTGTGTGTGTGTGTGTGTGTTTTGGCAGGAAGAAACAAAGACTTGTAAACAGGTTGTTGTGTCAGAATACATGAAAATGCACCAGTTCCTGAAGGAAGAGGAGCAGCTGCAACTCCAGCTACTAGAACAGGAAGAGAAAGAGAACATGAGGAAGCTGAGGAACAATGAGATCAAACTGACCCAGCAAATCAGAAGCCTAAGCAAAATGATCGCACAGATTGAGTCCTCAAGTCAAAGCTCGGCTTTCGAATCTCTTGAGGTGAGAATAACATTCATGAGAGTAATGGGAAAAATTATAGTAACTCATAGTACTTCAAGCCATAGGAAATAATGTTTTCTTTATTCATCTTAAAAACTAAGTTCTGGTCCAAAAGTAGTTTTCCTAAAGAATTGACATTCTATATGTCAATAAAGCCTTATAGAAGAGAGAGAGAGAGAAAAAAAAAAACACATCCAGAGGAATAACTATCCCAAACAAGCCTGAGAGTGGCTTCAATTTCTTCTGTACCTGCCTCTCTGCAACCTCAGCTTTGTTAATTTTTTTTTCTAGTTTATTAATGTGTATTTACTATGTGCTGGGCACATTAAATTTAATCTTCACAAAGACCTGATGAAGATAAGTACCATTATGATATGAACTCTAGGTCTAGATGACTGTCATCTACAGGATGGGTTAATAGCGGCACTGATTTAATTATTCATACCTGTGGTACTAACGAGATCTGCCCGCCTGATAGTTAATAGACAGGAGAGCCCTCCTGTTCTGTGCAGGGAGCTCCTATTTCTCACCACCTTTGGTCTACTGCCCTTCTAGGCTGCTGCATTCTTCAGGACCTTTTTTTTTTTTTTTGAGACAGAGTCTCGCACTGTCGCCCAGGCTGGAGTGCAGTGGTGCAATCTTGGCTCACTGCAATCTACGCCTCCTGGGTTCAAGCAATTCTCTTGCCTCAGCCTCCCAAGTAGCTGGGATTACAGGCGTGTGCCACCATGCCCAGCTAAGTTTTGTATTTTTAGTAGAGACGGGGTTTCACAATGTTGGCCAGGATGGTCTCTATCTCTTGACCTTGTGATCCATCCACCTTGGCCTCCCAAAAGGCTGGGATTACAGGCGAGAGCCACCGGCACCCGGCCGTGGACTTTCTTAAACATAAGCCATGTGATCCAACTCCAGCTTCAGGTCTGTTTTGTAGACTGGTTCCACAGAGTGCTACTATTTAATTTAGTGCCTTCCAAACACACCACCCCGACCTGACACAGGCTTGGTTAGCCTCAGTTCTCACCAGCCCATTTTCCTTTGTTATCTCTGCCTCTCACTGGATGATCGAGACTAACAGGTTGGCTTGTTTGCAGAACAGGTTCCCTGGACAAGGTGATGATACGAGAAAAAGAAAAGGACAAAGTATTCTCTAGTCATTGTGAGAAACACCTTGTGTTCACCACAGCACATCCCTGGAAGAAACTGGGGACGCTTTTCTCTGCTCTCTGTGCTCCCACTCATGGTGTGCTTCATGGGAAGCAGATTCTGTGAGCTTTGCAAGGACTGTATGCAAAATGAATTTCGTCTGTGTTATGATCAAAGCGCACCATGCTAACTTCTTTCTTTTTTACCCGTAGGAAGTGAGAGGAGCCCTGGAAAGGTAGGCTTTCATTCTGTGTTCAGTTATGCAAGCTGCGGGGCAGTGGTGCTGATGGACAGTTCTGAGTGGGGATAGGAGGTCTGCGCTGTTGCTGGGGGAGAAATGAGGTGGACTCTCCAGCTGGAGCAGGTCACGCGGTCTGTGCCGAGGAGTGAACCTCTCTGCTCTCTTGCAGGAGCGAGCCACTCTTGCTTCAGTGTCCAGAGGCCACCACCACAGAGCTGAGTCTGTGCCGCATCACGGGAATGAAGGAGATGCTAAGAAAATTCAGCAGTAAGTCAGCCTGATTTGTTACCCCTCCGGGGCTCGAAGAATTAACTTCAGCATACCTTCTTCCAGTGTCAGACATTCACGATCTGACACGAGGCTCCTGGTTAAGGAATCCGGGCCAGCACGGAACACCAGGGAGGGCTGGGGCCACAGACCGTCTCTGAGCGTGAGCAGAGAGAAGCAGTGAGACTTGACTCAGGCTTTATCTGGCTTTGTTTTCTGTCTAAAGGGTCTTTTTTTTTTTTTCTTTGAGACGGAGTCTCACTCCGTGTCCCGGGCTGGAGCGCAGGGGCGCGATCTCGGCTCACTGCAAGCTCCGCTTCCCGGGTTCACGCCATTCTCCTGCCTCAGCCTCCCGAGTAGCTGGGACTACAGGCGCCCGCCACCACGCCTGGGTAATTTTTTGTATTTTTAGTACAGACGGGGTTTCACTGTGTTAGCCAGGATGGTCTCGATCTCCTGACCTCGTGATCCGCCCGCCTCGGCCTCCCAAAGTGCTGGGATTACAGGCGTGAGCCACTGCGCCCAGCCAATCCTAGTCCTTTCTTTGTTGGTTTTGTCATTGTCTTTTCCATCCCCCCCTTGCACGTGCAGACACGCCCCCCTCATGCAGGGGCGTCTACATTTCTAGCTCTGATCCCGTTAGGATGAAAGCTGACTTAAATTCTAAAATCCCAGTGAGGGTGCATTCAACGAACTGTCCTTGTAGAATGCTCCAGATGTTTAGTCCAGCCAACACTGAGAGACGTCAGGATTAGTTCTCAGCTTTTATCTTGTGGACAATCTGACCTTCAGAGGAAGAGGCCTAATGAGCTTTGAACTCCAGAGTGCTGAATAAAGCCCTGCCATGGGCCCCGGCACTATGCTACTGGGCTCTGCGCTTACTTACAATGATAAGTAAGGCAGATTTTGCCTTTCCTTTTGTAGAATTTTCAATGAAATTGAGGAGGAAGGCATTAATCACACAGATAATTAGTTATGGTGGGATCTGGTCTATAAATAAAAGTATGAAATGGTATGATTGGGGCCGGGTGCGGTGGCTCACGCTTGTAATCCCAGCACTTTGGGAGGCCAAGGCGGGCAGATCACTTGGGGTCAGGAGTTCGAGACCAGCCTGGCCAACATGGTGAAACTGCGTCTCTGCTAAAAATACAAAAAAAAATTAGCTGGGAGTGATGGTGGGCACCTGTAATCCCAGCTACTCGGGAGGCCTAGGCAGGAGAATCACTTGAACCCAGGAGGTGGAGGTTGCAGTGAGCAGAGATGGCGCCATTGCATTCCAGCCTGGGCGACAGAGCGAGACTCCGTCTCAAAAAAAAAAAAAAAAAAAAAAAAAAAAAAAAAAAGTCAGAAATGGAATGACTGGGGTACCTGATCTTGTCTGGACAGTGAGTGGAAGTTGGAATCCTCAGCCAGGCATGGTGGCTCATGCCTGTAATCCCAGCACTTTGGGAGACTGAGGTGGGTGGATCACCCGAGGTCGGGAGTTTGAGACCAGCCTGGCCAGCATGATGAAACCCCATCTCTACTAAAAATACAAAAAACTAGCCGGGCGTGGTGGTGGACAAGACTACTACTCGGGAGGCTGAGGCAAGAGAATCACTTGAACCTGGGAGACGAGGTTGCAGTGAGTCAAGATCGCGTCATTGCAGTCCAGGCTGGGCAACAAGAGCAAAACTGTCTCAGGAAAAAAATAAAAAAATAAAAGGAGGCCCCATATGTGACTGTCGGTTCACAGACTATGTGTGCTTCATCACATGGTCCCTGGGTGCTGCACTGAACTCACAGGAAGCTGCATTTGTCATGACATAATGAAAAAGGCTGATTAGGGATTGTGATTTGTGATTTGAACACTCAGTAACCGTGTAATCTTGGTGAAGTTTCCTAACCTTCCTGAACCTGTTTTCTTTTTTGTAAAAATTATAGAAAAGAATGCTTGCAGTGATTAAATGAGATAATGTACAGAAAATGTTTGGCACATTAGAAGTTCAGCCAAAGATAAGTGCTATTTTCTCTCCCACCCAAACTGAAGAACCAGAACCTCCCATGGCTAATATGATGCGAACAACCAAGGGTGTCCCTATGTGGACGCACAGCTCGGAGCTCTAAAGATGTCCTGTGAACAGAGCGACGCCCATTCCACCCACAGGGATTCTCCTCCCCACCTCAGGCAGGCTAAAGCTCCTTCTCCACGTGGCTCTTCTCTCTGTCTCCATTTAGAGCTTCATGCTATGTGTTGTGGAACAGTCAAAGAAGAGCTCAGAAATTTTGTTCTCAACCAAATACTGTTTTTTTCTGAAACTGAGTCTTGCTCTGTCGCCCAGGCTGGAGTGCAGTGGTATAATCTTGGCTCACTGCAACCTCCACCTCCTGGGTTCAAGCAATTCTCGTGCCTCAGCCTCCTGAGTAGTTCGGATTACAAGCACGTGCCACCATGCCTGGCTATGTTTTGTATTTTTAGTAGAGACGGGGTTTCACCATGTTGCCCAGGCTGGTCTTGAACTCCTGACCTTGTGATCTGCCTGCCTCACCCTCCCAAAGTGCTGCATTACAGGCGCGAGCCATCACGCCCGGCCCCAAATTACATTTAAAAAACCAGGACTAAATACTAAGAATTCAATGGAAATCTCACATACCTAAGAGGTTTTTCAAGCATGCCCAAGGGAAATCTCTTCTTTCCTCCTCTTGCAGCGGAGATAACGCTGGACCCAGCCACAGCTAATGCCTATCTCGTGTTGTCGGAGGATCTGAAGAGTGTGAAATATGGGGGAAGCAGACAGCAGCTACCCGACAACCCGGAAAGATTTGACCAGTCTGCGACTGTGCTGGGTACTCAGATCTTCACCAGTGGGAGACACTACTGGGAGGTGGAGGTGGGAAACAAGACCGAGTGGGAAGTGGGCATCTGCAAGGACTCTGTGAGCAGAAAGGGGAATCTCCCCAAGCCACCTGGGGACCTGTTCTCACTAATAGGTTTAAAAATCGGAGATGATTACAGCCTCTGGGTCTCGTCACCTTTGAAAGGTCAGCACGTCAGAGAGCCTGTGTGTAAGGTTGGTGTCTTCCTGGACTATGAATCTGGACATATAGCATTCTACAACGGGACGGATGAATCCCTCATCTACAGCTTCCCGCAGGCTTCTTTCCAAGAGGCCCTCAGGCCTATCTTTTCCCCCTGCCTCCCAAATGAGGGGACAAACACAGACCCTCTCACCATCTGCTCACTGAACAGCCACGTCTGAGGGGCGTGCCCTGAGCCGTCACAGCGGGCGATGTCTGAGACCAAGACACAACTATTAAGACGATGAAGGCATCGACAGTATTAATGTCAGGTGATCTGAAATAAACTCCCGTAACCCCACCCCACCCCCAAGAGTTTCCATTAACTTGATCCCATTATGAACAGCCACATTACACAATCAACTTCAACCCCAATAGAAGAGAGCTGATCATATTCTGTGTCTTTAAGTAAATGTATTCTCTGGGCTACCCCATGTGTGTGCTGGTCACTCAAATATTGAGCCCCTATTACCATGAATCCTACTGCCATAGGCCAGATTTTATAAATATATGTCACTTTTTCAAGTGTATTTAATTATTTGACTCTTAAAAACTGTGCTGCTCGAATGTGTCTTTGTCCTCCGTGCAGAGCTCCGCATGCTGGGGCAACGCAAATCCATCTGGGGAAACTGAGGCATGGACACATCTTTTCAGGGTGTGTGAGAGGGCTCAGATCTCATCCTTCTCCCAAAAGCCATTTTCCTTCCCATCCCATGAGCCTGCAGTGTTTGTACTCAGGAAGGCTTATATGTTCAGAACACTGCAAATATTTGTGTGAATGTCGTCATACCATTCATGCTTCCATAATCACAACAGGCTGGAACCTTCCATTAATATGTTAAAAGGTGACAGAGCAAAGTGTCTGTTCAGTAAATGTATCATGACACGGGATGCCAAGCGACTATATTGCATTGTATATAAGGTTCTTTTCGGTGCTTTTGTGGTTTGCTGTAAGCAGAAGGCTTTCAATCTCCAGAAGGCCAAAGAGCCTACCCTCTTCTTATCTCAAAACGTCAGGGTTGGCCGGATGCGGTGGCTCATGCCTGTAATCCCAGCACTTTGGGAGGCCGAGGTGGGTGGATTACCTGAGGTTGGGAGTTTGAGACCAGCCTGACCAACATGGAGAAACCCCTTCTCTACTAAAAATACAAAAATTAGCTGGGCATGATGGCACATGCCTGCAATCTCAACTACTCGGGAGGCTGAGGCAGCAGAATTGCTTGAACCCGGGCGGCGGAGGTTGCAGTGAGCGGAGATCATTCCATTGCACTCCACCCTGGGCAACAAGAGTGAAACTCCATCTCAAAAAAAAAGAAGTCAGGTTTTGTGAGGAAGTGGTGGTGGCTGAGGGGAGCTCTTTTGGCTGGTGGTCTGCATTAGGCTCGCTGTCTTTAGTGATCTATCCCTGCAGGTGTTTGTTTGTTTGTTTTAAGATGCAATCTCGCTCTGTCACCCAGGCTGGAGTGCAATGGAGCGATCGCAGCTCACTGCAACCTCCACCTCCGGGGTTCAAGCAATTCTCCTGCCTCAACTTCCCAAGTAGCTGGGATTACAGGCACTTGCCATCATTCCCGGCTAGTTTTTATGTTTTTGTAGAAACAGGGTTTCACCATTTTGGCCAGGCTGGTCTTGAACCCCTGACCTCAGGTGATCTGCCCATCTTGGCCTCCCAAAGTGCTAGGATTACAGGTGTGAGCCACCGTGCCCAGGCTTTTTTTTTTTTTTTTTTTTTTTTTTTGAGACGGAGTAGTCTTGCTCTGTCACCCAGGCTGGAGTGCAGTGGCGCGATCTCAGCTCACTGCAAGTTCTGCCTCCTGGGTTCACGCCATTCTCCTGCCTCAGCCTCCCGAGTAGCTGGGACTAAAGGCGCCCACCACCACGCCCGGCTAAGTTTTTGTATTTTTTTTTTTAGTAGAGACGGGGTTTCACCGTGTTAGCCAGGATGGTCTTGATCTCCTGACCTCGTGATCCACCCGCCTCCACCTCCCAAAGTGCTGGGATTCCAGGCGTGAGCCCCCGCGCCTGGCCCAGCCTTTGTTTTTAAATGGAATGTTCCCTTGCTAGTACTGCAGAATGTCCCCGGTCACAGAGGGTATCCCTTTACCTCCTCTCATCTCTCAGATAAGCCATTGTCCTAAGGCAGGCAAGACAGTGGATACGATTTAACCACCACTCCAGACTGTGTTATTACTAAGATGTTTAGGAAAAATGTTTATCAGAGTTTTGTCTGTAAATTGGAGACTCGGTTGGAAAGAAATTAATAATTCAACCTGTTAATCAGCACACAAGGCCTTAAAAAGAGGTCTGTGAAATAAAGAGGGTTTACTGTAGGGTGCGCTTATCCTTCTCACCCATCTGAATCTGCTTTCTCTTGCCACTCTATACGTTTCAATCTTGTGTCCTCGAAGGCAGGGGAGCAAAGAAGAAACAGGCTCAAGAGTCTGGGAAATGCTGTCTCCTGTGCTTTGCATTCACCATTTAATTCCCACCCTGAATTCAGCATTTAATTCCCACCTTGACATCACGCACAATCAGAGTTTGAGACTTGCAGAGGGGAGCCCAGCACGTCCTCCTTAGACTATCTGTGGCCCACTGTGTTTCCTTCTTATTTATGTATTTATTTATTTATTTGAGATGGAGTCTGGCTCTCTCGCCAGGCTGGAATGCAGTGGCGCCATCTTGGCTCACCGAAACCTCTAACCCCTGGGTTCAAACGATTCTCCTGCCTCAGCCTCCCGAGTAGCTGGGACTACAGGTGCTCGCGCACCACCATGCCCAGCTAATTTTTCTATTTTTATAGAGACAGGGTTTCACCATGTTGGCCAGGATGGTCTTGATCTCCTGACCTCCTGATCCGCCCACCTCAGCCTCCCAAAGTGTTGAGATTAGAGACGTGAGCCACCGCGCCCGGCCTTATTTTATTTATTTTTAAAAATTATTATTATTATTTTTTGAGACAGAGTTTTGCTCTTTTACCCAGCCTGGAGTGAAGTGGCATGATCTCGGCTCACTGCAGCCTCCTCCCCACAGGGTTCAAGTAATTCTCCTGCCTCAGCCTCCTGAGTAGCTTAATCCCCATAGGCATGCACCACCACACCCAGCGAATTTTTGTATTTTTAATAGAGATGGGGTTTTGCCATGTTGGCCAGGCTGGTCTTGAATTCCTGACCTCAAGTGATCCACCCGCCTCAGCCTCCCAAAGTGCTGGGATTACAGGCGTGAGCCACCGCACCTGGGCCCCACTTATTAGACAGATTTTATATCTTGATTTCTCACCTCAAAAAGCTAAGAAACAAAATGATAAAAAGCAAACAGCAACCATTTGGAATACATCTTTTCTCAATTACCAAAAATCCCAGTTTTGTGGAGGGACTAAATAAATACAAAAGTAATACATTTTACTTTGTGGGCATTACATCTCATTGTAGCATAATCCAGTGATACATCCTTTCCTTTCCTTCTTTGTCCCAAAGTGGTAGATACTGACAAAGAGTCTAGCCTAATTTTTCCTTTGGCAAAATCATCCCCAGTGGCTCTTTGCTGCACCATTGTGTACACAGGGCCTGCCACTGATGAGGTGTGTGGGGAAGATTGAATCTATAGGATCAACCTTTGGAGTTTGAATAAACCACCAAGAAAACTTTGCAAGAAAATTGCCACTCACAGTTTCTGGATACAAACTCCAAGGTGATGAGACGTGGGGGTGAGAAGGGGAGTGAGAGTTGGGGGTGAGAATGGGAGTGAGAGTTATGGGTGAGAAGGGCAGTGAGAGTTGGGGGTGAGAAGGAGAGTGAGAGTGGGGGTGAGAAGGGGAATGAGAGTGGGGGTGAGAAGGGGAGCGAGAGGGGGGGTGAGAAGGGGAATGAGAGTGGGGGTGAGAAGGGGAATGAGAGTGGGGCTGAGAAGGGGAGTGAGAGTGGGGGTGAGAAGGGGAGTGAGAGTGGGGCTGAGAAGGGGAGTGAGAGTGGGGGTGAGAAGGGGAGTGAGAGTGGGGGTGAGAAGGGGAGTGAGAGAGGGGTTGAGAAGGGGAGTGAGAGTGGGGGTGAGAAGAGGAATGAGAGTGGGGGTGAGAAGGGGAATGAGAGTGGGGGTGAGAAGGGGAGTGAGAGTGGGGGTGAGAAGGGGAGTGAGAGTGGGGGTGAGAAGGGGAGTGAGAGTGGGGCTGAGAAGGGGAGTGAGAGTGGGGGTGAGAAGGGGAATGAGAGTGGGGGTGAGAGGGGGAGTGAGAGAGGGGGTGAGAAGGGAAGTGAGAGTGGGGGTTGAGAAGGGGAGTGAGAGAGAGGGTGAGAAGGGGAGTGAGAGTGGGGGTGAGAAGGGGAGTGAGAGAGGGGTTGAGAAGGGGAGTGAGAGAGGGGGTGAGAAGGGGAGTGAGAGTGGGGGTGAGAAGGGGAGTGAGAGAGGGGTTGAGAAGGGGAGTGAGAGAGGGGGTGAGAAGGGGAGTGAGAGTGGGGGTGAGAAGGGGAGTGAGAGTGGGGGTGAGAAGGGGAGTGAGAGAGGGGTTGAGAAGGGGAGTGAGAGTGGGGGTGAGAAGGGGATTGAGAGTGGGGGTGAGAAGGGGAGTGAGAGTGGGGGTGAGAAGGGGAGTGAGAGAGGGGTTGAGAAGGGGAGTGAGAGTGGGGGTGAGAAGGGGAGTGAGAGGGGTTGAGAAGGGGAGTGAGAGTGGGGGTGAGAAGGGGAGTGAGAGAGGGGTTGAGAAGGGGAGTGAGAGTGGGGGTGAGAAGGGGAGTGAGAGTGGGGGTGAGAAGGGGAGTGAGAGTGGGGGTGAGAAGGGGAGTGAGAGTGGGGGTGAGAAGGGGAGTGAGAGAGGGGTTGAGAAGGGGAGTGAGAGTGGGGGTGAGAAGGGGAGGGAGAGGGGTTGAGAAGGGGAGTGAGAGTGGGGGTGAGAAGGGGAGTGAGAGTGGGGGTGAGAAGGGGAGTGAGAGTGGGGGTGAGAAGGGGAGTGAGAGTGGGGGTGAGAAGGGGAGTGAGAGTGGGGGTGAGAAGGGGAGTGAGAGTGGGGGTGAGAAGGGGAGTGAGAGAGGGGGTGAGAAGGGGAGTGAGAGTGGGGGTGAGAAGGGGAGTGAGAGAGGGGGTGAGAAGGGGAGTGAGAGTGGGGGTGAGAAGGGGAGTGAGAGAGGGGGTGAGAAGGGGAGTGAGAGTGGGGGTGAGAAGGGGAGTGAGAGAGGGGGTGAGAAGGGAAGTGAGAGTGGGGGTTGAGAAGGGGAGTGAGAGAGAGGGTGAGAAGGGGAGTGAGAGTGGGGGTTGAGAAGGGGAGTGAGAGAGAGGGTGAGAAGGGGAGTGAGAGTGGGGGTGAGAAGGGGAGTGAGAGAGGGGGTGAGAAGGGAAGTGAGAGTGGGGGTTGAGAAGGGGAGTGAGAGAGAGGGTGAGAAGGGGAGTGAGAGAGGGGTTGAGAAGGGGAGTGAGAGTGGGGGTGAGAAGGGGAGTGAGAGTGGGGGTGAGAAGGGGAGTGAGAGTGGGGGTGAGAAGGGGAGTGAGAGAGGGGTTGAGAAGGGGAGTGAGAGTGGGGGTGAGAAAGGGAGTGAGAGTGGGGGTGAGAAGGGGAGTGAGAGAGGGGTTGAGAAGGGGAGTGAGAGAGGGGTTGAGAAGGGGATTGAGAGTGGGGGTGAGAAGGGAAGTGAGAGTGGGGGTTGAGAAGGGGAGTGAGAGAGAGGGTGAGAAGGGGAGTGAGAGTGGGGGTGAGAAGGGGAGTGAGAGAGGGGGTGAGAAGGGAAGTGAGAGTGGGGGTTGAGAAGGGGAGTGAGAGAGAGGGTGAGAAGGGGAGTGAGAGAGGGGTTGAGAAGGGGAGTGAGAGTGGGGGTGAGAAGGGGAGTGAGAGTGGGGGTGAGAAGGGGAGTGAGAGTGGGGGTGAGAAGGGGAGTGAGAGTGGGGGTGAGAAGGGGAGTGAGAGAGGGGGTTGAGAAGGGGAGTGAGAGAGAGGGTGAGAAGGGGAGTGAGAGTGGGGGTGAGAAGCGGAGTGAGAGTGGGGGTGAGAAGGGGAGTGAGAGTGGGGGTGAGAAGGGGAGTGAGAGTGGGGGTGAGAAGGGGAGTGAGAGAGGGGTTGAGAAGGGGAGTGAGAGTGGGGGTGAGAAGGGGAGTGAGAGTGGGGGTGAGAAGGGGAGTGAGAGTGGGGGTGAGAAGGGGAGTGAGAGTGGGGGTGAGAAGGGGAGTGAGAGAGAGGGTGAGAAGGGGAGTGAGAGTGGGGGTGAGAAGGGGAGTGAGAGAGGGGTTGAGAAGGGGAGTGAGAGTGGGGGTGAGAAGGGGAGTGAGAGAGGGGTTGAGAAGGGGAGTGAGAGTGGGGGTGAGAAGGGGAGAGTGGGGGTGAGAAGGGGAGTGAGAGTGGGGGTGAGAAGGGGAGTGAGAGTGGGGGTGAGAAGGGGAGTGAGAGTGGGGGTGAGAAGGGGAGTGAGAGTGGGGGTGAGAAGGGGAGTGAGAGAGGGGTTGAGAAGGGGAGTGAGAGTGGGGGTGAGAAGGGGAGTGAGAGTGGGGGTGAGAAGGGGAGTGAGAGTGGGGGTGAGAAGGGGAGTGAGAGTGGGGGTGAGAAGGGGAGTGAGAGTGGGGGTGAGAAGGGGAGTGAGAGGGGGTGAGAAGGGGAGTGAGAGTGGGGGTGAGAAGGGGAGTGAGAGTGGGGGTGAGAAGGGGAGTGACAGAGGGTGTGAGAAGGGAAGTGAGAGTGGGGGTGAGAAGGGGAGTGAGAGAGGGGGTGAGAAGGGAAGTGAGAGTGGGGGTTGAGAAGGGGAGTGAGAGAGAGGGTGAGAAGGGGAGTGAGAGTGGGGGTTGAGAAGGGGAATGAGAGAGAGGGTGAGAAGGGGAGTGAGAGTGGGGGTGAGAAGGGGAGTGAGAGTGGGGGTGAGAAGGGGAGTGAGAGTGGGGGTGAGAAGGGGAGTGAGAGAGAGGGTGAGAAGGGAAGTGAGAGTGGGGGTTGAGAAGGGGAGTGAGAGAGAGGGTGAGAAGGGGAGTGAGAGAGGGGTTGAGAAGGGGAGTGAGAGTGGGGGTGAGAAGGGGAGTGAGAGTGGGGGTGAGAAGGGGAGTGAGAGAGGGGTTGAGAAGGGGAGTGAGAGTGGGGGTGAGAAGGGGAGTGAGAGTGGGGGTGAGAAGGGGAGTGAGAGAGGGGTTGAGAAGGGGAGTGAGAGAGGGGTTGAGAAGGGGAGTGAGAGTGGGGGTGAGAAGGGAAGTGAGAGTGGGGGTTGAGAAGGGGAGTGAGAGAGAGGGTGAGAAGGGGAGTGAGAGTGGGGGTGAGAAGGGGAGTGAGAGAGGGGGTGAGAAGGGAAGTGAGAGTGGGGGTTGAGAAGGGGAGTGAGAGAGAGGGTGAGAAGGGGAGTGAGAGTGGGGGTGAGAAGGGGAGTGAGAGTGGGGGTGAGAAGGGGAGTGAGAGAGGGGTTGAGAAGGGGAGTGAGAGTGGGGGTGAGAAGGGGAGTGAGAGTGGGGGTGAGAAGGGGAGTGAGAGTGGGGGTGAGAAGGGGAGTGAGAGAGAGGGTGAGAAGGGGAGTGAGAGTGGGGGTGAGAAGGGGAGTGAGAGTGGGGGTGAGAAGGGGAGTGAGAGAGGGGTTGAGAAGGGGAGTGAGAGTGGACCCTGGGAAGTGTGTTCCCCCGTGTAGACACTCATCCCTTGCACTGCTCAGGGTGGGGTCTCGCTGCTTCGGCCTTTGACCTCGTGATAACGACATTCTTTGGATATGAAGGTGTCCCCACAGAACCTGCCACCATTCCTTAAGCTGTTCCTTATCCTCCCTTGTTAATTCCTCTCCAAATCCCTGTCTTTCCCCCCTTTCCTGAGGGGCCCATTTCCCCGGGAGATAGCTATTCCAAGCGGAATCTGCTTCTCCACCTCTTCGAACTTGGCTAGAAGAGGTAGGAAGGACATCAGGAGGAATCTTCTGCATCGGACTGCAATTTGCTTTATTTTTAAATTTTCTTCCTCCTGGAGCACTTTAAAAATAAAATATTGCCAATCTCTTATGCTGAAATCTGATATCCAAAACAACTTCAGATAAGATCTTTATCTACTCTTTTGCTCTGATTATTCCCAACTTCCTGGTGTACCTCCCCCTGCCCCTGCCACAATCAACCTATTATGCTTGGAGAGTACCGGTACCTTATCTGACCTTAGATTACTTTACAAGGCCCTCTTACACTAAGTAACTGAAGAATGTGGCCAATCCAGCCTTCTATATTCTTGGATTTATCCCTGGCTTGTACCTTGGAAGGATGAGATCCAATACGCCACCATAGGAAAATGAAAAAATGCTGAAATGTGCAAAGGTTAAAATAAAAATTGCATGCAATTTTACAACATGCAGATAACCAGTGCTTATATTTTTGTGTATATTTTTCTAACCCTTTGTTTTTTAATGTATGTATGTTTTTAACAAAATGAAAAAAAGGTTACCTTAATATTACATAGTGAACTTCCTTCAATCATTAGATAGTTCTTTAAAATATGAACTTTTATATTCCTAAATGTATAAGCATGTGTCTTCTACAAATTAGCACATTTTATTACATTTCTTATGCAAAAATCTACATTCAATAAATGATACGATATTATCTAATAAACACTTCATATAAAAATTTCTCACTTGTCCTTGTAATGTTCTTTATAGTTGTTTTTCAGTCTTCCAGTAACCAGAAATAATATAGGAGCATGCATTGAATTTAATTGTCTCAGAAACTATGATTTTTTTTTTTTTTTTACTTTTTTTTTTTTTTTGAGATGGTGTCTCACTCTGTTACCCAGGCTGGAGTGCAGTGGTGCGATCTGGGCTCACTGCAACCTCTGCCTCCCAGGTTCAAACAATTCTCCTGTCTCAGCCTCCCCAGTAGCTGGGACTACAGGCGCACACCACCATGCCTGGCTCATTTTTGTATTATTATTATTATTTTTCAATAGAGACTGGGTTTCACCATATTGGTCAGGCTTGTCTCGTACTCCTGACCTCAGGTGATCCACCCGCTTCGGCCTCCCAAAGCACTGGGGGATTACAGGTGTGAGCCACCACACCCGGCCTGATTTTTTTTTTTTTTTTTTTGAGATGGAGTCCCACTCTGTCGCCCAGGCTGGAGTGCAATGGCATGATCTTGGCTCACTGTAACCTCCACCTCCCGGGTTCAAGTGATTCTCCTGCGTCAGCCTCCCTAGTAGCTGGGTTTACAGGCACGTGCCACCACACTCGGCTAATTTTTGTATTTTTAGTAGAGATGGGGTTTCACTATGTTGGCCAGGCTGGTCTTGAACTCCTGACCTCGTGATCCACCTGCCTTGGCCTCCCAAAGTGCTGGGATTACAGGCATGAGCCACCACGTCCGGCAGAAAATATGATTTTTAATGGGAGTAGTATTTCATTATATGACTGTCCCTAATTTATGTAATCATTCCACTATTGTGCAGCATTCAGATTTTCTGTTGGTAACTATTATACCTCCCACTGTGGTGAACACAGTGCACATAAGCCCCTGGGTGTCTCTCTAATTCTTCCCCAAGTGTGTCTCCGGCAGGCAGGAAAGCTTACTGTGTGTCCTGCACCGTGTGCGTGTTGGTTGTACCCTCCCTTCGTTCTACCTGCACTGCAAGGCGTCCCAAAGGCTTCCCTCACACCCCCACACCGAAGGGACAGACACACTAGTTCCAGACCAGAGAAAGACCATGTTTGCCCCTGCCTTGCGGTCTCACCAGAGCATTGCGTTTATTCCCCAAGAAACTACACTGAGTGGAATTGGAGTAGGGCTTAGACTTTGAAACTAGACACTCAGGCTGGGCGATGGCTCACACCTGTAATCCCAGCACTTTGGGAGGCTGAGGCGAGTGGATCACCTGAGATCAGGAGTTCGAGACCAGCCTGACCAACATGGAGAAACCCCGTCTCTACTAAAAATACAAAAATTAGCCGGGTGTGGTGGTGTGGATCTGTAATCCCAGCTACTCAGGAGGCTGAGGCAGGAGAATCGCTTGAACCCAGGAGGCAGAGATTGCGGTGAGCTGAGATTGCGCCATTGTACTCCACCCTGGACAACAAGAGCAAAACTCTGTCTCAAAAAAAAAAAAAAAAAAAAAAAGGCCTGGCGCAGTGGCTCACGCCTGTAATCCCAGCACTTTGGGAGGCCGAGGCGGGCAGATCACGAGGTCGAGAGATTGAGACCATCCTGGCTAACACAGTGAAACCCCGTCTCTACTAAAAATACAAAAATTAGCCAGGCGTGGTGGCGCATGCCTGTAATTCCAACTACTTGGGAGGCTGAGGCAGGAGAATCACTTGAACCCGGGAGACAGAGGTTGCAGTGAGCCGAGATGGCGCCACTGCACTCCAGCCTGGTGGCAGAGAGAGACTCTGTCTCAAAAAAAAAAAAAAGAAAAAATAATTTAAAAATTACAAATGATAAAATTAGGCCCAGTGTCTTAGAGAGTATCAAATAAATAAGGGCCTGAAACTTAAGTTTCTCTAGCTCCATTGTACATCTGCCTCTGGGTTAGCCAGATACGAAGATGAAGCACAAAGGCAGTAAAGCCAGGTCTGCTGGGTTCAAATCTCAGCTCCACCACTCACCACTTACTAACTGTACCAGCTTGTCTCCCCATGCCTCAGTCCCCTCATCAGGAAAATGTGTTTGAAAATAATATCCGGGCCAGTACATGGTAACCTCAGCAAGTTGGGAGGCCCAGGCAGGAGGATCGCTTGAGCCCCGCTCAAGACCAGCCTGGGCAATATAGTGAGACCCCAAGTAATACTATTACCAAAAATAAAAAGAATGAGCCAGGTATGGTGGCACACACCTGTGGTCCCAGTTACTAAGGAGGCTGAGGTGGGAGCATCACTTAAGCCTGGGAGGTCGAGGCTGCAGTGAGCCGTGATTGTGCCATTGCATTCCAGCCTGAGCGACAGAGCGATACCCTCTCTCAAAAAAAAAAAAAAAAAAAAAGGAAATAATACTGCTTCACAGGGCTGTCTAGGGCTGTCGTATGCATGAAATGACATAACACTTGTACTTGGAGCATCACTTAATTTCAGGTGTAAGCACTCAACAGTGCTAACTATGAATCGCTCCTCACCAAGCTTGGACGTCTACACTAGCATGACGCTGTTTGAGGTTTTAGACACTGCCCTGATTCCTCACAGTTCTGACCAAGAACCTGAAACTGAGGTCGGAATATTGCCTTCTATTCCTCCCATTTCTGCCTGGGGGTCCTGGTTCTGTCCTTACTGTCCTTACGGAAACTCTACCTCACCAGTTTTGCAATGGCCTCTGTGGGGTCCCCCAGTAACCCTTCTCCCCTACTTCACTTTCTTTCTGTGCCCTGACCAAGAATCACAGAGTGTCCTGACAGCTCTTCACCCAGCCAGGTGCAAGCTTCTCCCAGCACGCCCAAACCCAAACCGGGCCCAAACCGGAGTCTCGAACATTCCCAGACACTCATTAAGGTCTCGAGGTTGTCGCCCGAAACACGGAAAGAAACTGGCCCTGGCCCCTAACCAAATTTCTTAAAACTCTCACATTCCATAATCCCTGAACCCCTCACTGCAGACACACGCAGGTAGAACACCTTTTTTTTGAGATGGAGTTTCACTCTGTCACCCAGGCTGAAGTGCAGTGGAGTGGTCTCAGCTCACTGCAGCCTCTGCCTCCCGGGTTCAAGCAATTCTCGTGTCTCAGCCTCTTGAGTAGCTGAGATTACAGGCGCATACCACCACGCCCTGCTAATTTTTGTATTTTTAGTAGAGACGGGGTTTCACCACGTTGGCCAGGCTGGTCTTGAACTCCTGACCTCAGGTGATCCGCCCGCCTCAGCCTCCCAAAGAGCTGGGATTACAGGTTTGAGCCACTGTGCCCAGTCTCTCTTTTTTTTTTTTCTGGTTATTATATAAATACTTTTTAAAAATGTAATTTAATTTTCAGTTCTGGAATGTATGTGCAGGACACGCAGGTTTGTTACATAGGTAAACATGTGCCACGGTGGTTTGCTGAACCTATCACCCCGTCATTTAGGTATTTAAGCCCCGCATGTATTCACTATTTATCTTGATGTTCTCCCTCCCCCTGCCCCACCGACAGGCCCCAGTGTGTGTTGTTCCCCTCCCTGTGTCCATACAGAGCACCCCTTTCTCTCCAAGGATCGCTGTGGCCTCTGTAAGCTCCCCTCATAACTGCTCTGAACTGAGCACCCTGCTGATGAGGGCTTCTTTCTTTGGAATCCCAATCGACCCCATCCTGGAACAGTTCAGAGTACTCCCTTGTGGGAATTCCCCCGCCGCTGCTTTTGGGGTGATTCCAGCGTTGGGTTGGCTGGACAAAACAGCCTCGAAGCATACTGCCCCAAATCTGGTCCTTCTGAGTTTCTGATTCCCTCACTCTTCATCTCTTATGACGCCTTCCTAAACATTCCTGAGAGTTTCAAACATTGTCTTTCATTTGACTCAGGGATTCATCATCCGCTTCCTGTTGAAATAGTAAACGCCTCCACATGGACTCACGGGTTCACCTCCTTCCGGTCTGAACAGTGAACTCCTCCGCATCAACTCACCCATTCACCCCTTCCGGTCTAAACAGTGAACGCCTCCGCATGGACTCACGAGTTCACCTCCTTCCGGTCTAAACAGTGAACGCCTCCGCATCGACTCACGGGTTCACCTCCTTCCGGTCTGAACAGTGAACTCCTCCGCATGGACTCACGGGTTCACCTCCTTCCGGTCTGAACAGTGAACGCCTCCGCATCGACTCACGGGTTCACCTCCTTCCGGTCTGAACAGTGAACTCCTCCGCATGGACTCACGGGTTCACCTCCTTCCGGTCTGAACAGTGAACTCCTCCGCATCGACTCACGGGTTCACCTCCTTCCGGTCTGAACAGTGAACTCCTCCGCATGGACTCACGGGTTCACCTCCTTCCGGTCTGAACAGTGAACTCCGCATCGACTCACGCGTTCACCTCCTTCCGGTCTAAATGGTAAACTCCTCTGCATTGTAAGTCAGTGTCTAGAGTGGTGATTTGCTTTCTGGGGTGTGTTTTTCACAGTGATGGTGGATCCACAAATTTCAAACAAATTCTTTCTCCACCAGTTCTGTTCGGTTCTATTTTGGTGGGGCCCACGCGTCATCACAGAGTATCTGGGAGCCCTGCCCTCTTGCAGATGGGAATGAAGGCCCAGGTGCTCTGGAGAGGTGACTCTCCTCTAGGTGAGGGGTGTGTGTGTGAGAGGAGTGAGGTGCGGTGTGGGAGGGTCCTTGCAGGGTCCGGCTGCTTTCGGAGGCTGTTTTTCTCAGCTCCCCGTTTTGTCCCTCCAAATTGTGCCCCTCTCCTTCCAATTGTCACTCTCCTTTCCCCCAACCCTCCCTGTCTCCCAGTTGTCTCGCTTCTCAGAAAGGAAACACTGGTTCTGTAAACCTGTTTGAGAAGAAAAGCTCGAGGTTTCTTGGCCTCTCTGCTTCTGGAGCCAGGGGAAAAAATAGCCCCAGGCTGAAGACAGGAGGGACCAGATTGCTGCTTGGTGATGCGATCTCACTGCAGAGGCAGCCAGGAGACCCTCCTGAGACGAATCGGAGAGTCCATGCTGCTTTTACACACATCCTAGTTCTTTTATAACTAGCCTTTTCCTATTAACGGACATCATTCAAAAGCCAGTTTTAAGCAACATAAATATTGAAAACAATACTATACTATTTAGAATTAATTATAAGTTTTGTTTTTAAAGCCTAAATCTTTTATTGTTGTTTGAACCCTGGGCACTGAAGCTAATAATGTAACTTTTCTCCCTTCTTTCTTCTTTGGCATAGATTTAAAGAACTGTTAGACTCATTTAAAATGCTATTAGGCATTTTAAAGAGTAATTGTTAAATGTGTTGTCTCTTGTGGGACTGGAAATGTTCTGTTCTTATCTGGCGCTGGTTACATCCTGTTTTTCATTTGGGAAAGTGCATTGAGCTGGAAATTTATATGTTCAATTTCTGTATGTAAATTGTACTTCAGTAAAAATTTTCAAAAAAGTGGCTGCCTTTTATAGCAGGTGTCCCATGCGCATATATATATATATATATATATATTTTTTTTTTTTTAAGAAGATGACCTCAAGACCAAGACCTGTTTAAAGGTGGGGAAGGAAGCAGGATTTGGCAGAGGGATAAGTCTAGCTGCCATGCAGGGACAGCTACAGGCTGCCTCAGCCACACACAGGGCGCCCTGGAGCTAAATTGGCTCTGCAAACTAGCCTGGCTGGAGTTGGACTGAGATATCCTAGCCGTTAGGCACTCTTGGGCAAGGTGGCTCCCCCAGCCGAGGCAGTTCCTGAAGGGGCTGACAGCTGCAGTCAGTCTATCTGCCCAGGGGATTCCCAGCAAAAGAGGCAACCAATTGCTGGGAGGAATCTGGGACATGCATCAAAGTGTCCACGTTGGCCTGGCGCAGTGGCTCACACCCATAATCCCAGCACTTTGGGAGGCCAAGGCGGACAGACCTGGAGTCAGGAGTTCGAGACCTTCCTGGCCAACATGGAGAAACCCCGCCTCTACTAAAAATACAAAAATTAGCTGGGTATGGTGGCACGTGCCTGTAATCCCAGCTACTTGGGAGGCTGAGGCAGGAGTATTACTTGGACCAGGGAGGTGGAGGTTGCAGTGAGCCGAGATCGGGCCACTGCACTGCAGCCTGGGCAAAAGGGCGAGACTCCATCTCAAAAAAAAAAAAAAAAAAAAAGTGTCTACCTTAATTCTGGAGACCAGGACTTCAGGAGGGAAGAGGTGGAGCAGAGTTCTGTTGGCCTTTCATTTTAAAACTCCATTTTATTTATATATTTATTTATTTATTGAGACAGAGTCTCACTCTATCACCCAGGCTGGAGTGCAGTGGTGCAATCTCTGCTCACTGCAACTTCTGCCTCCCAGGTTGAGGGGATTCTTGTGCCTCCGCCTCCCGAATAGCTGGAATTTCAGGCACGTGCCACTATGCCCAGCTAATTTTTTTTTTTTTTGTATTTTTAGTAGAGAATGGGGTTTTGCCATGTTGGCCAGGCTGGTCTCGAACTCCTGTCCTCAAGTGGTCTGCCCACCTTGGCCTCCCAAAGTGCTGAGATTACAGGTGTGAGCCGCTGTGCCTGGCCCAGCACTCTGTATTATTTAATTTTTAAAAATCCATGTAGGTGGCCTGGCGCAGTGGCTCATGCCTGTAATCCCAGCACTTTGGGAGGCTGAGGCAGGCGGATCACGAGGTCAGGAGATCGAGACCATCCTGGCTAACACGGTGAAACCCTGTCTCTACTAAAAACACAAAAAAATTAGCCAGGCGTGGTGGCAGGTGCCTGTAGTTCCAGCTACTCGGGAGGCTGAGGCAGGAGAATGGCGTGAACCTGGGAGGCAGAGCTTGCAGTGAGCTGAGATCGCACCACTGCACTCTGGCCTGGGTGACAAAGCGAGACTCCGTCTCAAAAAAAAAACAACTATGTTTACATATAGAGATATATATATTATCACATACTGAATGTACAAAGCTGTCCTTAATTCTTCAGGAGTTACATACATTGCTGTTGTTTTTTTTCTTATGAGCTACTATAAGGAAGAGGCTGAGAATGTCTTTAAAAAGAGCAGGCTGTGGAAGATCTAGTTGGTAGATCTTAGTTAGTATTCTGCTCTAGAAATCAGATTCTATTTTATCCGCCTCTTCTCATCTCCACCGCTTTTATCTTCCACTTCATGGATAAGATCTTGGCTCTGTGTTTGGATTCAGATGCTTATCTTTTCCCAGAAGCTTGGCCCTCTGGGGACTGTCATCCTGCCTTCCTCCCCTGATGGGTAATGGCTGATGGCTGCAGCTTTGTGCTTAGACGAGCAGCCACTGAGCCAGGCTGAGCTGCTGCTGGGCAGCCTCGGTGTGCATATGCAATCAAGGCAAAGAGAATAGCTATGACTGCAAGTCTCTTCTATGCATATGTCCTTTCTCGCTAATAACGATGATGATCTCTTGGATAACATATCCCAGATATTTCATGAATTCTCACATTTATGAAACGTCTGTAACAGGCCAAGTATGTGTATAACAGTTACACTACTTTTAGAAGGGTTAAAGAAGTTGCCTAGGCCGGGTGTGGTGGTTCATGCCTGTAATCCCAGTGCTTGGGGAGGCCAAGGCAGGAGGATCACTTTAGGCCAGGAGTTGAAGATTAGCCTGGGCCACATAGTGAGACCTCCAATTCTACAAAAATAAAATATATTAGCCGGCTGTTGCGGCACATGCCTGTTGGCCTAGAACTCAGGAGGCTGAGGAGGGAGGATCACTTGAGGCTAGGAGTTCAAGACCAGCTTGGGCAATATAGTGAGACCCTCATCTCTACAAAAATAAAATAAATTAGCCGGATGTGGTGGCACATGCCTGTAGTCGCAGCTACTTGGGAGGGCAGGAGGAAGTCGAGGCTACAGTGAGCCATAATTGCGCTACTGCACTCCAGCCTGGGTGACAGAGCAAGACTGTGTCTCCATAAGTAAATAAATAACCAGGCCGGTTGAAACAGCATTTGAATCAAGATGGTGGTCAATAGAATGCTGGGAACCACTGTGTTATTTTAATGATACTAAATTTGCTCATACAGAATTTCTATGAGAAAAAAAATCACAGGGGGAAGGAATAAGATGTTACAAGAGACCCAATTTTTTTCTTTCTCATGTTTCAGTTTCCTTCCTCTTTTTCTCCATTTTGCATTTGGTTGACCAGCACAGAAAAAAAAATTTTTTTCTAAAAAGCAAATTTATAAAAGTAAATTTATTTACTTTTTGGGGAACAAAATGTAGAATCTTAAAATGGCAGCAAAGTTTAGTCATAAAACAGAATCAGTAGAGTAAAATCTCACATTCTTGGTTATTAATTAACCAGAGGGTCCCATGAGTATTGCAAGCCAAGTATCAGTGCTCTGGACTTGAAATAACCAATAGTTTTCTCAATAGGGCTGAGGGTTTGCCGACTGCTGATTGATATTCATCAGCAAACCCCTGACATCCTGGTGTCAACATCTTAGGTAGCAGATGTTAACCTCTGGAACATTAATAAAAGGTGGTAGATCAAGGCCATACTGATGAGAAATTGGGGTATTATGGGAAGTCAGTCATTAAGAAGAATTATCCCTATAGTTTATAAGGATATATTTTATACATGTTTATCATTTTACCACCTTGTGAAAGGTCATTTTTAAAAAAGACCAAGATGGCCGGGCGTGGCTCACACCTGTAATTCCAGCACTTTGGGAGGCTGAGGCAGATGGATTGTTTGAGCTCAGGAGTTCAAGACGAGCCTGGGCAACCTGGTGAAACCCCATCTCTACCAGAAATACAAATATTAGCCAGGCGTGGTGGTGCATGCCTGTAGTCCCAGCTACTTGGGAAGCTGAGGCAAGAGAATTGCTTGAACTCAGGAAGGAGAGGTTGTAGCGAACCGAGATCACACCACTGCACTCCATCCTGGGCAACAGAGCAAGACTCCGTCTCAAAAAAAAAAAAAAAAAAAGTCTGGGTGTGGTGGCTCACCCCTGTAATCCCAGCACTTTGGGAGGCCAAGGTGGGCAGATGATGAGGTCAGGAGTTCGAGGCTAGCCTGGCCAACATAGTGAAACCCCGTTTCTACTAAAAATACAAAAAAATTAGCCAGGCATGGTGGCGCATACCTGTAGTCCCAGCTAGTCGGGAGGCTGAGGCAGGAGAATCACTTGAACCCAGGAGGCGGAGGTTGCGGTGAGCTGAGATCAGGCTCAAGCCTGGGCAACAGACCTAGACTCTGTCTCAAAAAATAAAAAGGAAAAAAAAAAAAAGACCAAGATGACTTTCGTCTTTTTCTTCTTTTGAGATCTACACAGGAACAGCTTTGAGGGCTGCTGTGCCTACACCTCAGCAGAGAGAAAAGACCACTGTTGGAGAAAGTTGTTAATTAAGGAACTTATTAAATGATAGAAACAAAGGAAAGGAAAACAATTTTGTCAATTTGGGCCAATGCTGACGAGCTAATTATTTTGCTAACCGAGATTCAAGGAGAGGAAAGAAAATCAATGAGCTGAAAAGGCATCTTATTTAATCTAAGAAACCTATTCAAAAAAGTTTGAGAACAAATTTTCTTTTCTTTTTTTTTTTTTCAGACAGAGTCTTGCTCTGTTGCCCAGGCTGGAGTGCAGTGGTGTGATCTCGGCTCACTGCAACCTCTGCCTCCTGGGCTCAAGCAATTCTCCTGCCTCAGCCTCCTGAGTAGCTGGGATTACAGGCACCCAACACCACACCCGGCTAATTTTTGTATTTTTAGTAGAGACTAGAAATACATGAGGTTTTGCCATGTTGGCCAGGCTGGTCAGGTCTTGAACTCCTGACCTCAAGTGATCCACCCACATCAACCTCCCAAAGTGCTGGGATTACAGGTGTGAGCCACCACGCCTGGCCTAAATTTTCTTTTTCTTTTTCTTTCTTTTTTTTAATTTGGTATCTCACACTGTTGTCCAGGCTGGAGTGCAATGGTGCGATCTTGGCTCACTGCCAGCTCCGCCTCCCGGGTTCACACAATTCTCCTGCCTCAGCTTCCCAAGTAGCTGGGACTACAGGCACACACCACCAAACCTGGCTAATTTTTTGTATTTTTAGTAGAGACGAGGTTTCACCATGTTAGCCAGGATGGTCTCAATCTCCTGACCTCGTGATCCACCTGCCTTGGGCTCCCAAAGTGCTGGGATTACAGGTGTGAGCCACTGCGCCCGGCCTAAATTTTCTTTTTCTGAAAGAAATAATGAAACCTCATTAAGTCACTATGTGCTAACTGGATGTTGATGATCTCATAATAGGTAAAGGCCAGGTGCTATACCAAAGATAACCCCAAATAGTGTAGATTAAACAGCAGAAAACTTTCTCTCAGGTAACCTTTCTTGGTGAATTAGTGGTCTCTGCTCCACAGAGTCATTCAGGAACTGGGACTAGCAGAGTGTCTCCGCCACACCCAGCACAGGGTTTTAAAGTCAGCTTCAGTCATGACCACTTCAAGCTGCTAGAAGCTGGGCAGGTAAGGGAGCCTGGAAGTTCAGAGCGAGAGGCTGTTCTTTCTTTCTTTCTTTCCTTCTTCTTTCCTTCTTTCCTTCTCTCTTTCTTTCGAGTTTTGCTCTTGTTACCCAGGCTGGATTGCAATGGCGTGATCTTGGCCTACTGCAAACTCCGCTTCCCGGGTTCAAGCGATTCTTCTGCCTTAGCCTCCTGAGTAGCTGGGATTACAGGCATGCACCACCATGACCAGCTAATTTTGTATTTTTAGCAGAGACAGGGTTTCTCCATGTTGGTCAGGCTGGTGTCAAACTCCCGACCTCAGGTGATTCGCTTGCCTCGGCCTCCCAAAGTGCTAGATTACAGGCGTGAGCCACCGTGCCTGGCGAGAGGCTGTTCTTTACCCGGATGACGCAGAAGCTTCAGCATCTCCTTGCCTCAGGTTCCACTGCTCATCCGGTCCAGGTGTCTGCGAAAATGGCTAGGTATTGGGTGCAGCCAAGCGCTAAGAGGAGAGCACATTTAGGGACCCCAGCAACCTCTGCAGCAGCTGCACTAAAACCTCACACACGTTACCTGCTTGACGGGAAAAATGCTTTGAAAAGCGTGCAGGCTTTCAATTCCTTATCCCCCTTGGGCTCAATGTGTTTTGAAAGTCAGGAATTTTTGGTTTATAGAAAAGTAACAAATTACACGCACTCTCCACTGTGTAGGACCCCAGTGGGGTCCGAGGCAGCACCCTTTACACAAATCGGTCAATATTCCTGGAGTGAAACATAAAAGTATTCATACGAAGTGGGATCAGTAAAGACTAAAAGCATCCTCCTGTCAGTGCGGGGCAGGTTGTCTCCGAATACACTTTTTTCCCCCGGATTGAGGAAAACACTTTTTAGGCCTGGATTGATAAATTGTTGATAAGAAATTACGGAACTGAATTAATGGTAAAACCATGTAAGTTAAGCATGATTGAGTAATTTTAAAGCAAAACTTCTAAAGCAATTATAATGACACAAGGTCAGATAATTTTTATTTAAGTTCTATCCTTTAAAATTATGGTTCTTTATATATAAATATAGTATTTGTGTGTATGGCAACTACAATAATGACAGGGTGGCTTAGAATTCTAGGAATAGGCCATGTGTGGTGGCTCATGCCTGTAATCCCAGCACTTTGGGAGGCTGAAGCAGGTGGATCACCTGAATCAGGAGATCGAGACCAGCCTGGCCAATATAGTGAAACCCCATCTCTATTAAAAATACAAAAATTAGCTGGGCGTGGTGGCGGGCGTCTGCAGTCCCAGCTACTCAGGAGGCTGAGGCAGGAGAGTCACGCGAACCTGGGAGGCAGAGGTTGCAGTGAGCCGAGATTGCACCACTGCACTCCAGACTGGGCGACAGAGTGAGACTCTGTCTCAAAAAAAAAAAAAAAAAAAAGTCTAGGAATAAAGGACTAAAAGAAGTCCCACACTCAACAGCAACACAGCTAACAAAGGTGGAAACGATGGCCCAGGAGGAGAGAGGATGGGCACAGGATTGGGAGAGTCCCTGTGTCCCCTGAGCAAAATTTCTAAAAGTAGATACTGTTTAAAAGGGAGGAAATACATTTGACATTGTGGCTGTCATGAGTGCAAGAGAAAGTGGTCAGTGGATGGTGCTAGGAAGCACCATTGTTCTCATCCATAACTGACTCTCACCCAGCTTAACCCCAGGACCTCTTCCTATAAGGCTGGAACCCCACTAGACCTTTGCCTCCAAGGGCCGCCCTGAACTTTCCTTTTCCTCCTTTTTGGAAGAGAAACTCGGAAATGCATGCGTTTTCATTCGGAGCTTGCTAACCATCCCTCAGTGCTCTCACATTTGGGTGCTGATTTGCGTCTCTGCACTTAGCATCACGCAAAATGTAGAAATGACCACTTTTTCCTGATGCCCAAGAAAAACTGGCTGAGATGCAGGAGTATCCCCAAACAGGAACTTGTGCCTGATCAATGTGAGCAGTGTGAATTTGGTCCTCCCGCTCCGGATGAGCTCAGCTTCACTCCAGGGTCCTATGAGAAGTGAGGGCTGGAAAATCTCTGTGTGAGAAACAGTATCACTTGAGGAAGTCTTAAGGCTTCTTAGAGCAGTTTCAGGTTCGAAGCAAAATTGAGAGAAACATAGAGAGATTTCCCATAAACTCCTGCCTCTGCACACATGCATCCTCCCCCATGATCACCTTTGCCCACTAGAGTGGTACCTTTGTCAGAACTGATGAGCCTACACGGGTACATCTTTATTATACAGAGTCCAGGGTTCACACTCGGGTTCACCCTTGGGCTCAATGTGTTTCAAAAGTGCTGCACATTCCTTGGGTTTGACCAGTGTATAATGACATGCATCCACCACTATCGTATTGTACTGAGTCGTTTCTCTGCCCTAAAAATCCTCTGTGCTCTACGTATTCATCCTTCTCTACCTAGTAACCCTTGGCAACCATTGATCTCTGTAATGTCTCCATAGCTTTGCCTTTTCCAAAACACCATATAGTTGGAATCACACAGTATGTCACTGACATTTTTTGGAGCAAGGATTTAGTGACTATTCCTTTCTACTAGGATAGACTGCTTCCTTGCCTACATCTTCTGCTGTGAGACAGCTTCACAGTCATCTCCATTTTGCTCTTAATGTGGGAAGAGTATTCCCATTTCTCACCATCTGTCCAAGAATACCCAGAGATGCCTGACAACTGAAAACAGCTTATGTTTAATAGCTTGATAGGCTACGATCTGATGGCACGACTCCCTAAGGAGGATCTGATCAGATCGCTCATATGAAAATACATTCAGTTCTGCTATTCACTTGTTTTGAAAATGCAAATTTGTTCCAATGCAATTGGTGTATTGGAGAACAATTCAAGCAGAATGAGAATTTCATGTTTGTGTATGCATGATTTCATCCATGAAAAACACTAGGTGAGCAGAGACAACTGCACTTAGCTGAATCCAGCTGCCCAGGAAGGCATAAAACAGTCACACACTCACACACACGCACACGCACAGACACCCCTCAACATCTGCCAGCCACCTCAGTTCACTGACAATGTTATGAGCCACACCCATGCACATTTGGTGTTAACAGCTTTCTGTTTGATTTCCTTTCTTTTCTGTCCCTCCTGATAACTCTCCTTCTACTGCTTCAGAATAACTCATAAGCTATAATCCTTCTGATGCCCACTTCCACAAGCAAACTTCAGATATTTTTCAAGGTACAGTGCCATATTTATTGTAGTATTTATGTATTTCTTAACCATTTAACAAGTGTAAAGCTGTGCTACAGTGTTTATTAGGTTCCTTCTTTTTTAATGTGTCAGCTGACAACGTTTCTAGGTGTTGTGCCCAGGACCCCATAAACCTAGTAGTTTGTTGTTGTGTTTCTTTATTTTTTTAATTAATTAATTAATTTATTTTTGAGACAGAGTCTTGTTCTGTCGCCCGGCTGGACTGCAGTGGCGCGATCTCGGCTCACTGCAACCTCTGGCTCCTGAGTTCAAGCTATTCTCCTGCCTCAGCCTCCCGAGTAGCTGGGACTACAGGTGCATGCCACCATGCCCTGCTAATTTTTTTGTATTTTTAGTAGAGATGGAGTTTTACCATGTTGGCCAGGATGGTCTCTATCTCTTGACCTTGTGATCCGCCCACCTTGGCATCCTAAAGTGCTGGGATTACAGGCATGAGCCACGACACCCAGCCAAACCCAGTAGTTTTTTATTACACAATTCTGTAGATTGCAGCGATTTTTAGGAACACATGTGGCACTCCAGCAGCAGAAATGACTGTGTATGACAGGATGCAAAAATGGAATTCCTTTTCTCTAGGATTCCACTGAGAGTCTAAGATCATTTATGTGTCAACTTCCTCATTTGCAAAGGAGTTAGAAAAAGAATCACTTTTTTATTTACTCTTGCATGGGCAAGTACTAAAGTTGAAGATGGAAATTTATTTGGAAATTGGAGGTGCTAAAGCAAAATATCCAGGAGGCCATTAGCCTGGGGTTGGTTCTGTACCTGGAACACTTACACAGGCAAACCAAAGTTCAACTTGGAAGCATTTCTTGAAACTGATTATTATTATTTTTTTGGGGGGGGGTTGGGAGTGGTGGGGGGGAGACAACAACCAATAATCAGCCAATCAGAAACAGCCAACTAGCAACCAGTCACAACCAACTAGCAACCAATCAGTGAACTAGCAACCATTCACAAACAACCAACTAGCAACCAATCACAAACAGCCAACTAGCAACCAATCACAAACAGCTAAGTAACAACCAGACACCAGCAGCCAACTAATGATTAATTATAAAAAGCCAACCAGCAACCAATCACGAGTAGCAAACCAGTAAGCGGTCACTAACAATCAACTAGTAGTCAATCACAAACGGCCAACTGGGAACCAATCTCAAACACCCAGCCACAAACAGCTAATTAGCAACCAATCACAGGCAGCCAACTAGTACTCTATCACAAGCAGCCAACTAGCAACTGGTCACACACAGCCAACTAGCTGTTAGTTATGTAAGTAGGGACTTTTCACAAGATCATACTCAAATGAGGCCTGGCTGGAGTCAGTTGAGTAATTCCTTTGTTTTCATGGTCAGCCTGCAAAAGCTTGCTGTTCAGTCTGCTGGAGCAGAGCTCTCTGCATCTCTTCTGTGTCTGAGTGCTGCCCGATTGCTGAATGCCTTAATGCTCAAACTCTGTAAAATTTATTTTGTCTAAACTTTTTCCTTTCATGGAAACTTTCTTTGGAAAGAGTAACTTGAGCACCTGGGTCCCTAAATCTCCCTTCTCTGGGAGAAGGATGGGTGTACTGTCCCCTCACATCATGCCTGGTAAGAGGAGCTCCAGGCCCCTGCTACAGCTGACTGTGCGTCCATGGAGCTTGTGGTTACACAGTGGAGCAGTGCCTGCCTCACAGCTGAGAAGAGCCAACAACCCGGCTCCAGTGATCTGAAATACATGACCAACACTAAATTTTGTGTATTTGCCACAACTGCTTGAAAGAATCATTTAGAATGGTGTCACAGGTCCTGAGAATAGAGATGATGACTGAAGAGGGTTGTGGACAAGATGTAAGGACATAAGTAGAGGGCAGAGAGGACACAAGATGCCACGCTCCTGGCTGTGAAGATAGGGTAAGGGACCACAAGCCAAGAAATGCAGGCAGCCTCTAGCGGCCGGAAAAGGCATGGAAACAGCTCCTTCGCTTATCTTCCAGAAGGAATGCAGGACTGCCTACACCTAATCTTAATCGAGTCAAAATAATGTCAGACTTCTGAGACCTCCAGAACTGCGAGATAATAAATTTGTGTTGTTTTAAAACCACAGAAGGCGTGGTGATTTGTTAGCCCAGCTATAGAACACTTAACACGAATCAAGGGTGGAAGCAGAGGAGAAGGGGAAGAAGGGGGAAAGACCTTCAATTCGTCTTGGAAAGTAAGGCTCACAGTCAACTGCACACTGAGTACAAATTTACCTCCAGGGACTGAGGCCAACCTAGCTCAGGACCAGGGCAAAAGCACCTTGAAGTGCTGAGACCAGTCTCATCATATCACCACCAATAGCACAGGGAGGCTCAATTCCAGCAGACACACCCTGTGACTCCATTGATGACACAGTCTGTCTGCAATTGGCAAACTCTTCTTTGTCTGTGAGTAAAATGATGTTGTTTACAAGCAAAGTTGAAAGCATGAAAGATTTTCGATAAACTCCTCAGGGCTCATTACAATTGGAATCAATTTTATGCACTCTGGTTTGGGTAGCATCCTTCTATGATTAGAGGGTGGATGCCAAGCAGCCTATCGTGTTAAAAATAGGAAAAAGACTATAGGATTGTCTAAGCAGAGTGGAAAAACAGGCTGAAAGAGTTCAGTGGGTTTGTGTAACTTTGTCTTGTAACAAAGTCAGCAAGTGAAAAGCTAGGGAAGGTTTTTTCCTCCTCTTCTGCCTCAATTTTCTTTTTTTTTCTGCCTGAATTTGAATATAGATTTCATCTATTTAAACAGAAATACAGTCTATCCTCTTTGTATACTGATCTCTTGTATTCCCCGCTTCTTCACTTTTGTTTCTTCCTCATTACTTACAAGCAGGATGGAAGTCAGGTAGAGCCGACTGCATTCCAAGTCCTTCACTTTCTCTTCGGGTAGCTGGGCCCTGGGTCTGGCATCTTGTGAATGTAAAATGAAGGTTGCCTTTTGTCTGGTCCTTCTTTCGTATAACAGATCATAGTGATTGGCACTCGTCACACACACATTTTTATTCCAGAGTATAGTCTCAGAAAATCCTGCTGAAGGTTCAAGCCAAGAAGACACTTCTATGCCAATTAATCCTAAAACCACCCTTGCATAATTATAAATAATGAGAGAACTCTAACATGACCAACTCCATCTTGCTTTTAACCTTAACTGCTCACTTGTTTTTGTTTTGCTTATTATAGTAGAGAGACCAATAAAACTATGAGAGGAATGTAGTCATAGTTAAACTTGGAGTCAAGGGAAACTGATCCCCTTTCTTGTCTGGAGATTAAAGGTACATTCATAAAACAAAATTAGAATTATGGTAGGGGATTAAACTTCGCTAAGGACTAGGAAGCATTAATGACTTGCCATTGCTTAGTGATTATTAAACTCTTTCTTTGCTGCAATAACTGTTGTTCTTGGGCCAGGCAGGGATGGCTCATGCCTGGAATCTCAGCACTGTAGCAGGCCAAGGCAGGAGGATCACTTGAGCCCAGGAATTGGGGACTAGCCTGGGCAACATAGTGAGACCTCGTTTCTACAAAAAAATTTTAAAAATTAGCTGGAGGCTGGGCGCAATGGCTCACACCTGTAATCCTAGCACTCTGGGAGGCCGATGCAGGTGGATCACCTGAGGTCAGGACTTTGAGGCCAGCCTGGCCAACATGGTGAAACCCTGTCTCTACTAAAAATACAAAAAAAAAAATGGCCGGGTGCAGTGGCTCATGCCTGTAATCCCAGCACTTTGGGAAGCTTAGGCAGGCACATCATGAGGTCAAGAGATCGAGACCATCCTGGCCAACATGGTGAAGCCCCGTCTCTACTAAAACTACAAAAATTAGCTGGGCACAGTGGCCCCTGCCTGTAGTCCCAGCTACTCGGCAGGCTGAGGCAGGAGAATCGCTTGAACCCAGGAAGCGGAGGTTGCAGTGAGCCAAGATCGCACCACTGCACTGCAGCCTGGTGACAGAGTGAGACTCCATCTCAAAACAAAACAAAACAACAACAACAAGAAGAAAAATTAGCTGGGTGTGGTGGGGTATGCCTGTAATCTCAGCTACTTGGGAGGCTGAGGCAGGAGAATTGCTTGAGCCGGGAGGCGAAGGTTATAGTGAGCCAAGATCATGCCACTGCACTCCAGCCTGGGCGACATGCAACAAGACTCTGTCTCAAAAAAAAAATAATAATAATAATTAGCTGGGTATGGTGGTGAATGCCTGTAGTCCCAGATATTTGGGAGGCTGAGGTGGAGGTTGAGGCTGCAGTGAGCCATGATTTCACCACTGTACTCCAGCCTGGATGACAGAGTGAGACTCTGTCTCAAAAATAAATAAATAAATTAAATACCTTCCATCTCACTGGCTTTTTCAGGGAGGCAGTGGAAGAACCTGTCAGTCTGTGACAATCCCTCAATATTGGCTATCAGTGACTTTTATGGTCTGGATGGTCAAAGAGAAAAATGGCGCCAGAAAAACCCAGCATGTCCCTATTTAATTAGGAAAAGGGGAATTAGTATTACTGTATGCCTACTATTTGCTAGGTACTGATTAAAGTGTTGGTTACTTAGAAATATTTCATTTCTTTATCATGTTCATAGTTCTACCAAAGCGTAGATTTAATTGTCAAATAGCACAATCTCTAGCAACTGGTATAACTTACGCTATTAATAAATGCTAGGTCTTTGGAATACGAGTGGAGTTTGAAACTTTATTTTGCTTTTTAGAAAGTGGTGGATTTCAGACAATTTTCTTAACCTTTTCAAGCCTCATTTATTCAACTGACCTTTTACCCAGTGTCTGCAATGGATCTACCACTGGCCTGTCCTGAAGGGGTAACAGATAAAAGACAAAGTCCCTTCTTTGCAGAGAAAACCATTAGCCTTTAGTTTCTTCCATGTCAAAATTTGAATAGTACCCATTTTGCAGTGTGTTGTGAGAATCAAATGAGATAAGTTTTTATGAGAGTGCTTCACATTTAGAAGAAACTCAATAAATGTTAATTTCTTGCTTTCCCTAGCGGCAGCCTAGGGGGAAGGAAATTTTTCAGCTGGGAAACTTTTATTTGTGCTTCTCAAATAATATTAACACTGCCTTGGGGGTGAGTGGTTCTGAATAACAAGCATGGGAACAATATTAGAATGAAGGTACCTCCATGGATTGGTGAAAATTGTAGTGAGATTTTGGTCAATATTCAACATTTGACAGTAACCTTATTATAAGAATAATTCTATTATATTCAGTTTTATTGTTTGGTGAGATGTGCTGAAGCGTAACCTCACTGATGGAGACAAAGTGAGAGATAGTAGTGATTTGGAGTAGAATTAACAGAAGTGTGTATTACTGATCCTGGGCTTATTAAATGGTCTGTTACAGCCAATGCAGTAACTCCTGTAAGATGTGCTGATAAGAGTAGAGTAATACTGTGACCATTCATTCGCAAATGGTAGGACCAAAGTTCTCTCTTTTTTTTTAAATGGAGTTTCGCTCATGTTGCTGAGGCTGGAGTGCAGTGGCGCGATCTCAGCTCACTGCAACCTCCGCCTCCTGGGTTCAAGCGATTCTGCTGCCTCAGCCTCTCTAGTAGCTGGGACTACAGGCAAGTGCAACCACGCCTGGTTAGTTTTTGTATTTTTAGTAGAGACGGGGTTTCACCATGTTGGTTAGGCTTGTCTCGAACTCCTGACCTCAAGTGATCCACCTGCCTCGGCCTCCCAAAGTTCTGGGATTACAGGTGTGAGCCACCGGGCCTGCCCTGGACCAACGTTCTTCTAACAGGACGAATATGCTTAACTCGTATGAAACTGGACTGCAGTCTGCTCTAAAGGTGTGCCTCCTTCTTTGGCGAATTTATAAGGAAGTCCCCACAGCCCTCAGGACAGAGACTGAACAAGGGATGTGACTGCTGTGAATACTCCCAGCCAAAGGCCATCAGGACACCCGGAGTTGAACAAGGTAACAAGGAGACCATCCTGTGGGGACCCATGGCACGTCTCAGGAAGAGGGTGACAGCACGGGCTTGTGATGGGGTTTGAGCTTATGCTAGGTGATTTTGAGTGAGTCATCAATGAGACATGGTTTTTCTCTGGTGCTGAGAGCAAGCAGTGGAGATTCTGTGATAAAACGTTGTAATAATTTTTATCTAGGAGGCAGGAGGAACACAGGAGGGCTTAAGCTGTAATCCACACAGAGGCAGTTGTTCACGTTAGCGGAAGAATGGGATGTTCAGGCAGTATTATGGTTTGCAAAGTCTTGTGTTTTTTTTTTTTTTTTTTTTTTTTTTGAGATGGAGTTTTGCTCTTGTTGCCAAGGCTGGAGTGCAGTGGCGCTATCTCGGCTCACTGCAACCTCCGCCTCCTGGGTTCAAGCGACTCTCTTGCCTCAGCCCCCTAAGTAGCTGGGATTACAGGCATGCGCCACCACGCCTGGCTAATTTTGTGTTTTTAGTAGAGACGGGGTTTCTCCATGTTGGTCAGCCTGTTCTCGAACTCCCAACCTCAGGTCATCTGCCCACCTCGGCCTCCTAAAGTGCTGGGATTACAGGCGTGAGCCACCGTGCCCGCCCAGTGTTCTTGTTTTATTCTGTGCTCAGACATGTTTATGGAGTGGTCTTGTTTTTGTCTCCCTCCATCACAGTCACAGAGTGACCCTGTTGATGCTATGCTCTGTGAAATTGTTTACTTTCACCAGAACACCTGGCCCAGCTGTGAGCGTCAGGCCAGCTCCTACCAAATGAATGGCAGGAGCTGCTCTTTTTCTTTTGTGTTTTTCCTGCCCTCACCACATGGCCTATTTCCTTCCAGTCCAGTAGAAATGGGCAGTGACTGGCCCAATAGTAGGAGCCCTTAGCCACTGACATCTGGAACAGGCTTAAGGCTGGTGAGTCTGCAACACTCAGCAAGGAGATAGTCTGCCAAATAGCAGAAAAAAAGGGGAGAAATGGAGGGATTGAACAGGGAGATTAGAGAGAAAGAGAAGGGTGGAAAGGGAGACTGGGAGAGAGAGGGAGACAGAGGGAGAGAGGGAGACAGAGGGATAGAGGGAGACAGAAGCAGAGAGAGGGCCCATGGAGACACGCTCCTTTCCAAGTCTATAAGCTTCCTTCCTTTGTTTGCAAGAAAATGTAAATTATATAGGACTTACACGTAGGAATGCTCTTTTGAAATCCACCTATTCCATTCGTGCATAATTTTGTACACTTCCCTTGGAGTTTGGTATATGATTGGCCACCCAGCAATGCAGGAGGTGCTTAAGGGACCGAAAGCGCCTCTTTTTTTTTTTTTTTTTGAGACAGAGTCTTGCTGTGTCTCCCAGGCTGGAGTGCAGTGGCACAATGTTGGCTTACTGCAACCTCCGTCTCCCGGGTTCAAGCGATTCTCCTGCCTCACCCTCTTGAGTACCTGGGATTACAAGCATGCGTCACCATGCCTAATTTTGTATTTTTAGTAGAGGCGGGGTTTCTCCATGTTGGTCAGGCTGGTCTCCAACTCCTGACCTCAGATGATCCGTCCGCCTTGGTCTCCCAAAGTGCTGGGATTACAGGCGTGAGCCACCGAGCCTCGTCCTAATTTTTGTATTTTTAGTAGAGACAGGGTTTTGCCATGTTGACCAGGTTGGTCCTGAACTCCTGACCTCAGGCAATCCGCCCGCCTCGGCCTCCCAAAGTGCTGGGATTACAGGCGTGAGCCACCACTCCCGGCTGGAAAGCACCTCTTAAACCTGAATTGGGCCGGGCACAGTGGCTCACGCCTGTAATCCCAGCACTTTGGGAGGCCAAGGCGGGCGGATTGCCTGAGGTCAGGAGTTTGAGACCAGCCTGGCCAACACAGCAAAACCGTGTCTAAACTAAAAATACAAAAAATTATCCGGGCGTGGTGGTGGGCGCCTGTAGTCCCAGCTACTCGGGAGGCTGAGGCAGGAGAATGGCCGGAACCCGGGAGGCGGAGCTTGCAGTGAGCCGAGATCGCGCCCCTGCACTCCAGCCTGGGCGACAGAGCGAGACTCCGTCTTGGGAAAAAAAAAAAAAAAGGAGATGGGGGCAGGAATAGGCATTATGCCGGGAGCAGAAGGGAATGCTCCCTGTAGTTCAGAAAACAAAACCAAACAAAACACACTCCAACACAAAAAAATGACCTGAGGGCAGTCAGGATCGAAAAGTTGAGAATTTTCACAATGTTTTGTATCCTGTTGGACTGTGTTTCCTGAGAGAATGATAATGAAGTTTTCAATAGAGGGCTTAGAAATACAAAAATTGTTTCTTGAATACAAATATGTTTACTAAGTTGCCTTAAATATATTCATGTATTTAAACTTTATTTTCTGTACCTCAATTTGGTCACCCCAAAATTAGGTTTAGAGTAATTTTTTGAGATATGCTGTAGTGGAGTGAGGAGAAAATTCGTTTGGTGCTGCCTAAGAGCTATCCCAATGCAGAGCTTTGCAATGAGACTGGAATTCCATGCAGGAAGGGATTCTCCAGCCAAACGGGGTTTAGAATATGCCTCCTCCTAGCTCCCATCATTGCTGCAAATCTATAGGAATACTGATCACACAGAGAGAAAAGAACTAACTGGTAGTGTCGCCGCAGACTAGAGAGTTTGGATGAGAAAAGGCGGGCACTGTAGGGTGCATAGCACCGTGGAAGGAAACACTCAGTGATACGATAATGACAGAAAGAATAGGCTTGAAGCAAGTATATATGCAAACACTGAAATTTGCAGGGGTTAGAAATTGCCCTGAAGGAAGAGGTGGACAACTCTGCCAGACACTGGGAAGATCAGTGCGGAACACACGGCCAGGATCCAGCCAGTCAGAACTGACTCCCCCATCAATCACATCTTTGCAGAAAAATCTACACCAGAGCTTGCTAGATTCCTAGGTTAGTGAAAAAGATTTTTTCTTTTTTTTTTTTTTTTGGTAACTAACATTGCAAAGTAAACATTATATCATGTTCATTATACATAAGTAATGATTTCAGCTATTGTTTGAAATCCATGGTCAACATCAAAAAGCCTGTAGGTTCTGTTTTCTAAAACTGATAGGACAAGCTAAGAAACCTTACCCCCATCCCCTTATGCAATCTTGAGGAGTCATGCTCAGAATAAATTAGATGAAACACTTAGATGTATTAGATATGAGTCATTTCTGCTTCTCAGGTTGAAAGTTTTTTGCATTTAAACTGTGAGACCAAGCTGAAGACAAAAACTATCTAAATATATCTTAATATTATGAAAACTACTATTGATATGACAGGATCAACCTAGGATCAACATGCTCAGAACATTTATTTTAAATTTCATGTAACTTTCTTATTTGTAATACATCGGGCAGGTGAATGGTTCAAAATTCAGGTACAATAAGACATACAATGACAAGTAAATATTTGACTTTTTTTTGGTACTATTGAGAGGTGAAAATGTGCTGCCTGCCCTCGCTCGCTCTCAGTGCCTCCTCGGCCTCAGCGTCCGCTCTGGCCACACTTGAGGAGCCCTTCAGCCGGCTGCTGCACTGTGGGAGCCCCTTTCTGGGATGGCCTAGACTGGAGCTGGTTCCCTCTGCTTACGGGGAGGTGTGGAGGAAGAGGCGAGGGCGGGAACCGGGGCTGCCCGCGGCGCCCATGGGCCAGCGAGGGCTCGGCGGGCCCTGCATTCAGAGCAGCTGGCAGGCGCCGCCCGCCCCGGGCAGTGAGGGGCTTAGCACCCGGGCCAGCAGCTGCGGAAGGTGCGCCGGGTACCCCAGCACTGCCGGCCCACCCAGGCCGCACTCCAATTCTTGCCGGGCCTCAGCTGCCTCCCCGCAGGGCAGGGTTCAGGCCCTACAGCCTGCCATGCCTGAGTTTCCCCTCCGCTGCGGGCTCCTGCGCGGCCCGAGCCTGCCCTACGAGCGCTGTCCCCTGCTCCATGGCGCCGGGTCCCATCGACTGCCCAAGGGCTGAGAAGTGCAGGCGGGCGGCATGGGACTAACGGGCAGCTCCGCCTGCTGCCTCGCCACGGGATCCACTAGGCAAAGTCAGGCAGGCTCCTGAGTCAGGTGGGGACTTGGAGAATTTTATGTCTGGCTGGAGGATTGTCTGTGAGCTAACCAGCACTCTGTGTCTAGCTTAAGGTTCGTGGGTGTGCCAATCAGCACTCTGTATCTAGCTAAGCTCGTGGGGACTTGGAGAACATTTATGTCTAGCTAGAAGATTCTAAATGCACCAATCAGCACTCTGTGTCTAGCTCAGGGATTGTAAATGCACCAATCAGCACCCTGTCAAAATGGACCAATCAGCTTTCTGTAAAATGGACCAATCAGCTCTCTGTAAATTGGACCAATCAGCTCTCTGTAAAATGGGCCAATCAGCAGGATGTGGGAGGGGTAGGATAAGGGAATAAAAGCAGGCTGCCTGAGCTAACACTCCCAACCCACTGGTGTTGCCTTCCACATTTAAGAAAGTTTGTTGTTTCATTCTTTGCAGTAACTCATGATGGTGTTAACTGTTGGGGTCTGTACTACGTTTATCAGCTGTAACAGTCACTGCTAAGGTTTGCAGTTTCCTTTCTGTTGCCAGCGGGATCACGAGTCCACCGGGAGAAATGAACAACTCCAGACGCGTGGTCTTAAGAGCTGTACCACTCACCATGAAGCTCTGTGGCTTCACTTCTGAATCCAGGGAGGCCACGAACCCACCAGAAGGTAGAAACTGTGAACCCGTTCAAACATCAGAAGGAACGAACTGGACACGTTGTTCTTAAGAAGTGTAACACTGATCGTGAGGGTCTGTGGTTTCATTCATGAAGTCAGTGAGACGAGGAACCCACCAATTACAGACACAGTATGATGAACCAAAAACCCCAACACTTCCCTGCCATAAAACAGGAATCAAATGAGGCCAGTAACAAAGACAGTTTGAGTCCAGGGCACTGAGTGAAGGCACTAGATATGCTGGGACTCATCATTGCTTTGGAACAGGGACAGGATCTGGGTACGAAGTTTCTACCGCTCTTGTGGTGGGGAGTTGGGTTGGGCATCACTTTCATACGGCGAGAGGAAACGGTGGTGTCATCTATGTTAGCACTGGCTGCAGTGGAGCTTAAAAAACATGTTGCAAGCTCTCACATGGGTTCAAGTCTGAATTTCCACTGCTACGTGGTCTGAAAACTGCAAGCAGGAATTTACATTTAAAGCACATGGAGTCTATAGTATCCCCAGGTACTTCAGAGAAGCAAATATCAATACTCCCTCGAGGAGTAAGTCTTCAAACAAGGCTTCCAAGCACCCCACAGGGTTAGTGGCACCAACTTTTAACTACTGTAACTAATAAGGAGAAGCCAAGGGTACATATGAAGAAGTTGTTTATGAGCATTTGCCAACAAAAAAAGACCTGCAAAGACGTCAGATACTGTAAGAACAGAATACAGAATATAAAATGGGTATTCTTAATATGTTTCAATGAGTAAAGGCAGAAATAAGGTGAAGAGTCAGGATGAAGGGATCACCGAAGATGAGCAGACAAATTTGGGCAAAACTAGAAATGTAAACTATAATAATTGAAGTAAAAAGAAAACTCAATGGAAGGGTTAAAAAATTGCTGGAGATGAGAGAACAATTAGTAAACTCAGTTATTCAAAAATTATACTATTACACAAAGAGATCAATACATTAAAAATAGAAAAGTTTAAGAGACAAGTAGAAAATCCACCGTACATATAATCAGAATTTGAGAGGCAGATTGTTGAAAAAAAATGCAAGGAATAAATTTTTTTTTTTTTTTTTTTTTTTGAGATGGTCTCACCCTGCTGCCCAGGCTGGAGTGCAGTGGTGTGATCTCGGCTCACTGCAAGCTGTGCCTCCCAGGTTCAAGCGGTTCTCCTGCCTCAGCCTCCTGAGTAGCTAGGATTACAGGCACACGCCACCACGCCCAGCTAATTTTTGTATTTTTAGTAGAGACAGGGTTTCACCATATTGTCCAGGCTGGGCTCGATCTCCTGCCTCGGCATCCCAAAGTGCTGGGATTACAGGCGGGAGCCACTGCACCTGGCCAAAATATTTCAAGAAGTAATGACCAGTGTTTCTGGAATGAATGAAAGACCCAAATCCATCGTGTGTCTTTCATTCCATTTGATTTCTCATTTGGTTTTTCTTTTTGCAGCTGGGAAGTTTCAGGGTTATTGGCTCATCATAGTACCAAATCATGACAGATCCAAAGAAAGACAAATAAAAGCCAGTCAATATTAGGACATATTAACAGTGCAACAGCAGAACAACATAAACAATAAGGGATCGTGAAAGAAGAGACACTTTGCCACCGGGCGTGGTAAATAAGCATATGTAAAGATGATGTCAACATCTTGTATCACCAAGTATTACAAATTTTTAAAAAAGGAAATAGCACTACACACCTATTAAAAAGGGGAGCAGGCAGGGTGTGGTGGCTCATGCCTGTAGTCCTAGCACTTTGGGAGGCCGAGGCCGGCAGGTCACTTGAGGTCAGGAGTTTGAGACCAGCCTGCCCAACATGGAGAAACCCCGTCTCTACTAAAAATACAAAAGTATTCGGGCGTGGTGGCAGGCACCTGTAATACCAGCTACCTGAGAGGCTGAGTCAGGAGAATCGCTTGAACCCGGGAGGCGGAGGTTGTGGTGAGCTGAGATTGCGCCACTGCACTGCAGCCTGGGCAACAAGAGCCAAACTCCGTCTCAAAAAAAAAAAAAAAAAAAAAAAAAAAGGGTGAGCATCCCAAACACCAATGCTGGCAAGAATGTGTAGCAATAGGAACTCTGATTCATTGTGCTGGGAGTGGATGTACTCATAAAATGGTACTGATACCATGGAGGGCAGTTCGGTGGTTTCCTATAAAACTAAACATTCTTTTACTACATAGTCCGGCCATTATGCTCCTTGGTATTTACCCAAATGAACACATCAATGTTTATAGTAGCCTTATTTGTAATTGCCAAAGCTTAGAAGCAACTAAGATGTTGTTCCTTAGGTTAAAAAAGAAAAGAAACTGTGGCACCTCCAGACAATAGGATATTATTTAGTGCTAAAAATAAATAAGCTACCAAGTGACAACACCACATGGAGGAATGTTAACTGCGTATAAATGACAGAAACAAAAACCAATCCGAAAAGGTGATGCACTGCATGATTCCAGTCATGTGATGCTTCGGAAAAGGCAAAACTATGGAAATGGTAAAAAGGTCAGTGGTTGCCAGAGGTTAAGGATAAAGAGAGATGATTAGGTGGAGAACAGAAGATTTTTAGGATAGTGAAACCATTTTGTCTGATAATATAATGGTGGATATGTGTGATTATACATTTGTTAAAAACCATGGAATGTACAACCCTAAGAGAGAACCCTAATATAAACCATGAAATTTGAATAATAATGATGTATCATTGCAGGTCTGTAGATTTGTCAAATATGCACCACTGTCGTGGGGGATGGTAGTAGTGGGGTAGGTTGTGTGTGTATAGGGACCAAGGGTATATGAGAACTCTCTGTACTTTCTGATCAATTTTGATGTGAAGCTAAAACTGGTCTAAAAAATAAAGTTTATTAAATTACAAAAATCTAACAGGGTTAAAAGGAAATGGGAAAATTAATTTAAAAATGTATATGGGCCAGGCGCGGTGGCTCATGCCTGTAATCCTAGCACTTTGGGAAGCTGACACGGGCGAATCATGAGGTGAAGAGATCGAGATCATCCTGGCCAACATGGTGAAACCCTGTCTCTACTAAAAATGCAAAAATTAGCCAGGCGTGCTGCAAGGTGCCTGTAGTCCCAGCTACTCGGGAGGCTGAGGCAGGAGAATCACTTGAACCCGGGAGGCAGAGGTTGCAGTGAGCCGAGATCGCACCACCGCACTCCAGCCTGGGTGACAGAATGAAACTCCATCTTAGAAAAAAAAAAGAAAGAAAAAACATGTATATGGCAGCATAAATATCAAGAACAAATGGGAGAAACTCTTCAAGTGGAATGAGGTGGGAACATATCCTTCCTCAGACATCAAGACGCATTATAATCCATAGACTATAAGACAGTGGCACTAGCACAACAATAGACCAACAGAGAAAAGAAATTTGTTAGATTGTCTGGAAATAACACAGTGAAAGTGTGGAGGTTTGATAAGTGGTGAAATTATCCTGTATGTGAATGGGGATAATATGCGCTAGTCCATTGAATTAATCGTCTCTCTCTGACTGTTTCTCCCTCTCACTTTCTTTCTGTGTGTGTGTGTGTGTGCATACATGAGTGTGTGTGCATGCGTGTTTGATGGGGACAGGAGGCAGGGAAACGCTGGGTAGAAGAAGGTGGTTCTTCAGCAAAGGCCCCACCTTCAAGCCTGGAAACTGTGGCTCTAAATGAAAACAGTTATCTCTGTTTTCCCGTCCAATTGTTGCTTTATTCAAAACCACCCTGGCCCGCCACCCTCATGCCCCTCCCCCCCTGACCCCGCATCCTGTACTCATAAAACCCCCAAACCCCAGGTTCAATGAGCAGGAGGGCGGCACAGCAGCAGAGCAGCAGAGCGGCAGAGTGGAGAAGGAGAGAAGAGAAGTGTCTGAACATGGGGAGGAGTTTGGCTGGGGGCGGTCATAGAAGAGATTCGCCATGAGATGGCTGAACTCCAGGGGACAATCATCTTCCCACTCCATCCCCTCTCCACCTCCCCATCCCACTGAGAGCCACCTCCACCTCTCAATGAAATCCCTGCATTCACCATTCTTCAAGTCCATGTGACCTGATTCTTCCTGGAAGCTAGACAGGAATTCAGGATTCCTGTACCAATTCCATTGGGTACAGGAACCAAAAAGACTGTCACGTTGACTCTTCACTGAGCTGTTAAACACTTTAGCTTTCCCTGGGTGGCAGGGCTAAAGGACATTGTAATACCCCTAGCCACTGCTGGGGGGTCAGAGCCCAAATGTGCTCACCCCAGCTCACCTGTGTGCTCTCCCTCCCTTAAAGGGTTTGAACACGCACCAGCCGAATAAATGAGCCACATGCCATCACATGTTCCGCGAGGGGTCAGAGAACTCTCCTGTTTCATGTTGACGGATGTTGTAAGCATTAATGGTTTTAAATGCAAAAGGAAAACTCGGAAATGTTAAAGATAGTATAGAATAATTTCATTATGGCCTTTGAATAGGAAAGTATTTCTGAAACAGCATGTAAGATGTACAAGCCACAAAAACATCTTGATAAATTTGACTACATTAAAATTAAAAACTTCTTTTAATCGAAAGATACAATAAAAAAAGCATAAGTGATACACATGCAGGGAAAATAATTTTTTTCTTTTTTTTTTTGTGATGGAGTTTTGCTCTTGTTGCCCACGCTGGAGTACAATGGTACGATCTCGGCTCACCGCAACCTCCCTGTCCTGGGTTCAAGCGATTCTCCAGCCTCAGCCTCCCGAGTAACGGGGATTACAGGCATGCGCCACCACACCCAGCTAATTTTGTATTTTTAGTAGAGACAAGGTTTCTCCATGTTGGTCAGGCTGGTCTCGAACTCCTGACCTCAGGTGATCCACCCGCCTTGGCCTCCCAAAGTGCTGGGATTACAGGCAAAAGCTACCATGCCTGGCCTAATTTTAAAAAATACATGAAATTAATGAAGCATTATGATCCAGAATATATAAAAGTATAATATATCAGTAAATCAACAAAAATGGGGAAAAGATGTGAAAAAATTTCACAGTAGAGGAAATAACCTGTTAGAAAAATCTGTAAAAGGTACTAACAAGTACTTTACAGAACAGGAATATAAGTGGCCAGTAGATATATATAAAAAGATTCTCAATTCGTAATAATCAGTAAAAGGCAATTTAATATTTAATGAAATCTCATGATACACCTAATACATAGGTAAATATGACCAGGATATAGAACAAGGATGTCCCTGGGGCAGTTGCTAAGAGTGTGAATTGGTGCAATGACTTTCAAAATCAATTTGGCATTATCTTGTAAACTGAATGTGAGTATGCCCAATTCTAGTATGTGCTGTAGGAAAAATGTCTACCCCTTTGCACAAGGAATCATACAAAATAATGTTTCTAGGAGCATTGTTAATAATAGCAAAAGACAAGAACAAAACCTTGCAAGTAACCAAATGTCTATTGGGTCTATTTGTGGGAAAATGGATAAAGAAATTGAGGTTTATTCATGAATTGGACACTATATAATGGTGAAAATGAATAAACTTGAATTACACATGTCAGGGTGATCGAAACTCAGAAAGTTAATACATTGTGGAAGCAAGTTGTGGAAAGATATGCAGCATGATACTGTATTATAAATTCAAAGCCAAGCACACTAGGCAGTGTATTAACAGCTGTGCAACACGTATGTGAATGGAACTCTTGGAGAAAACCCAGGGCCAGGGATGAAGTAACAGAAGCGAACAGGAGCTTCAGAGATAACAGTGACGTTCCATGTCTTAGTGTGGGTGAAGGGGTCAATGGTGTTTGTTTCATGAAAATCTATCTCTATCTGCTATCTGTCTGTCTGTCTGTCTATCTATCTATCTCTCTATCTATCTATCTTCTATCTAATCTTATCTATCCATCCTATCTACAGATGTATATGTTTGTGTGTATATAAATATACATCTGTCACAAACATTCTCTTATGTGTATCAAATATTTTCATAATAAAAACATTTACAAAATCTCCTACTCTTTCTAGTCCTGTTATTCCATAGTTTCCCCTTCTGTGTCTTGTTTTGTAAACTTAATGTGTGGGCCAGGTGCAGTGGCTCACGCCTATATTCCCAGCACTTTGGGAGGCTGAAGCGGGTGGATCACCTGAGGTCAGGAGTTCGAGAGCAGCCTGGTCCAACATGGTGAAACCCTGTCTCTACTAAAAATACAAAAATTAGCTGGGTGTGGTTGTGGGTGCCTGTAATCCCAGCTACTCAGGAGGCTGAGGCAGGAGAATCACTTGAACTTGGGAGGCTGAGGTTGCAGTGAGCTGAGGTGGCACCACTGCACTCCAGCCTGGGGGACAAAGTGAGACTCCATCTCAAACAAAAATAAAAAAAGAAAATAAAAAAATAAACTTAATGTGTGGATGTTGTTCCTTCCCAGTATACATTATTTTCCTCCAGCTTTATTTAGGTATAATTGATAAATTAAAATTATATATATTCAAGTAATACAATATGGTAATTTGAGATATGTTTACATTGTGAAATGACCACAGTCAAGTTATTTAACAATCATCATCACACATAGTTACCTCTGTGTGTGTGTGTGTGTGTGTGTGTGTGTGTATTATGTGTATGTGGTTAGGACACCTAAGATCTACTGTCTCAGACAATTTCAAGTATTCACTGCCTCCTTGTATATATGGATGCAGTGTATACTTGAAATTGTCTAAGAGAGTAGAAGCTTTTTATCTTCTGTCTTTCTTTTTCTTTTTTTTGAGACGGAGTCTCTCTCTGTCGCCCAGGCTGAAGTGCAGTGGTGTGATCTCGGCTCACTGCAACCTCCGCCTCCCAGGTTCATGCCATTCTCCTGCCTCAGCCTCCGAGTAGCTGGGACTCAACGCCCGGCTAATTTTTTGTATTTGTAGTAGAGACGGGGTTTCACCGTGTTAGCCAGGATGGTCTCTATCTCCTGACCTCTTGATCCGGACCCTTCTGCTGTTAAAGCTTGAAACTTGTATTCATTTTATCTGAGTTAGGTCCTCAGGAAAGAACCTTCAGTCCTCTCAAAAAAAAGTGTCGAAGAACTGAAACTCACCAGATCATATGCCTTCTTGTTTTCTTACACATTGTTATATTTATTTCCTGCTGTATAAATCCCTAGTTGTAGTCAGTCAGGGAGAGGATTTGAGACTGAGCTCCCATCTCCTTGGCTGCAGCATCCCATTAAAAACTTCTTCCTTGGCAATACTTGTTGATTGGCTTTCTGTGCAGTGAGAACAGGACCTAGACCAAATCCCTGGTGTTTTGGCAACAAAATGATGTGTAAAATCTCTATGCAGATAGCTATAAAACATTGCTCAGAGAAAGAAATACTGCACAATTTTAGGTTTTTTTTTTTTTTTAGATGGAGTCTTGCTCTGTCGCCCAGGCTGGAGTACATTGGTGCAATCTCAGCTCATTGCAACCCCTTTCTCCCAGGTTCAAGCAATTCTCCTGTCTCAGCCATGCAAGTAGCTGGGATTACAGGCTCCCACTATCATGCCTGGCTAATTTTTGTATTTTTAGTACAGATGGGGTTTTACCATGTTGGCCAGGCTGATCTTGAACTCCTGACCTCAAGTGACCCACCCACCTTGGCCTCCCGAAGTGCTGAGATTACAGGTATGAGCCACCTCCCCCAGCCAGGTCTTTCTTAATTAATTCAAGGTGGACTATATATCCAAACATAATTGCTAAAACTATAAAGCTTTTCAAAGAAAGCATAGGAGAATATCTTTGTTACCTTTTAGTAGGCAAAGATTGCTTACACAGAACTTGGGAAGCACACACACACACACACACACACACAAACCCAGATAAATTAGACTTATTTGGCATGTAATTATTTACTTTGAATCATAGTACATTTATGTACTGTAACGGAAAAGGGTCTATTGTCTATTCCTGAGGCACTAACTTCCCTTTCTTATGGACGTTTAAGTCTGCAAGTGAATTTTGTATTTTTCAAAAGCTATTTTAAACCTTTATGCTTTTCCACACTAACCCTACCTTTAACCCACTTTCCTCTGTTAATTTTTTTCACTTAATGTGTCCTAGTGATTGTTCATATTACTACATAAAATTTCTTTGTTTTCTTTTTTTTTTTTTTTTTTTTTTGTTGAGACAGGGTCTCTCCGTCACCCAGGCTGAAGTGCAGGACCTTGGCTCACCACAACCTCCACCTTCCAGTTCAAGCCATCCTCTTATCTCAGCCTCCTAAGTAGCCGGGACTACAGGTGTGCACAACCACGTCGAACTAATTTTTTGTATTTTTGGTAGAGACAGGGTTTTGCTGTGTTGCCCAGGCTGGTCTTGAACTCCTGACTTCAAGCGAGCTGCCCACGTCAGCCTCCCGAAGTGAGCCACTGCGCCTGGTCTAGTACATAAAATTTCTGTATTTGTTAGTTTTAATTTTTTCAAAGTTGTAAATGTACATATTTCAAAGCCTCAAGTAGTTCTATAAGGATTAATATGTAAAACTGTACTACTATATTTGGCCAGGCATGATGGCTCACGCCTGTAATCCCAGCACTTTGGGAGGCTGAGGCAGGCGGATCGTGAGGTCAAGAGATTGAGACCATCCTGGCCAAGATGGTGAAACCCCGTCTCTACTAAAAATACAAAACATTAGCCAGGTGTGGTCGTGGGCGCCTGTAATCTCAGCTACTTGGGAGGCTGAGGCAGGAGAATTGCTTGAACCCGGGAGGCAGAGGTTGCAGTGAATTGAGATTGCGCCATTGCACTCTAGCCTGGGCAAAAAGAGAGAAACTCTGTCTTAAAAAAAAAAAATTAAATTGTACTATATTCATCTCCTTCTAGTTCTTATTCTTCAGAGACAATAATTAAGCTCACATAGCTTTTCTTTTGGTATTTAATGTAATCGCATGATTTTAACGACTATACTGCTAGTTCTGTATTTTGTTGTTGTTATTGAGTCCTAAGCTTAACTACTGACTTCTCACTAGATCAAATTTATTTTATTTCATCACATTTCACATACATTTACACATTTTCATGTACCATTCTACCAATTTACTTATATTTGTTAGATAAGTATTCAATATTTGTATTATGACTATATAAGCATGATTTACACTACAGATATGTAGAATATGGACTTTAACTCTCCCAAAAGAGGGCTGCTAATAATTTCTCCCATCTTTATATGTGTAAAGTCTATTCTTTCCCACATGAATCTGGACTGATCTTGTGACTAGCTTTTTCTCAGTAGAATGTGGCAGCTCTAAGCCTTGTCCCTCAGAGTCATGGCAACTTCCATGTTCTGTCTTTGGGAGACTTATGACAGCTTGTAAGAAGTCTGACTATTATCCTGGACAGAGAAGCCCAGTCAGTCCTCAGCCATGCTAGCTACCACTTCAGCCAGGGCACCAGACAATATGAGTGGAGTGGGGTTTTGATGGAGAGCTTTTTCGTGATTCACATTCCTCCTTTTTTTTTTTCTTTTTTTCTTGGACTAAGGAATTCTTTTTTGGATTGAAAGTCTAAAATCCTTGTAACTTTCATATTTTATTTTGTACTTCTTAGAATCATGCTCTACTTTTTGGGAGATCTAAATTTTAATTTTTAATTAATTTCTCGGTTAAGTTTTTAATTACAGACATCATATTTTTCTCTTTTTCTCCAAAATAATTCTCCTCTTCCTCCTTATCCTTCTAGACCTATTTTTCTTTCAGGGATGCCATATATCCTTTTATTTCTCTGTGGACATTAGTGACTATTTTACAGAGTTTTGGCTTCCTGCATAGTCTCAATTTTCTCCAAGTTACTTATTATTGTTTGTTTGTTCTATTCTATTTTTAAGGTGAGAGGCTGTCTTCAGTTGCCTAGAGACACATGGTTGTCTGCTCATAATTAAGATTGGGGTATTAGTGGCTGGGCGCAGTGGCTCACGCCTGTAATCTCAGCACTTTGGGAGGCTGAGGGAGGTGGATCACCTGAGGTAAAGAGACTGACACCATCCTGGCCAACACAGTGAAACCCTTTCTCTACTAAAAATGCAAAAATTAGCCGGGCCTGATGGCGCACCTGTAGTCCCAGCTACTTGGGGAGGCTGAGGCAAGAGAATCACTTGAACCTAGGAGGCAGAAGTTGCAGTGAGCCAAGATTGCACTATTGCACTCCAGCCTGGCGACAGAGCAAGACTCCATTCCCCCCACCCCTCCTAAAAAAAAAAGATTGGGGTATTAGCAAATTGATTGGGCAAGGCTTAAGCCTAGCCCCATTGCAGAGAGATTTAGTCAGGCTGACTTGTTGAAGCCTCACTATGCCAGTCTCTAAATTTTCTTCCTTGGATAGGTCAGATTTCTCAGAGAAGTAGCTTCTTGTCTGCTTGGAGGACAAGATCCTGGATATCAGGCAGGCATTCTGCATATCAGGTGGGGGAAGAAGGCTGGATACGTGAAATTCTGTATGTGAGCAAAATCCAGTGTGATCCCTTTCTGTTAATGTGGCATCTCAGGTCTTGTCTGGTGATCCTCTGATCTACAGAGAAGAAACCTCCATCCAGCCTTCTGTTGGATGACGTGAGCCAATTGCTCAAACAGACCTTCAGCTTCTTGGAAACAATCCTGTGTTTAATTGCACTTCCTAAGATTCCTGGAGCCAAAAATTACTGAGCCTTTTGGGAATTCTGCAAGCTGGTTACTTCTGGCCTTTTCCTACCACTGGCTTAGTATTTATTATGTTCGGATTTGCTCATTTAAATATTACTTCCTTTTTTCCTTTCAGAATTTTGGTGCTTTTTATTTCTTTTCCAGGTTTTTGTTCTTGTGGGGTTTTATCTTCAAAATAATCCCTCTGTATCATTTCATGGTATTTTTGGAAAGATTTGGTATTTAGACAACTATCATAAAATGAAGTCACCTTTGTTTAATGGCCTTATAAAAACATTATGCTGTGAATATATAAGAATTTACTTATCCAGTCAAATATTTTGTTTTTTTAAGTATGTTGTTAGACAATTAGAAAATGTCCCAGTTGAAGACTAAGAAATGCTATTTCAAATTTGTGTTTATTTTACTATGTGAACCTTGAGCATATTTTTATTAGTTTAGAAAACATTTGTTTTTCTTCACTTGATCTTAGCCAAAAGGCTGAGAAGAAATGACATTTGTTTTTCTTTAATGTGAACTACCTATCATGCTTTTTCCCTCATTTTTCTGTTGAAATTTTGGTGTTTCTCTTCTGAAATTTTATGTCATGTGCTATTAGTAACACATAATTCCTTTAGGCTGACTCTGAGCACACTGCCTATGAGTTAACCTGCTCTGCAAGGAGCAGCACTGTTCAGTCAAAGCTGCTGTCTAGGCCGGGCGCGGTGGCTCACGCCTGTAATCCCAGCACATTGGGAGCCCAAGACAGGCGGATCACCTGAGGTCACGAGTTCGAGACCTGCCTGGCCACATGGTGAAACCCTACTAAAAATATGAAAAAATTAGCCGGGCGAGGTGGCGGGCACCTGTAGTCCCAGCTACTTGGGAGCCTGAGGCAGGCGAATCATTGGAACCCGGGAGGCAAAGCTTGCAGTGAGCCGACATCGCATCATTGCACTCCAGCCTGGGCGACAGAACGAGACTCCGTCTCAAAAAAAAAAAAAAAGCCTGCTGTCTGACACCAAAACAATGGACATATTACAGTTTGGTTTTGGTCTTTTGGCTTCACTTATGTTGTATGCTTCTGTGTGTTTGTAAAGTAGAACTCTAATAAAATTTACTTTTAACTTCTTCAAACTGAATATTTATTGGATGAGAAAATTATAATATCACTTGAAAACGTTGTAATGTTTCAATAGTTTTCAATTTTGTCTCCATATTAAAAATGTTTTCTAATAACACTCCTAACATATTCTGAAATAAGACATCAATAAGGAGCACACGATCTTGTGAACACTCATGACGTGATGCACCAGCCCGTTCCCTTGTCTGCCCCAGCTTCATGCCACTGCTCCTCAGTCTCCTCCTCACCCCCCAGGGGCTCCCCTCTTTCCGCCTTTCAGGTCCTCTCAGCTCTTTCAGAGGCGCAGAGTGGTGTAGAATGAAGATTCTGTGGGGGAGTCATAACTTAGAGTCTTCCACTTGAAACCCAAACGAAGAAGTGTGGGGAGAGAAGGCTGGGGACAGATTACTGGAGATTGCCAGTACCCTAGAGTCAGGGGGAGCAAGAGGAGCCCCTGGGAGATACTGAAAAGGAATGATTACAGCAGTCAGAAAAAAAGTTGTCAAGACAGCACCACAGAAATTAAAAAGAAGAGAGTTGACTGGGCGCAGTGGCTCATGTCTGTAATCCCAGCACTTTGGGAGGCTGAGGTGGGCAGATCACGAGGTCAGGAGATCGAGATCATCCTGGGCAACATGGTGAAACTCTGTCTGTACTAAATATACCAAAATTAGTTGGGCATGGTGGCGTGTGCCTGTAGTCCCAGCTACTTGGGAGGCTGAGGTAGGAGAATCACTTGAACCCAGGAGGCAGAGGTTTCAGTGAGCCAAGATCACACCACTGCACTCCAGCGTGGCAACAGAGTGAGACTCCATCTCCAAAATAAATAAAAAATAATAATAAAATAAAAAGAAGAGAGTTTTTAGAAGAATAGTTGGAAGAACTAACAGTTTTAGAGATATCAGATAATAATACCACCAGCAGTAGTCTGCTGGAGAATTCTATCCTGATCAGAGGAGGGTCATTCCTTTTGTTCTAACCGGGCCTTCACCTGATTGGATGGGGTCCACCTACAGTCTAAAGGATAATCCTCAGAGTTTATTGATTTAATGGTAATCTCAGGCAAAACCACCTTCCAAATAGACACACAAAATTAACTGTCATGGAGTGGTAGAGAAAAAATGTACCTTTTCAGTGAGATGAATAGAGAAAGAAAGGGGAATGGTGCAATAAATGAGATGATCAATTGGGGAATTAAGTGGACTAGAGAAAAAAACAATACTATGCCAGAAGTTTTTCTTTTTTATTATTTTGTTTTTTAAAGATGAATGAAACATAAGCATGTTGTTTTGCTGGGGAGACGCATTAGCAGAGATGAAGAGCAGGAAGGTTTTCAGGGTCGTAGTGTCGGCTGTCACTTCTGAGCCTCAATTTTCGCAGATTCTCACAAGAACTTCTGGCCCTGATTCATGGATTTTTGCTAGCTATATCTACTAGTATCTCCCACCATTCCATATGCAATACAGTTAAGTTTATTTTTTCCATTTCCCTTTATCAAAACCTTCCCCTAATTTCACCTTTCACATGTCTGTCAGTGACGTCAGTAAACGTCCAAAGGTCTATGACCTTGCAGAAGAAATCACAAACGCACGCGTGAACATGAACTGTTTCCCCTTAAGAACTCTACCTTGTTATTAGCCGACCGTGGTGGCGGCCGCCTGTAGTCCCAGCTACTCGGGAGGCTGAGGCAGGAGAATGGCATGAACCCGGGAGGCGGAGCTTGCAGTGAGCCGAGATCGCGCCACTGCACTCCAGCCTGCTGGGCGACAGAGCGAGACTCCGTCTCAAAAAAAAAAAAAAAAAAAAAAAAAAAAAAGAACTCTGCCTTGTTGATTGTACATACTTACTGGAATCTTTTATTTTTTATTACCAGGATTTGCGGTCGCAGGTCTTTTTTCCTGATCACAGTATTGATATATCATGAGAACCATCAGGATAGCTCCCTAAGGAAAGGTTTCTCAGGAGGTTTTGCAGAGGGGGAGTGATTTTCATGATTCTTAGCAGTTCTTGAAGAGAGAATGCAGAATCTCAGCTCCGGTATTCCATGGAATCTCTGTTGTTTTATTCGCAGAGTCGCTTTGCCCATTTTTCCTCCTTGCATTTATTAGAGAGAAAGGCATCTGGTTATCACCATTGGCCTAAAAAGATTTAGTAATTAAGGATCTTCTTAAAATTCGCATTCTATAGCATTAAGATACACAGATGAGAAGGTGTTTCATGGAAAATAAACTTTGCAAGCAAAATATAAAAACCCATTTATAGTAGGAAGAATTGTGAGTCAGCTAGCTATCTCAACCCTTCAAGGCACACAGAGCACCACAGAAGTGAATTACACTGAATTATCCAATATTTGAATCTTGCCGCTGATTGAAAAATGGTAATTTTTACAACAAAATTGACTAAATAAAGTGTTGCTCCATTTGTACACTGGAGAATATACAGCTATTATAGAAAAGGTGGAACATCTATAGAGATGCTCGTCAGCCAACAGTGGGATTACTTCTCAGTAAATCCATTATAAATTGGAAATACTGTAAGTCAAAAATGCATTAGGTACCCCCAAGTAACCTGACTTGATCACTACACATTCTCCGCACATAACAAAGTATCACACGAGCCCCATAAATATGTACAAATATTATGTATCAATAAAAAAATGCCTTTAATACCCCTAGCCTCCTGAACATCAGCGCTTAGCCTACCTTAAGTGTGCTCTGAACACTCACAGCAGCTACATCTGGGCAGAAGCATCTGGCAACACAGTGCACTGCAGAGTACTGGCTCCTTACCCAGGTCATCACATGGCTGACAGGGAGCTGTGGCTCGTTGCCACCACACAGCATTGAGAGAGTATTCTGCCTCTTTCTACTGAAGCATATTGCTTTTGCATCATCTTAAAGTCACAAAACTGTAAGTCAAACCATCATGTCAGGGAATGTCTGCACACATTGATAAAGAAATTTTCCCAGGGCCAAGCGTGGTGGCTCACGCCTGTAATCCCAGCACTTTGGGAGGCCCAGGTGGGCAGGTCACCAGTTCAGGAGATCGAGACCATCCTGGCCAACATGGTGAAACCTCGTCTCTACTAAAAAAAAAAAAAAAAAAAAAAATACAAAAATTATCTGGGCATGGCAGTGCATGCCTGTAGCCTGTATTCCCAGCTACTTGGGAGGCTGAGGCAGAAGAATCGCTTGAACCCAGGAGGCAGAGCTTGCAGTGAGCTGAGATCGTGCCACTGCACTCCAGCCTGGTGACAGAGCGAGACTCTGTCTAAAAAGAAAGAAAGAAAGAAAAATTTCCAATATCCACTGGAATATAAAATGTGCAAAAGGCAAAAGTACATGGTATAATATACTCCATGTACTGGAAAAATATGTTCATACATTGAAAAGAGATTTCTGAAAAAATGTCCTAGAAACTGGCAGCAGCGCTTGTCTCCAAGTAGAGGGAACTAGGTGGCTGGGATGTGGAGAAAGGCAGGAAATCTACTTTTCCTTATATGTGCTTTGGATTTTTTGAATTATGTACATTTTAAAACATGTACTTCCAGTACATGTTTTAAAAGGAATGAAAATTTTCATTATCAATTTTGGGGAAGAAAAGCAAAGAAGCAGCAGAGACACAGGGGCAAGAACATAAGGTAGTTTGCGAAAGGTGGGATTGTGACGTGCTGGACCTCCAGCATCCGTAGTGATGGTCACCCACACGAATAAGGCGGGCCTGGTCTGGGCTCCAAGCCAGAAGTAAAGGCTGTCACTGAGCCAAATCCTTTAGAGGCCATTCAAAACTTCCCTTTATGTAGCGGCACAGTACCTGAGATACAACCTGTCCTCTATGAATGCCATTTTCACCTAATGACTGCTGTGAAGAAGAGTCTAGTGATCTTCTAGAAGAGTCTACAGCTTACAGTGGCCTGCAATGCTGGCTATGCAACAGGCTGTCCTGTGATGTCTTAACAATATAGCACTGTGCGGTCCCTCCCTGGAATTAATAATCAAAGTTTCCAGAGCTGAGGTCCAAAAACCACTGGATTGCAGTTTTTAACAGGCAGGTAGGTAGCAGGCAAGGAGAAGGGGTTGGCTTAGTACCAGGAAAATTAAATGAAGAAAGTGAGGCATCTACTCTAAAATTGGATCCTTCTTTCCTGACCTGCCTTCAGCTCGGGACTATGAACACAGTCTCTGAAGAGCCCTATGTGCTTCTTGCCAGAACATTTTTCTGAAAAAATAATAATAGCTGCCATTCATTGAGCACATGTTTTATTCCAGCACTGAGCAAGGAGTTTTAGATTGCTGACTTTCATTCTCACAGTGCCTCAGCGAGGAAGGCATATCTGTTTTACAGATAAGCATCGCAAGCTGAGAAAAGTAAGATAACTGCCCGAAGTCAGGAGAGCAGTGGATCTCTGTATTAATTACTCTGCTGGACTGCCTTTAAGTTTCAGAGACTTGCGAGCTCAGAGGAAATCCCGGACTCTAGGAATCGGGTAGGGGGATTGGATTTGGAGGGCCCAGGAAGCTGGCTGCATGCCGCGTGCTCGGGGGTGCTCTCTGCCAGAGCCTGAAGCCTTGAGCTCCACTTCTGCACGGCAGCATCTCAGACTCCAGGGCCGTGCTCACCTTTGCACAACACCTTTACTTTCACATTAGTGCTTTGCCCTTACAGGGGTCGGCTAGGCTAGCAGAGAGATTAGGGATGTTTACTGGGGAGAGAAGCACATGATCACAGTTAAGAGGCTTAAGTTACATTCCCCTCCAGTTCCTACCCACTCACATTGAGATGTGAGAGGGTCAGGGAAGTGCTGGGTAGAGAAAGGTGGGTCCCTGGCTAGGGGTCCACCCTCAGGCCTGTGCCCACAGACCTAGGTGAGGACAGGCACTCCTGTCTTCGTGCCCAAATACTGCATTTTCCAAGACCACCCTGGCCCACTACGGCCCCGACCTGTGCCTATAAAAACCCTGAGACCCTAGCAGGCACAGACACAACCCACTGGACTTTGAGAGGAACATGCCCGTGTTAGAGTACACAGGCAGCTGGACGTCCAGAGGAGCAGAGTGGGGAAGAACACGCTGGCAGGCCATCAGCCGGCGGAGATGGGGGGCCGAGGGGAATCTGGCCGGGGCCGTTGGAGGGGAGTCCGGCCACCCAGCGGCCCGACTAAAAGGGAAAATCACCTTCTAAATCCATCCCCTTCCCCCTCCCCACCCACCTGCTGAGTGCTACTTCCTCCACTCAATCCCACTCCATCCCCTTCCCACTCCCCACCCACCTGCTGAGAGCTACTACCTCCATTCAATCCCACCCCATCCCCTTCTCACTCCCCACCCACCTGATGAGAGCTACTTCCTCCATTCAATCCCACCCCATCCCCTTCCCACTCCCCACCCACCTGATGAGAGCTACTTCCTCCATTCAATCCCACTCCATCCCCTTCCCACTCCCCACCCACCTGCTGAGAGCTACTTCCTCCATTCAATCCCACTCCATCCCCTTCTCACTCCCCACCCACCTGATGAGAGCTACTTCCTCCATTCAATCCCACTCCATCCCCTTCCCACTCCCCACCCACCTGATGAGAGCTACTTCCTCCATTCAATCCCACTCCATCCCCTTCCCACTCCCCACCCACCTGCTGAGAGCTACTTCCTCCATTCAATCCCACTCCACCCCCTTCTCACTCCCCACCCACCTGCTGAGAGCTACTTCCTCCATTCAATCCCACTCCATCCCCTTCTCACTCCCCACCCACCTGCTGAGAGCTACTTCCTCCATTCAATCCCACTCCATCCCCTTCCCCCTCCCCACCCACCTGCTGAGAGCTACCTCCAACATTCAATCAGACCTTGCACTCATTCTCCAAGCCCACGTGTGATCTGATTTTTCTGGTACACCAAGGCAAGAACCCAGGGTACAGAAAGCCGCCTGTCCTTGCAATAAGGCAGAAGATCTAATCGAGCTGATGAACACGACACCTACAGATGACGAAAGCTGAGAGCACCCTGTAACACACGCCCACTGGGGCCTCAGGAGCTGTAAGCATTCACCCCTAGACACTGCCATGGGGTTGGAGCCCCACGACCTGCCCGTCTGCATGCTCCCCATACAGGTCTGAGCAGCAGGGAACTGAAGTCAGCCACTCCCCGTGTTGCACGCCATGTGAGGGGGACAAGGGAACTTGTCCCGTTTCAACATGAGGAAAACTCTAGAATTAGTCCATTTGAAAAATTGAGGCCGTGGTGCCTGGCGCAGTGGCTCACACCTGTAATCCCAGCACTTTGGGAGGCTGAGGCAGGTGGAACATGAGGTCAGGAGATGGAGACCATCCTGACCAACATGGTGAAACCCCGTCTCTACTAAAATACAAAAAATTAGCCAGGTGTGGTGGCGGGTGCCTGTGGTCCCAGCTACTCGGGAGGCTGAGGCAGGAGAATCACTTGAACCCGGGAGGCGGAGCTTGCAGTGAGCCGAGATTGTGCCACTGCACTCCAGCCTGGGCAACAGAGTGACTCCATCTAAAAAAAAAAGAAAAAGAAAAAGAAAAATTGAGGCTGTATCTCCTCACCATCTCTGACAGCCCTGCTCTCCTTGGTCCCCTCTCAGGAAGCCCATGCATCAGGACCCCCACCCTCCAGAGGTGTTCTGCCCATCCCTCCTCACACAGCTCCCCACTTTCCCAACTCGCCACTATGACCCCAGACAGTCCATTGTTTGGTGCACAATTTATCTTAAACTTTTGAAATCTTCACTGAATATTTTTTTTTCTATCCTCTTGCTTTAACTAAAACTTGGATATCCACTGAGCACAGTGATTGCCTATAATTCTTTTTTTTTTTTTTTGAGTTGGAGTTTTGCTCTTGTTGCCCAGGCTGGAATGGAATGGCGTGATCTCGGCTCACAGCAACCTCCACCTCCTGGGTTCTCCTGCCTCAGCCTCCTGAGTAGCAGCTGGGAATACAGGTGTCCACAACCATGCCCTGATAATTTTTGTATTTTTGGTAGAGACGGGGTTTCGTCATGTTAGCCAGGCTGGTCTTGAACTCCTGACCTCAGGTGATTCACCTGCCTTGGCCTCCCAAAGTTCTGGGATTAGAAGTGTGAGCCACCGTGCTCAGCCAGTTGCCTATAATTCTTTAGATTGAAGCAGCTTATTATTTCACAAACTAAAAACTTCAGAGTGGCTACTTTCATAAAATTGTTCTGCTGCCTGAGCGTGAGGCCCGTTCCTTTTGAGGCTCACAGCCTCCAGGAAGCCTGCCTGTAACTTCCCTCATGCTCATCCAGGACTCCTTGCCATTCTACACTACTCACTGGAGATTTAAAAGCCAGGGTCACTTTTTTCTCCACCCTGAACCCTGTTGCATCATCCGAAATGACTTCAGTGTTCATGGGGTTGCCACATTATGCACCCGAATTTCTAAGTTCCTTGGCCTCCTTATCTTGAGAGACAATGGATTTCATTTCATTTCAGCCACGGCTTCCCACTGGACTTTGCCATAAGAAACTGTACTATGAAATCTGAAGTTTAAGTTACTGTGTTCACAATTTATCACTCCGAAAACTCTCCTATTATATCTCAAAACTCTGTCATGCCCAAATCCCTGTCTGTTATAAATTAAATGTCTACCTTTTCTGCCTTTTCAAATGGGAGGATCAGAGGTACTGGTAAAGAATTTCACAGCTTTAGAGATGAGTGCCGCTCTGTAACTGCATGGTATCTAAGCTCGATAATCAGGAGTCCCTGTCTCCTTAGCCACCTTGATCTCATTCTCATCAGGAGATACTTCAGACATTTTCTATTCTCTTCTGACCACCAAGCTCATTTCATCCCCTGCAGTTAACCTTGCAGACACAGAAAAGGATTGCCCACGCTGTTCTCACTCCCACAAAATCAGCCCTGCAGAAGAATCCCTATCCACGCCCACCCTTTCCCTTTTCTCCCCTTACAGTGACACGGCATATAAAGCTAATGCTTTCTACTTCATTATATTTTTTTAAAGCCTGTGCTCTGAATTGTATTTCCTTCCACTAACTCAGTAAGTGTAGTCTTAATGATGACATCTCCCTGCTATGTTTTCAACCTTTGCTTACTCATCAGCATGAAAGCGTATTTATTTCCTTCCCAACTTGAAAAAACAAAACTCCGGTTCCTTGGCTTCATACACCTTTTTAAAGTGTTGTCTATTTAGTTGTAACTGTTGTCTCCATCATCCCATTAAACTGTTTTCCCAAAGAATGAAAACCTACTTGTTGCTGGGTCCAACCCTTTAAAAGCTTTACTTCTATTTTTACTCTATCTTAACAGCTAAATTGTTTTGAATTCCTAGACACCACTGCTGTCTCTACACCACACCAAGCTCTCAGGCTATACTTCTCCATCTTCTTTCTAGGCATCTCTTTCTCTAATATATATATATATATATTTTCTCTAATATATAAATATATATATATATATATATATTTTTTTTTTTTTTTTTTTTGAGATAGAGTCTTGCTCTGTCGCCCAGGCTGGAGTGCAGTGGCATGATCTTGGCTCACTGCAAACTCCTCCTCCCGGGTTCGAGCGATTCTCCTGCCTCAGCCTCCCGAGTAGTTGGGATTACAGGCACGCGCCACCATGCCCAGATAATTTTTCTATTTTTGGTAGAGACGGGTTTTCACCATGTTGGCCAGGATGGTTGCGATCTCTTGACCTTGTGATCCGCCCGCCTTGGCCTCCCAAAATGCTTGGATTACAGGCATGAGCCACCGCGCCTGGCCTTTCTCTGTTCTTTAAAAGCTGTTCTTCAGGTTTTGGTTTCAGCACATCAATCTCCTTTCTTTACTGCATTAAACAAAGTTTATGGGGGGCCGTTGTTGGGACTGCGCTCCTACACTGGGCCCCACAGACCCGTCCAAGCCACATAATCAAGCTGAACTTCAAAACCGTCGGCTTTCCAAAAACAGGAGACTTGCAGCCACCAATCAGAAGGGGCCCAGTTGACCTGAGCCGGCCTGGTAAACAAGTACCCTTTGCTTTAACCTTATGAGAAAAGTAACTTTTGAAATTAGCAGTCTGCTTTCATCCCAGTTTCTGCCTTCCTCAGTCCTTCTCTGCCTATAAAGCTAAACCCACACGTTCAGCTCATCACAGCACCCACGCTATTTTGTAAAATGAGATGGTGTCTGGTCCTATAATAGCTAATAATAGCCAATTAAATTTCAACTAAATTTGTTGTTAATTTTTTTAACAACCAATTTATTTTTATGGCTTCAATTTCATCGCTCCCAAATCATTTTCTGTAACTAAGTCCTTTCTCCTGAACTTCAATCCTACATATCCAGCAAGTCCTGTAGACTTCCTCCCAGGAACCTCCAACTAAATGTTGCAAAATATTAACTTACAGTCTTTTCCCTCTAGCCTGTCTTTCTTTTTTTTTTTTCCTTTGTTTTTTAATCCATTTTTTAGCTTTATTGAGGTATAATTGACAAATTAAAATCGTGTATATTTAAGGCGTACAACATATTTTGACATAATACACACTGAGGTAATCACTACAATCAAGTTAATTAGCATATTTACCCCACTAGCCTTTCTTTTTCCTCTTCTAATACAGATGAATGACATCACCAACAATCCAGTTTCCAAAGCCAAAAATTCTTCTTCTCTTACATTATATCTAATTCATTCTGAAAATTTGAAAATTCAGTCTCTGAAGCTGCTCTTAAAAGAATTCCCTTCCTAGTCAGGCATGATGGCAAGAGCCTGCAGTCCAAGTTACTTTGGAGGCTAAGGCAGGAGAATCCCTTGAGCCTAGAGTTCAAGTCCAGCCTGGGCAACATAGCAAGACAGTTACTGAAACACTTCAGCCTCTGTGTAGGTCCTGCTGCTCGCCACACAGAAAGTCAATGACTGAGACGATGAGTATTGCCAAGGAAGATGGCTTTAATCTTTGCTGCAGCCAAGAAGATGGAACTCAGTCTCAAATCCATCTCCCTGTGGTACTAAAACCAGAGGTTTTTATAGCAGGGAAGAAATGTAACAGTGCGTAAGAAAACAGGAACCAGGGAGGGGCAAGGAAGCCATCATGATGAATGAGGCGTTCAGCATCTCATTGGATGTGCTGATCTGGTGACTTTCAGTTCTTTGATACTCTTTTTTTGAGAGGCCTGAAGGTCTTTTCCTGAGGGATAAACTCAGAAAAAAAATATGTTAATAAGTTTCAAGCTTTAAGACCACGCGGGTCAATTTCTGTGTTTATATAAAAAAAATGTCTATGAGACAATTGGGTCAGTTTCAAAACCACATCTCTAAAAAACAAATAAATACATGAATAAGAAAAGAATTTCCTTTCTGTCTAACTGCACTGTCATTTCCCTGACCTAACTATGGTCATTTCTCAACTGGATCATTACATTAATTTCCAAGTTGGTTTTGCTTCCAGTCATTCTCATTCCAATTCATTCTCTAGAATTTTCAAAAATTAAGTCTTATAGATGAATTTCTTCCCTATAAATTTTCAATGGCTTCTTAAAGAGGTCCCATATCTCATGATCCATCAGCCTGTATCTTGAGAGGCCATATTGCACTATCTTACTGCTTCTATCTATACACACACACACTCTCTCTCTCATTCCACACTTCACCCATATTGGATAATTCATGTTCTCTTTTGATGTCAACCCTTTTGCTCATGTCTCATTTGCTCAGAAAACTTCCCTGTTTGTCCTATGCCTCTTCTCTTGCCTCCAATACACTGCCTTGTCTGAATGGGGTCATCTTTTAATCACCCTTTAGCCTCCTCTCAGACACCTTTTTACCTGAAACCTTCCTAGAATCTGTACCAATAATATTAATTCAAGTGGAGTCTGCTCTTTCTCATAATCACTACTCACACCGTCACCATGGCCACTCCACAAAATACACTGGGGTGGAGCGGTGGGATGGGGAGTGAATTTAATTTGGAACATTAGGTGTCTGAAGTACCCTTGTTTATCTATGAATAAATTTATAGATATAACGGTCTGAAGCTTGAAGAGATCTGGGATTGAGATACAGATTTGAGAATTTTTGGAATATAGATGAGAACTAAAACCATTGGAGGGGATGAGATATTTGGAGAGTGTGTGCAGAATGGGAAGAGGCGAGAAGAGAAGACAGAAGAGGAGAAGGGAGGATAGGAAGCAGGACAGAACACTGAGCGTGAGGAGGGTTCGTTGGCCCCACCCAGGTACGTGGTTGGTTCTTTGGATAACCAGCATTCTGATCTCTTGGATAATTACATCTTTCCCCATTGTGTTCAGCCTTGGTGTATCAAAAATCAATTGCTGTGCCCTGCTGTAGCTGAGGAATGTGATTAAAATCTCCTAGATCATTTTGTCTTGAGTAGAGTAGCACAAGGACAGGAAAAGGCACAATAGTTGTAGAGTATTTATTTTAGATCAGGAAAACTGTTGAGGCTCTCGCATGAGTTCTTGCTGCTCAGATTCCTGAGGCTTCATGGTTTCCCATCCTCTTATAAATAATTCTACTTCTTTTTTTTTTTTTTTTTTGAGACGGAGTCTTGCTCTGTCGCCCAGGCTGGAGTGCAGTGGCGGGATCTCGGCTCACTGCAAGCTCTGCCTCCCGGGTTCACGCCATTCTCCTGCCTCAGCCTCCCAAGTAGCTGGGACTACAGGCACCCACCACCACGCCCGGCTAATTTTTTGTATTTTCAGTAGAGACGGGTTTTCCCCGTGTTAGCCAGGATGGTCTCGATCTCCTGACCTTGTGATCCGCCTGCCTCGGCCTCCCAAAGTGCTGGGATTACAGGCGTGAGCCACCGCGCCCGGCCCATAATTCTGCTTCTTAAGCCTTCCCTTACAGCCAGGGAGTTACAGATATGGTTCCAACAAAGTCCTTTCCTGCTTAGAATGCCGGAGCCAGCTTTTTTCTTTTTTCTTGCCTTGCAAGAACTCAGTTACACTAAGGAAAAACGACATTCATGCGATGTTAGATACTAGGAGGAAACTCCAAATGAGATAGAACAGCTTCTAAGGGTGCCATTCAAGATGTTTCAAGAACCAAAGAATTGATGTCAAAAGGAAAACGAGTATTTCAAGATGAAAGTCATTATTAATAGAGTGGTTTAAATATTTTACTAGTTTTATTAAATAAATTAATGAAAAATATAAAATTAAATTAAATTTAAAGTTATATCTCACTTGTATTTTTAGTTACTCATCAATTTTTGTTTTTTAATTGTGTTCTTATAGATTGTTTTGTATTTTTCTTTTCTAACCTTTTAATGTATGACTATTTTTATTCGTATTTTCTATGCTAGTAATGAAAGCATTTAAAGTGTATTTTAAAAAATAAAGCTAATTCATTCCATCATTTTAGTATTTGTTATTGCTCCTTTAAATATATTCTTTTATTTTAGTTTTGATTTCATCTTTGACCCAGGAGATCCTTAAGAGTGAGTTTTGAAAATATTAATGTATAGGAACAGGAAACGAAACACCACACATTCTCTCTTATTAGTGGGAGCTGAATGAAGAGGACACAAGGTGGGGACAACACACACTGAGGCCTGTGGGGGTGTGTGGGTGGAGGGAGAGCATCAGGAAGAATAGCTAATGGAGGCTGGGCTTCCTACCTTGGTGATGGGATGATCCGAGCAGCAAAGCACCATGGCACATGTCTACCCATGCCACAAACCTGCACATCCTGCACATGCACCCCTGAACTTACACAAAATAAAAGTTGAAGAAAAAAAAAAACAAAACAAATTTAACATATTTGGCCAGTTCTATTTTATCTTCTAGGAATAGTTTCTCCTTTTTTGTATTATGGTTAAAGAATGTGGTTATTTATTTCATTTTGGAAATTATCAAAGTCATGTTTTTATATGTAATTTCAGATACACTTTAAAATAAATGTTCTGCAGACACTTGTTTTCAGCTTACAGAATTGAACAGACACAAACATAAACAAAGTCTTTTTCATTATAATATTTAGTCAGTTGTATCCATTATTTCTGGTCTCTTTGATCTGTTACAGAACTGGATGAGTGTGTTGAAATTTCTTAGGATGGTTACATTTCCATTGATTCCTGCAGTTTTACTTTAGTGTGGGAGATGAAAAAGTAAAGATTCATGAGAGTTACGTTCTCCACTGTGAATTATGCTCCTTATAAATTACAAAGTGCCCTTCTCATTTTCTTTTCATTTGCCTTGAATCCAATGTGGTCTAGTATCAGCAGCCGAACTGCGGTTTGTTTCCGTGTTTAATCGTCTGCAATGTATTGTTGACTAGCGTTTACATGCTGCCCTGCTTTGTCCCTTCCTTCTAGGCAGAATATTTTTTTACTGCTTCGTCCCTTCCTTCTAGGCAGAATATTTTTTTACTATAGCTTTTTTAAAAAAAATACGAAACTTGTTCCCCCTTTTTTAAAAAGGTGAGTTTATCTACTTAACCTTATAGTTATGTTTGGATTTAATTTAGCTTTATTAGATTTTCTCTTTTTAATGACTGCTGTTTGGAAACCGCCTGGTTACTTGATAGCCAGGGCATCACTGAGGTCATTCTTTAACCCTTCTCATTACCATAGTACTTAAAATTATCACCATCATTTTAAAGAATAAACAACATGATAATCTCTGTCTCTCTCTTTGTGTATATATATGTGTGTGTGTGCATGTATATATATACTTTCTCTATATATTCATATAGATAGTCTACCTATTGACACAACATGAATACACTATAGATGTGTGTGTGCGTGTGTCAGTGTATGTTTGTATTTCATATTTATAACATCCCAACATGACACATGCTTTTTACTTAGGTACACATGTTAACATAGTTTTAGAGATGAGAAATTGAGGAGAAGCAAAATTAAGAAACCTGTTCCAATGTAACCTGGCAAGTTGGCAGATCTGGCATATTAATTAATGCATTATGTGCTATTACTTTCGCGGCCTCTGAGCACTTTTTTTTTTTTTTTTTTTTTTTGAGACGGAGTCTCACTCTGTTACCAGGCTGGAGTGCAGTGGCGCAATCTTGGCTCACTGCAACTTCCGCCTCCTGGGTTCAAGTGATTCTCGTGCCTCAGCCTCCCGAGTAGCTGGGATACAGCTGGCCAACATGGTGAAACCCATCTCTACTAAAAATACGAAAAATTAGCCAGGCATAGAGGTGCATGCTTGTAATCCCAGCTACTCGGGAGGCTGAGGCAGGAGGATAGCTTGAACCAAGGAGGTGGAGTTTGCAGTGACCCGAGATAGTGCCATTGCACTCCAGCCTGGGCAACAAGAGTGAAATTCCATCTCAAAAAAAAAAAAAAGGAGATTTTATTTTTAGAACAATTTTAGATTTACAGAAAAATAGAGAGATGCAGAGTTCTCATACCCTGCACCTGGTTTCTCCTATTATCAACCTCTTAACCTTTGTTACAATTAATAAACCAATTTTGATACATTAAAGCAGTTCCTTGAATAACATGTTTTTCCCAATGTTAGTTTGTTACAATGTTAATTTTTTTTTTTTTTTTTTTTTTTGAGATGGAGTCTGGCTCTTGTTGGCCAGGCTGGAGTGCAGTGAGCAGCATAATCTCGGCTCACTGCAACCTCTGTCTCCCGGGTTCCAGCAATTCTCCTGCCTCAGCCTCCTGATTAGCTGGGATTATAGGGGCCCACCACCACTCCTGGCTAATTAATTTTTGTACTTTTAGTAGAGACAGGGTTTTGCCATGTTGGCCAGGCTGGTCTCGAACTCCTGACCTCAGGTAAACCACCCACCTTGGCCTCCCAAAGTGCTGGGATTACAGGTGTGAGCCACAGCGCCTGGCCTACAATGTTAATTTTTTAAAAGTGGCTTCCCAGCAAGGTCACCTGTGTGGAGTTTACAGGTTATCCCCATGTCTGTGTGGATTTTCTTCAGGTTCTCACGGTTCTTCCAGTTCCCAAAGCTGTGCTCATTGGGTTCACCAGCACGTCTCCATGGTACTGGGGTGAGTGAGTGTGGGTGAGTGCGGGTGTGGGAGAGTGAGTGTGGATGGGTGAGGGCGAGTGTGGGTGAATGAGGGTGAGTGAGAGTGTGGCTGAGTGAATGTAAGTGAATCAGGGTGAGTGTGAGTGTGAGGGAGTGAATGTGAGTGAATATGAGTGAGGGAGGGTGAGTGGATGAGTGTGGGTGGGTGTGAGTGAGTGAATGTGAGTGGTGGGTGAGTGTGGATGTGAGGGTGAGTGTGGATGTGAGGGTGAGTGGATGAGTGTGGGTGAGTGTGAGTGAGTGAAAGTGAGTGGTGGGTGAGTGTGGATGTGAGGGTGAGAGTGAATGTGAGGGTGAGTGTGAATTTGGGTGAGGGTGTCATCTTGCCCTGGGAGAGCGTCCTGGCCAGGAAGGGTCCTGCCTGGCACCCTGAGCTGCAGGGATGGGCTGTGGCCACCCGCGATCCTGAACTGGATAAGCAGGTAAGTCATTATCTCACTTGTTTTTATTAATCTTTCTTAAATGTACATCTAGCTGACATTTATTTCAATGTTTAATATGAGAACTGTTTTGGTCTTTACTTAGAAGTTCAGTCATGTTTCTGTGACCAGAAATACACTACAGGAACTTCACCCTGGTCTGTGGCATTAGCCTACGGGAAAATTTGTTTTGTTACAGTAATTTAGCTTCAAATCACAGTTTCCACGAACCTATGGCCAAGGTGGACTTACCTTAGAGAGGATTTGCATGTGTGGTTACTGAGAGCTGCTGCGCATGAGGAACTGGGCCAGATTCCATGGGGATGGCAAAAATGGATCAAGAAATAATTCTGTTCTCCAGCTATTTATAATGTAACATAGAAAATAAGACACACATAAATTAACTATAAGGTCATTTTTGCTCAGTGTGGTGGAAGTAGTTTAAATAAATACTAGAATATGGCCAGACACAGTGGCTCACACCTGTAATTCCAGCACTTTGGGAAGCCAAGGTGGGCGGATCACGAGGTCAGGAGATTAGGACCATCCTGGCCAACATGGTGAAACCCCGTCTCTACTAAAAATACAAAAAACTAGCCGGGTGTGGTGGTGGGCGCCTGTGGTCCCAGCTACTCCGGAGGCTGAGGCAGAGCGAGACTCCATGCCCCCACAAAAAAGTGTGTGTGTGTGTGTGTATATATACACACACATACACTTTATGTTTACATATTTATATTTATTTAGTTTATATATATATAAACTAGAAAATAGAGAGATAATTAATGAAGAGAAATGGTAGTTTGGAAGAAACAGAAAAAAAACATAAAAGTAGGCTGGGTGCAGTGGTTCACACCTGTAATTAGCATTTTAGGAGCGCGAGGAACAGCTGAGGCCAGGAGTTCGAGACCAGCCTGATGCAGACGGTGAAACCCCATCTCTACTAAAATACAAAAATTCAAAAATTAGCCAGGCATGGTGGCGGGCACCTGTAGTCCCAGCTATTCAGGAGGCTGAGGCAGAAGAGTCTCTTGAACATGGGAGACAGAGATTACAATGAGCTGAGATCGCGCCACGGCACTCCAGCCTGGGTGACAGAGCGAGACTCCATCTCAAAAATAAAAATAAAATAAAATACTAGAATAATTGATAGAAGGATGTTTTTGTGACCAGAAATATGCTATAGAACTGAATTCTTCTCTATATCAATTAGCCTGTTGGAAAATTGGTTTCATTATTCCAAGAACCTATTGAGGAGGTCTAAGGTCTCCTCCTCTATTGAGGAGGTCTAAGTGAGGCCTTACTGTCCTATTAACTAAAGTCTGTGTTTTATTCTGACATCTTTAGTTTTACCTGATGTCTTTTTCAGTTCCAGGATCCCACCTTGCCCTGAGTTGTCACGCCCCGCAGGCTCTCCTTGGCTGGGGCTGTTTCTCAGATTTTCCTTGTTTTCGAGGACCTTGACAGTTTTGAGGAGTACTGGTCAATCATTCTGCAGGATGCCCTCTGTTGAAATTTATCTGATGTTCTTCTCATCATTTGATCGGTATTACGAGTTCTGGAGAGGAAGACAAGAGCGGCAAAGCGGCGTTCCTCTCGCCTCACATCAGAGGTGCATACTACAGGATTCCTCACAGTGGATGTTGACCTCGATCCCCTGCCGAGAAGCGTTGGTTAGGTTTCTTCATTGCAGACCCACTCCCCCCACCCCACACTGAACTCCTCAGAGGGAGGTCACTGTGTGCAGCTCACACGTACGGAGCAGTGACTCACGCTTCCCTTCTGCAGGTGCAGTGTCCATCGATTGCTAGGAATCCTTCTGTTAAGGAGATTTGTCTCTTCTCCCCATTCATTTATTTACTTGTGCTGTGCAGTCATTTATTTATGTTGGTGGAGACTCACTCCCTGCCCTTTCCGAAGTGCTCTGTGTTTAGGTGATAAATTACGTACCCATTATCTTTGTTTATCACCCACAGCTCCAGCTCATCTTACTTCTTACTTTTGTTTTGCTTTGGCCTCAGATTTGCCACTTATATTACATTTTCATGGTTGTGCTTGTGGCACATTCCGTGTCGCGTGGTGCAATCCTGGAATATTGTGGGGAATACATAATTCTGTAGGTCACGCCTGAGTACGGGAAAGAGAAGTGCACGGAAGTGTGTATGGTGGTCTCATGCTGCACAGGTGTGGCAGCAGCCTTGTGTCTCTGGGTATCAGAAGTAATACATGGAGTAGCATAAATTGGAACCATGCAAAGAAATTTATTTACGAATCGTGTGGCCGGGCACGGTGGCTCACGCCTGTAATCCCAGCACTTTGGGAGGCCGAGGTGGGCAGATCACGAGGTCAGGAGATCGAGACCATCCTGGCTAACATGGTGAAACCCCGTCTCTACTAAAAATACAAAAATTAGCCGGGCGTGGTGGCGGGCGCCTGTAGTCCCAGCTACTCCGGAGGCTGAGGCAGGAGAATGGGGTGAACCTGGGAGGCGGAGCTTGCAGTGAGCCGAGATCGCCCCACTGCACTCCAGCCTGGCAACAGAGCGAGATTCCATCTGAAAAAAAAAAAAAAAACAACAACAAAAAACTAGAATCATGTACTTTCAGCTTTGCTATCAGTCATCTCACCCTTGGAAAGCCAGAATAAGTTACTCTGGGCAATGTCAAGGAAGATTTAATTTCAGATTGATGTTGTTTCCTCAGACAGTCCATTCTTCTTTCCTTTCAGTCAGTCTCACAGGCGTTTCCCCAAACAAACATCCCTGCTTGCAACTGTATCTCCTAACACAACCGATCACAAGAGCACGCAGCCAAGCTGAGGGCAGAATACGGATGCGTGCATCCTATTCACTAACCTGCTAAGGCACTCATGCTGGATAAGACCCTCACATCTTCCCCCATTCCTAAATCCCTAATGCATCTGTCCCCCCAATCTTAGCAAGCTTAATGCTTAAAATAAACAGTTTTATGTAGAAAGTTATCCCATTGACTTTTCTGGTCTTCTCCTCTACAAAGAAACTTGATATAAACATTTGTGGATAGCTTTTTCAATGAGCATATACTTTTATCTTTCTTGGATAAATACCTAAAATTGGCTGGGTCATACGGTAGGTGTGTATTTAACTTTGTAAGAAATCGCCAAACTCTTTTCCAAAGTTCCGTGTATTCGACATTCCTACTACCAGCATGTGAGAGTTTTAGTCCCTCCACATACTGGGCAACACTTGGTACAGTCAGTTGTTTTAGCTTTAGACATGCTAGTGGGTGTGCAGTTGTATCTCATTGCAGTTTTACCAAATGGCTTTTTTGGTGATGTGTAATATAGTCTGATGGAACTCTTTCAACTTCCTTATTTTTTAAAATTGATACATAATAATCATACCCATATATGGGGTACATGTGATTATTTATTTATTTATTATTTATTTTTTTTTTTTAGACAGAGTCTCGCCCTATCTCCAGGCTGGAGTGCAGTGGCGCCATCTGGACTCACTGCAACCTCCGCCTCCCAGGTTCAAGTGATTCTCCTGCCTCAGCCTCCTGAGTAGCTGGGATTACAGGCGTCCCCCAACACGCCCAGCTAATTTTTGCATTTTTAGTAGAGACGGGGTTTCACCGTATTGGCCAGGATAGTCTGGATCTTCTGACATAGTGATCTGCCCGCCTCGGCCTCCCAAAGTGCTGGGATTACAGGTGGGAGCCACCGTGCCTGGCCATAGGTGATATTTTGATCTCTGCATACAATGCAGTGAACATGTCAGGATACCTATCATCGCAAACCTCATTTCTTTGTGTTGGAACATTTTATTTATTTATTTATTTATTTATTTATTTATTTATTTATTTATTTTTTTTTTTGAGACGGAGTCTCGCTCTGTCGCCCAGGCTGGAGTGCAGTGGCGCAATCTCAGCTCACTGCAGGCTCCGCCTTCTGGGTTCACGCCATTCTCCTGCCTCAGCCTCCCGAGTAGCTGGGACTACAGGCGCCCACCACCACGCCCGGCTAATTTTTTGTATTTTAGTAAAGACGGGGTTTCACCATGTTAGCCAGGATGGTCTTGATCTTCTGACCTCGTGATCCGCCCGCCTCGGCCTCCCAAAGTGCTGGGATTACAGGCGTGAGCCACTGTGCCCGGCCGTTGAGAACATTTTAAATCTAGTTATTCTGAAATATACAATAAATTATTGTTAACTACTGTTACTCTACTGTGCTATTGAACACTAGAACTTATGCCTTCTGTCTAATTATGTTTGTACATGTTAAGCAACCTCTCTTCATCCTTCTCCGCCAGTTCCCAGCCCCTGGTGACCTGCATTCTGCTCTCTCTTTCAATGAGATCAACTTTTTAAGCTCCCACATATGAGTGAGAACGTATTTGTGTTTCTGTGCCTGGCTTATTTCCCTTCACATAAAGTCCTCCAGGCTCATCCATGTTGCCGTGAATGACAGGACATCATTCTTCTTATGGCTGAATAGTATTCCATTATATATATTTACCACATTTAAAAAATGAATTTAGTTTATAAATTGTCATAAATTTAACAAATTTTAAATCTGTTCATTTATTTAACAAACATGTATTAAGTCTTTTATATGCCAAGCTCTGTGTTAATGCGGCATTGGTTATACAAAGATGAATTAGATATTTATTTTTGTTTTGGTAAAGTTTGCAGTCTAGGAGCAGATGTGTTGGACATGTTCAAAGTCAAATTACAGTATATTGAGGTGTGAACTAGGTGGAAATTTGGGTTTTGAAAGTGAAAATAAGGAAAACATAAAAACATGAAAGGATCTCAATATTAGGTTATATAGAGAGAGGGGAGGCCAAGGAAAGAAAGTGGGAAGTAGAAACTGGAGATTGGAGGAAACTAGGAGAGAGAAAATTCTGAAGATTTCAAAAGAAGAAAGATTCTCAAAGCAAGGCATGGTTAACAAATACAAATCTGAGGAGATGCCTACTGGTGTGAGATCTGAAATGAACACCTTGGGTTTGGAAAAGGGAGTCCACAAATGATCTTAATATGAGTATTTTTTTGTGTTGTAATAAAGGTGAAAGTCTTTTATCTAGCAGTAAGCTAGAAAACTTTTACTGATTTTTAAACAGAAATTCTCTAGAAGGTTTTGATTTTTTTCTTTCTGTAGGTCACATATTTTACTGTTACTTTCATTCTCAACATTTCTAATACAAATACTATATATATATATATTTCTTTTTTTTTTTGTGAGATGGAGTTTTGCTCTTGTCGCTCAGGATGGAGTGCAATGGCGCGATCTTTGTTCACTACAACTTCCGCCTCAGCCTCCCAGGTTCAAGCGATTCTCCTGCCTCAGCCCCCTAAGTAGCTGAGATTACAGGCACCTGCCACCACGCCCAGGTAATTTTTGTATTTTTAGTAGAGACGGGGTTTTGCCATGTTGGTCAGGCTGGTCTCGAACTCCTGACCTCAGGTGATCTACCTGCCTCGGCCTCCTGAAGTGCTGGGATTACAGGCATAAGCCACAGCGCCCGGCCAAATACAATATTAATTTGGATTATATTTAGCTGTGTGTTGCTGACAGTCATACACACTATTGAGATTTTATTTATTTTATATCATTTTCTTTTTGTTAAAGTCAATTTTAGAATTCGTATAGCATTTTTGAATTTTTGTTGTTGTTGTTATCAAACAACAATGTTTCGTTCATTTGTTTTTCACTATTTGTTCCCAGTGTTTTTGGTTATATCTAAGTGTATCGTCTGAATTCTTAAAACACTAACATTTGTGGCAGTTGTTGCCGTACTGATTTCTTCCCAGTTTTAAAAAGAATGACTGGGATTTTGGAGGAAGTTTAACATTAACTTTTAGTTTAAAATAATTTTGTTTCATCAGAAGAGAAACTATTTTTTCCTTTTTCAAAATATTTAAATTGGGAACGAATATTGTTCTTTTAAAAAATATTCTTCTGGCCGGTTGCGGTGGCTCACGCCTGTAATCCCAGCACTTTGGGAGGCCTAGGCGGGTGGATCACGAGGTTAGGAGATCGAGACCATCCTGGCTAACACGGTGAAACCCCGTCTCTACTAAAAATTAAAAAAGTAGCCGGGCGTGGTGGCGGGTGCCTGTGATCCCAGCTACTCAGGAGGCTGAGGCAGTAGAATTGCTTGAACCCTGGAGGCAGAGGTTGTAGTGAGCCGAGATCGCACCACTACACCCCACCCTGGGAAACAGAGCGAGACTGCATCTCCAAAATATATATATTTTTCTGATATTAGTTGAAAGTATATGTGTGTGTGTGTGTGTATTGTGTGTGTGTGTGTATATATATATTTGTTTTCTTCTTTCAGTCTTTTTAACCTATGGTAATGGTGTCTATTCAGATTGCTCTATTCTCACTCAGCTGTAGATGCTTAAGACCGTCAAGCTCTCTATCTTGCCCTGTTCGAGTGGAGGCAGCGTAGGAGTGGATTTGGACCATTCCCGGTGTCTGAAACGATTGTTATTCATCCAGCGTGCCCGCAGTGAACTTCCGGCGTGTATGTTCTTTCCCTGGCCCTCTGCTTCTTACTCTCTGTAGTAGAGTGTAGCAGATCCTGTTTGTGACTTGTCCATATTCTTTTGGCCCACTGTGGAGGTCTGATGCAGCTTGGTGACAACTCCTTCTTCGTCCACCTCCATCTCTCAGAATGATGGTGTGAGGCTTCCTGAAATACACCTCACAGCTTATCTGAAAAGCTCCCCAATAAACTATTTGAACCCAATTCTTGCCTCAGAGTTTCCAGTTGAAAAAACACAGACCAAGACAGTGGCTATGGTTTTGCTTTCCTGAGTGCACGTTGATTTCTCTTAGGAGTACCAGATCCTGCCTGGAACCACGCTCACCTGGCTGTAGTCTGAAGTCTTCCATTCTTTTATATTGACCACATTTTCCATTTCTACTTTCCTCTGACTGATCCCACTTCCCAGAAAACCCACAGAGCAGATCCTGTTTGCTGAAACCTTGCTCCAGAATGAATAGACTATTTTTTCCTCCGCAGCTTAGTTGCCAGATCGTGCTCCTTCGGCTATAGGATGGAGTTGAAATTTGCTACAGGCCTTTGCACACGAATTCGTCTGTTGCAAAATTTCTGAGGAGGCTGTGATGACTTGTGTGTTAGTCCCACTTGGTTGGCCCCATCCACTCTGGTTTTTTTCCTCCCCTTTCACATGGACTCATTTATTACATTCTAGAATGTCTCCAATATGAGTTTTCCTGCAGAATGGTGCACTTTATAATAATAGGTGGTTTCTTGTTCTTGTTGCTGAATGATTATGTTCCTGCAATAAATTCAGTTTGTTCACAGTATTTTAAAAAATTAAATCTATTACTAAAAAGTCTTCATTAGTATTTTCTTTGATTTTTTTTTACAGATATATTCAACATACATAGGTGTATAATTTTTAGACATTATTTTATTAAGGTTTGGAAATATATGTTTGCCAACGGGAATCAATTAGGTAACATTTCAACTTCTACAATGTTACACAGGGGTTTAATTTTTAGAATTAATTTTTTGGACACGAACATTGTAGCATAAAATCTAATTTGCTGCACATATTTCAAGTGCTTTGAAAATGTTTTATATTTCACTTTATTTATGAGTCTACCTTATGAAAACTGTGGGTTTTTGTTACATCAATTTTTATAGTTTACTTTTTGGATACAGTTAGAATAATGAAACAACTCCCTTGACTGTACCACAGATACACAGAATACAAGTATCTCCCATACCTAACGGTAGTACAAAATGGGGTTGTGGAAAAGTTGCGGCAGAATGAAATTTCTCAGTCCTTAGATCTTCGTCATTGCTGAGTCATGTTGACATTTTTGATTAAAGGTCAGTTGGTTCTTTCATCTTCGTCCTTGAATCCTCTTCTGCCTTCTGCTTTAACCGTTGGCTCACTTTGAGTAAGGCCTTTGCCCAATTCTGGAAACTGTTGGCTTATATTATTTTCCCACTCTACTAAAACTTCAAATCTTTCTATTCATACACATAAGCAAGAATGACCCCAGCCTGTTTTTGAGAAGGTTCTTATAGCGGTGTAACGAGAGGTGCATACATGCTGATGGGCTGCAATGAGGTTCTAAAAGGGATGCCCACATCACTTACTGGAAACAAAAAGGCAGGAGTGTTGCCCTTGTGCAGAAAATAAATACTTCAATGCTGATTAGGAGTGGCTTTACTTCACCAGAAAGTCACAGGGCAAGGCTAGTGGTTATAATTATCTCTATGATTTTATATAAATGTAAAATCATAAGGCTGAATTATAATAAATTGTCATTTTTATAGGTTAAAAAGATGATTCAATGTCAGCAATTTAATAGGATTCAACTTAATACTATTTCCTTTGTAAGTGAGAAAACGGAAGCACAGGGAGGTTAGACGACTTCTGAGATCACACAGAGCTGGCAAATGAAGTAATACACGTTAGCTTGTTACACTGTGACACTTCCCAACATGAAATCCCTGGGAGAATTTTTGGCATACTGATTTTGCTTTGATAAAACCATTCTTGCTTTTGTAACAGCTAACTGTTTTAATAAATTAGGAAATGGAAAAAATGGGTGCCAATTCCAACCATTGAAAAGGTTTATATAATTTAATAATCCCCATTAAACTAGGTGATACAGAGTTTATGCTTTATACATTTTAAAGTTACGTTTCACTTTCTACCTGACCCTAGATTTAGATATCAATCGCTATACATTTTGCAAGAAATATAGAAAATATATTGATTCGTCTTACTTGTTTTTACTTCCTGTCTTTTCCCTCCCTCCCTCCCTCCTTCCTTCCTTTTCCTTCCTTCCCTCTTTTCTTCCCTCCTTCCCTCTCTCCTTCCCTCCTCCCTCCTTCCTTCCTTCCCCCCTTCCTTCCCCCCTTCCTTCCCTCTCTTCTTCCCTCCTTCCCTCCTTCCCTGTCTCCTTCCCTGTCTCCTTCCCTCCCTCCTTCCCTGTCTCCTTCCCTCCTTCCCTCTCTCCTTCCCTCCTCCCTCCCTCCTTCCTTCCCCCCTTCCTTCCCTCTCTTCTTCCCTCCTTCCCTCCTTCCCTGTCTCCTTCCCTCCTTCCCTCCCTCCTTCCCTCTCTCCTTCCCTCCTCCCTCCCTCCTTCCTTCCCCCCTTCCTTCCCTCTCTTCTTCCCTCCTTCCCTCCTTCCCTGTCTCCTTCCCTCCCTCCTTCCCTCTCTCCTTCCCTCCTTCCCTCCCTCCTTCCCTCTCTCCTTCCCTCCTTCCCTCTCTCCCTCCCTCCCTCTCTCCCTCCCTCCCTCCTTCCCTCCCTCTCTCCCTCCCTCCTTCCCTCTCTCCCTCCCTCTCTCCTTCCTTCTTTCTCTCTTTTCTTCCCTCCTTCCCTCTCTCCCTCCTTCCTTCCTTACCCCCTTCCTTCCCTCTTTTCTTCTCTCCTTCCCTCCTTCCCTCTCTCCTTCCCTCCCTCCTTCCCTCTCTCCCTCCCTCTCTCCTTCCTTCCCTCTTTTCTTCCCTCCTTCTCTCTCTCCCTCCCTCCTTCCTTCCTTCCTTCCCTCCTTCCCTCTCTCCTTCCCTCTCTCCTTCCGTCTCTCCCTCCTTCCCTCTCTTCTTCCCTCTCTCCCTCCCTCCTTTCTTTGCTCTACTTGGGGTGTGTGTTTAAAACGTTCTTTAATTAATCGCTTACTTATTTTAACTTTCTTCTAGAAAAAGTGTTTAAATCTAAAACTATAATGTTAAGCACTGCTTTGATTAGATTCCGTGGGAAATGATACAAAGTATTTTGATTTTCACAGTTTTCTAAACAATATGTCATCAAGTATTCAATTTTCTCTTGACCAAGTTATTATTTAGAAAAATACTTTTAAATTTTCCAGTATATGGTATTTGGTGTTTAAACTCATACAATTAATTAAAAAATTCTACAGATTCCATTTGGAATTTAAAAAGTGGTATAATTACATTAAAAATTATGCAGAAAAATGAAAAAGCCATCCCCACCGGGCTAAAGTAAAACTTTAGGTCCATTTGGTAAATTAATCTTTTCTCACATGCATACTTACATTTATAGAATTGTACAAATAAGTTTTTTTGCAAAATTTACAGTTCGTTTTAATGTATTTCTACCAATTACTCCAAAAAGAAAGCTATTCATTTACCATTTATGCCGTGAGCATTTTCCATATTGCTTGCATAAATGTTTGTAATTATTAATTCTATTGGGAAGCATAGTATTCTAATGACCGAATGTACTAAAACAATTTTTTAAATCATTGGACATTTAATTTATTTCTATTTGAGGGCTATGATAAACAATGCTCAGTTGAATTTATAACTCCTTCCCTGTTTTAGATTATTTTCTAAAGACATATTTACATAAATGGGGTTCTGGCCCAGAAAGTATGAATATTTTTATGGCTCTTAATGTAATGCCGAATTGCTTCCCTAAAGCACTGGAGCATTTAAAAACACAATCAGAAACGTGTGAGAGTACCCATTTCTTTATTCCCTTGCCAGCATGAGAAATTATCATTTTAAGCCATTTTTTTCTAATTGAAGAGATCTTAAAGGGTAATGTGTTTTAATTTGCATGCGTTTTAATTTTTTGTAAGTGTTTATATGTTTCATTCCTACTTCTGAATCTTTTGTTCATGTCATTTGACCCTTTATGTATTTCCCTGTTATAACGTATATCATTATGGCTGACTTTAATAATTATTATTACATCAGTGCAATCTGTTTTTGCATATACTGCATTTTATTCTCTTCAGATACTACTCATGATACAAATATTCATTGGTATAGTGAGAACAATACTTAATGTTTGCTGTTCAATACAGACCTTCGAAGGCATATTCAATATCACCTACATTCTATTTGATTAAATACATTCAGACACTGCATTACACTGACAATACATGTAAAAATTATAACGGTATAATGTCTGAGGTAGCCAGAAAAACATGAAAATCACCCGTGTAGCCAGGAAAACAATACCATCCACCGTCACCTCTCAGTGTTAACATTTACGCATTAACAATGGTTTTCGTGTGATTAGCAGCTGCTTTGCAGGATGATTACATGCAAACCACGCCTATCTGAATCTTGGGGAACACTAAATCTATTTTTAAACTAACAGGGTAGAAAAGAAAGATGGCCCAGTGTTGGCTCCAAGCAACCTCCATCTGGACCTCTTCCTGTGCATAGAAGCGCTCCCAGGGTGTGGAGGTGGGGCCGCCTGGAACCAGGGGCTGGAGCAGCAAAGACAGTTGCTGTGTTCTGGACCGTTGTTTTGACCACGGCAATTAGCAGACCTGAGACGGAAAACGTTCCCCTGCGACCCTAGCAGGGGCGCGGCGTGGGGGTGGCTCGCTTCTTCAGAGCTGCTCAAAGCCCCGCGGGCGCAGACAGAGGGCGGTGCGGCTCCTCCCCACGGCGGTGTCTGCGGTGAGTGTTGACGGCTCCTGAAGCCCCGGGGGCGCGTGTTACAAGGCGCCCCCTTAGTTTGCCGTCTATAGGCGGCTCGTGTTAAGCAGCTCAATAGACCCCCTTCCTTATCGCAAGGACAGAGGGATTTCTGCATTCCGGGTTCTTGCTTTGGGGTACCTGAAGAATCGGGGCACACGTGGGCTTGGAGAATGAGTGTCAAGTGTTATTGAGTGGAAGTAGCTCTCAGCCTATGATGGAGGCAGAAGGGAGATGGTTTTCCCCTCGCGTGGGGCCGCTCGGTGGCCCCGGCCAAACTCCGCCTCGTCCTGCCAGTGGATGGCCACCAGCGTGCTCCTCCCGAGGTCCCCTCCACGACCAGCCGCTTGCACCTTCTTCTGTCCATGTGCTCCTCTGGACGTCTGTGTGATTGCCTGCTAGAGTCTCGGTTTTGTGTTGTTGTTTTCTTGAGACGGAGTCTCGCTCTGTCGCCCAGGCTGGAGTGCAGTGGCGCCATCTCGGCTCACTGCAAGCTCCGCCCCCCGGGTTCCCGCCATTCTCCCGCCTCAGCCTCCCGAGCAGCTGGGACTACAGGCGCCCGCCACCACGCCCGGCTAATTTTTTGTATTTTTAGTAGAGACGGGGTTTCACCGTGTTAGCCAGGATGGTCTCGATCTCCTGACCTCGTGATCCGCCCACCTCGGCCTCCCAAAGTGCTGGGATCACAGGCGTGAGCCACCTCCCCACCCCGCCCACGGTCTCGGTTTTTATAGGCCCGGGATGGGGGCGTGGCAGGCCAGGGTGGTCTTGGAAAATGCAACATTTGGGCAGGAAACACCTGTCCTCACCTAGGTCCGTGGGGGTGGAGCCCTAGCCAGGGACCATTCCCTCCTCTACCCAGCACTTCCCTTCCTGGCTTCGGTATTATTTAAAGGGACCACGCTCTTCCTTTCCCAGCACTTATGTATCAGATCCAGTCTAAACAGATTCCCACTGAGTCCAGATGGGGGGATTACTACCCTCAGGCCTGTGTGCCTGGTGGCTGTCTCTGGAGTGGAGTCTGTTCCCGCCATGAAGCTGTCGAGGCGGTCCCTCCAAGCTGATTGCGTTGCTGTTGTCGCTGCTCTTTCATATTTCTCCTGTGTCTCCTTGAGCCCCAGATCGGGACCTGCTCCTTTCGCAGAGCGTATGATCTGAGGGGTTGTAATCTGGGTTGGAGGCTTTATCTTCTTTTAGAACTTGGTCCCCTGCTGCCCTAGTAGTCCCCTTTCCCCATCTACCAGCACCCAGCAGCACCCTCCTCTGTGGCCCCTGAGCTGCTTACAGAAAACCAAAACCAAAATCAGGAGTGCTTTTGGAAGCAGAGTCAGCCTCCAGGTCTTTGCTCCACATTCGGCTTACCCTGTGGATGGCTGAGGGGAGTGAAACCAGGGAGCTCAATTAACATCTGGACCCTGGCCCAACCTGGAAGAGATCTCTTGGACTTGTGAGAATTAATTTAGGTTCAGAAAGTGCTTAGAACAGTGCCTGGAACAACGTCAGCTCTTAATAAATGGAAGCTATTATCTTCTATATATAGGTTAGTTCTGTTTCTCAAGTTCTCCCTGGATAAAGTTTTCACGTGATCAACAATGGCTGCTTGTTAGAAATTGTTGGAATAAAATAAAAAGCATGCCCAGTTGGACTGTGTGTTTAATGTGTACGGTATTTTTAAAAAATAACTTTTCCTATTAATTCTTTTGAACCTTTTTGATTTTTTTTTCACTGAGAGCAGAGGAAAAAGCTACATTCTTCATCAGTTCTAAATACTATAATCAAGAGTTAGACTCATTAGAATGGAAGGCTATGCAAACTTTGACTTTAGATCCTGTAGAATGTCTAATGTACAATAGGTGCTTAGTGAGCAGTAATACATAAAACTTATATAACTTTTGTACCAAGTAGAGTTGTAAGTGCTTGCTTTACCTATATTAACTCATCCATCTTTTAACTCACTCCTGTAACATTAGCAGCAATGTATTTTTTAAAATTTTCTAAATGAGGAGGCCGGGTGCAGCGGCACACACCTGTAATTCCAGCACTTTGGGAGGCTGAGGCAGGCGGATCATGAGGTCAAGACCATCGAGACCATCCTGACCAACATGGTGGAACCCCATCTCTACTAAAAATACAAAAATTAGCCTGGCGTGGTGGTGGGCGCCTGTAGTCTCAGCTACTCGAGAGGATGAGGCAGGAGAATCGCTTAAACCCGGGAGGCGGAGCTTGCAGTGAGCCGAGATTGCGCCACTGACTCCAGCCTGGGCGACAGAGCGAGACCCTGTCTCAAAAAAAAAAAAAAAAAAAAATTGTAAATGAGGAAAACTGAGAAACATGGCCAAGGTCATTGAGCTGGTAGGACACATCTGGAATTCAAACCAAGATATATATTTTGAAGAATCTATATGAATAAAAGCCCCACTTTTGAAATTAAAAAATTCTGACAGAATCAAGTAAATGCAAATTAAAATAGTAACCAGACACCATTTTACTTCTATCAGGCTAACAAGAAAGAAATTATGACAACACTCAATAACCATGAGAATGTGGATCCAGGTAATGCGCAAACATTCTGGTAGAGTGAAGTAAGTGAAACCACTGTGTAGAGCGGTTTGGCAGCATCTGGTAAAGCTGGAATGTACACTCCCAAAACCTGGCAGTTTCACTCTCAGGTAAACACCTGAGAGAAAGATTCTTGCACAAGTGTTTAGGAAGGTGCACAGCATTGCATGTAAAAGCAAAATAATTGAAACAGAGTAAATTTCCTTTGTCAGAATAAATAAATTAATTGTATCATTGGTATATAATGCAATAACATATAGAAGATAAAAGGAATGAAGTAGAACTACATGTCTCATGCTTTCAGAGAAATCTCATACAAGTTGCAGAGCAATGGTAAAAGCAAATTACAGAATAATACGTACAGTAGGTGTGGCACCATTCTACAAAAATTATAGTATTAATCACTTTATTGTTTTCAAAAAACATCCGGTGAAGACATGGGTACACTTCAAAAATGACTGTTAGGACTAATCCATGCTGACGGACGGCAATACCATAGTGATGAAATATCATAGTGATTAACATATGAGTGAAAAGAAAAAGAGTGATACATTTCATTGTCTTTCTAAATGCACACTTTGTTATCAATAATTAAAATTTTCTAAAAGCTTCCAAATTGGAAGCTTCAGGTCTTTCAGGTCTATCCATAGAGTATTTCTTTCTTTATCTTTTTTTTTTTTTTTTTTGAGACAGGGCCTTGCTCTGTCACCCAGGCTGGCTGGAGTGCAGTGACTCAATCTCTGCTCACTGCAACCACTGCCTCCTGGGCTCAAGCAATCCTCCCACCTCAGCCTCCGAATAGCTGGGACTATAGGTGCACACTATCACACCTGGCTAATTTTTTGTATTTTTTTGTAGAGCCAGAGTTTCACCATTTTGTCCAGGCTGGTCTCAAATTCTTGGGCTCGAGTGATCCAATCCACCCGCGTCGGCCTCCCAAAGTGCTGAGATTATAGACATGAGCCACCACGCCCAGCCAACTGAGTAATTAAATTGAATACTTATAACTGATTTGAAAAAATATGAAGCTACAATCCAAAGAACTCATTTATCAAAGTGCTTCCTTCTAGGTTGATGTATAAAATAGTTCTCTGGGCTAGGTGCAGTGGCTCATGCCTGTAATCCCAGCACTTTGGGAGGCCGAGGCAGTGGATCATGAGGTCAGGAGATCGAGACCATCCTGGCCAACATGGTGAAACACTGTCTCTACTAAAAATACAAAAATTAACTGGGCATGGTGGCACATGCCTATAATTCCAGCTACTCGGGAGGCTGAGGCAGGAGAATCACTTGAACCAAGGAGTCAGAGATTGCATTGCACCACTGCACTCCAGCCTGGCGACAGAGCGAGAGTCTGTCTCACTAATAATAATAAAATAAAATATTTCTCTGGCCTGGTGTGGTGGCTTACGCCTGTAATCCCAGCACTTTGGGAGGTTGAGGCGGGTGGATCATTTGAGGTCAAGAGTTCAAGACCAGCCTGGACAACATGGTCAAACCCCGTCTCTACTAAAAATACAAAAATTAGCTGGGCAGTGGTGGCTCATGCCTGTAATCCCAGCTATTTGGGAGGCCGGGGAGGGGGTGGATAATACCTTGAACCTGGGAGGCAGAGGTTGCTGTGAGTCCAGATCTTGCCACTGCACTCCAGTCTGGGCGACAGAGTGAGACTCTGTCTCAAAAAAAAAAAAAAAAAAAAAAGTTCTCCAAGTTCTCAAATATTTCTAAACTCTGATTGATGATGGGTAGCAAAGACAGAATGTGTATACTTCTAGCATGCTGACTGATTTGTGTGTGTGTATTTCACATTAAGCTTCATCCTGGAAGTTTTGTAGTTCAATCACTCTGATTGTATGGCAATGTGACTGTGTAACTACAGCTAGTACAGCTTCAATTTTGATTGGTGGAATACAGAAGCTGGTTTGGATGAAATTACAATAGTCACTCAGCAAATGTGTGGGCTTGGTTCCAGGACCCTGGCAGATACCAAAATCTGCAGATACTCTAGTCCCTGGTGTAAATGGTGTAGGATTTGTGTGGAACCCATGCACACCCTCCTGTATACAGTCATTTCTAGATGACTTACAGTACCTAATACAATGTAAATACTATGTAGTGCTTATACTGTATCCATTTTTATTTGTATTGTTTTTTGCTATTGTATTGCTATTTTTTATTTTACTTTTTTCAAATATCTGTGGTCAGCAGTTGGTCGGCTACACCAGCTGTCCTTCAAGGGCAGCAATATGCATTACATCTATCAACACTAAGCCTAGGAATCGCTAACCACAGCTGCTGATTAGAGAGCATTTTACTTTATCAGAGAACCAACAAACTGCTCTTGAAAGGAAGGAATTACTTACAGGTGCATCTGGGAAAGACGGGAAAGAGGTGGGTCACAGGCCTTCAGATGTAAGCACCTGTTATTGGGAGGACGGCTCATTGCACATGGGTCTCCCACAGTTCAGATGGGACGTTGGCAGAAGCTGGAAGTACAGAGTGAAAGTCCACCAAAGCATTCTGGCTTCTCTTATTGCAACTATGAATAATGATTATTTGGCTGGGCACGGTGGCTCACGCCTGTAATATGAGCACTTTGGGAGGCCAAGGCAGTTGGATCACCAGGTCAGAAGATCAAGACCATCCTGGCCAACATGGTGAAACCCCGTCTCTACTAAAAAATACAAAAATTAGCCAGGTGTGGCGGCATGTGCCTGTAGTCCCAGCTACTTGGGAGGCTGAGGCAGGAGAATTGCTGGAACCCAGGAGGTGGAGGCTGCAGTGAGCCAAGATCGCACCACTGCACTCCAGCCTGGGTGACAGAGCGAGACTCCATCTCAAAAAAAAAAAAAAAAAGATAATAATAATAATGATTCTTCATTAAATAAATAACAATTTCTAGGACAAATGTAAAGCCAGCTGGGTCACTGTACAATGTGAGAAACCAGGACTCTCTTAGGCAAAGAACTTCTGTAGTCCCCCTATTAATGACCATCTATGGGTCTAGCATTTTCTACACGTGGATGTTTCTACCAGTGTACTCGCCTGTTAGCTGACTAATTGCATTTCCTGGTCATTCCTCTTTCTGAATTGATTTCTGACATTATGGCATATCTTTAATTTCCACCTTCTAAGAACTCTTTTCTTTTTTTCTGAGACAGAGTCTCTCTCTGTCACCCAGGCTGGAATGCAATGGAGCGATCTTGGCTCACTGTGACCTCTGCCTCCCGGGTTCAAGAGATTCTCCTGCCTCAGCCTCCCGAGTAGCTGGGATTACAGGCACCCGCCACCATGCCCAGCTGATTTTTGTATTTTTAATAGAGACAGGGTTTCACCATGTTGGCCAGACTGGTCTCAAACTACTGGCCTCAGGTGATCCACCCACCTCGGCCTCCCAAAGTGCTGGGATTACAGGTGTGAGCCACCGCGCCTGGCTAGAATGCTTGGTTTTCATTATTTCCTTGAATAGACCTGTAGGAGCTTTGCCATCATCAAGACTGCCCTGTTAATCAAACCTCATAGTAATAAACAGACAGCCTGGTTTCCCAGCCAACAAAGATGCATGCATTTGACGGCTTTTGAATATTAATGTTGTTGAACACCTCCTGGGGCTAATCGACACAGGCACAGAAGACTTCTCCAGGCTCTTCAGTACAATTCCGAAGGTCTACATGTCCTTCATTAGCATCCTGCAAGACTTTCAGAATGTTGTATGAAGATGAATCTTTATTTACAAAATAAGCTTTGAAGTGATTTGAAGAATATGTGAAGAGCTTCTTCTGAGCCAAGTATTCAAGGTATTTGCTTCTTGGATCCAAGGATGTCATTCATGTGGGGTGCTTAAGTCTCAAGTTTCCTTACATCTCAGGAAAAGTGAGTGGAATACTTTCCTAAATTCATTCCTTCATGGATGTTGTGCCGGAGAGTCACAACTGCCTCTGCACATTGTGTATGACTGATTTCCTGATACTGATTTTCTTTTAAGAAAAATCCTAGCATTTGGAGGTAACAGTTCTATGGGAAGCTTTCATAAATTCTTCCAGTCGGGCACGGTAGCTCACATCTGTAATCCCAGCACTTTCGGAGGCCAAAGTGGGAGCATCACTTGAAGCTAGGAGTTTGAGAGTAGCCTGGGCAACAAAACAAGACCCTGTCTCTACAGAGAAGAAACAAACAGGCCGGGCGTGGTGGTTCACGCCTGTGATTCCAGCACTTTGGGAGGCCAAGACGGGCGGATCACCTGAGATCAGGAGTTTGAGACCAGCCTGACCAACATGGAGAAACTCCGTCTCTACTAAAAATACAAAATTAGCTGGACCTGGTGGTGGATGTCTGTAATCCCAGCTGCTTGGGAGGCTGAGGCAGGAGAATCGCTTGAACCCAGGAGGCAGAGGTTACGGTGAGCCAAGATCTCATCATTGCACTCCAGCCTGGGCAACAAGAGCAAAACTCCGTCTCAAAAAAGAAAAAGAAAAAAGAAAGAAAGAAACCAAATTCTTCCACCTTCCATTCCAAATGCCTAATACTGCGTAGGTCTGCTGCTATTTACATACGCAGGAGATAAAAGACAACAGCAATGAACTTGTATTGATGAGCTCTAATTAATCCTAAAATGCTGGTTTATCTTCTTTGATACTGTAACTGGCAGGATAAAGTCCTTCTTTCTCCACAAGGCAAGGATTGCGGAGAAAGCTGGTGCTTATTCAAGAACTCAAGAGGGTCCCGACAAGCAAAAAACTGTTGTCGACGGTCACTTGAGAGTTCTCTTTGTTTTGCTTATTCTTTTGGGTTTTGTTTTTCTTCTGAAACTGTATTACTAGTTCGGTGCCAAGAGCTTTTCACAACTAAGTTTTTGTTCCATGTTTCTCCCTTCCCCTGAAGTAGCTTTCATCATTCATTTATTCTTTCTTTCTTTCATGTATGTTCTCATCAATGTTTCTCATGATGCACCGACTCCTTCCCAGGCACAGGAATAAAACAGTTACAGTCTCTGATCGCAGAGTCATGGTTTTGTGGAGAGCGAGGGCAAAGAGGCAAGACCTGGGCTTGACACAATGCAGCCATTAGGTTTGGTAAATATTTGGTTAATATCATCCGTGTCCAAAACTAATGTAAAACCTGATAGCTTTGCTGCTTCTAGAAGAGGATTACGAAGACTGATAGTAGTACCTATTTAATCTTTTATTTTTATTTTTTTTATTTTTTTTTTTTGAGACGGAGTCTCGCTCTGTCGCCCAGGCTGGAGTGCAGGGGCGCGATCTCGGCTCACTGCAAGCTCCGCCTCCCTGGTTCAGGCCATTCTCCCGCCTCAGCCTCCCGAGTAGCTGGGACTACAGGCGCCCGCCACCACGCCCGGCTAATTTTTTGTATTTTTAGTAGAGACGGGGTTTCACCGTGTTAGCCAGGATGGTCTCGATCTCCTGACCTCGAGACCAACCCGCCTCAGCCTCCCAAAGTGCTGGGATTACAGGCTATTTAATCTTTATGTTTGCTTCTCAATATCATGAGAATCCTGTCAGACTCTTGTTAGAGAATGAAATTAATTAAAAACATGGAGTTTTAAGAATCCTTAGGGAATCTTCAGGCAAAAAAATAAAATTTGTCTTTTACAGTAGTGGTTTCACCCTTGCTCTCTAAGTGGTACCTATAATTCGCATTAGAACTTGTAGCCAACCATCGTCTAAACTGAGTATCTCTTGTTAATGGAAGTAGCATATCTGCGTCTCAAGTGGTAATTGAATGAAGAAAAGCACACACTTGATTCTATGAAATTCTATGAAAAAGTTTTCAAAAAATAAAGCATATCGTTTAAATTAAGGGAACTCTATGAGGATTGAATTTTTGAGTAGATTAAATGTTGCCTGGGGAAATTAATGAAGAATATATCACAGGAAGAAATCCTGCTTTGGGAAGTCGGCCCCAATTTACATCGTCTGTTTCCGGTTACCCCCTCATGGAACTGACCTGGGGCAGGTGATAACTGACCCTGCCTCCAGGTGTTCATTCGCCTGTTCGCAAATCCCTAGAGGAATATCCAGGGCACCCATGGATCCAGTGGCCTCTCCCACATAACGATGAGTGTGATAATATGTTACCTTTGAGTTATTTCTGGTATTTTCACTTATACATGAACCTCTTCATTGACTATAAATTCTTTAAGGACAGGGACAGCAACGTTGGTCTATTTTATACCTCACTTAATAAATTTCAAAAAGCCGACTGAAAACAAGGCTAGGGCCAGGCACGATGGCTCATGCCTGTAATCCCAACACTTTGGGAGGCCAAGGCTGGTGGATCATGAGGTCAGGAGTTCGAGCCCAGCCTGGCCAACATAGTGAAATTCCATCTCTACAAAAAACACAAAAATTACCTGGGCTTGGTGGCGCACACCGGTAGTCCCAGCTACTCCAGAGGTTGAGGCAGGAGAATCGCTTGAACCCGGGAGGTGGAGGTTGTGGTGAGCCAAGGTCACGCCACTGCACTCCAGCCTGGGCGACAGAGCAAGACTCTGTCCCCTCCGTGGCAAAAAAAAAAAAAAAAAAAAAAAAAAAAAAAGGAAAACACGGCTAGATGATCAATATTCAGAAAAATGATTTTACATTTAACGTATGCTTTTTTTTTCTTATTTTCAACCTTTTTCTTTCTTCCAAATCTCAGGAATTCGTTAAACTTTATTATTTATGAGCTTAAGTCAAACTTTTACCAGCTCAGCTATAAAAAATACTGAATAATAACTTAATTAAAAGCTTGAAAACATTTTAGAAAATCATGACAGATGGCAACTATTCCACAGTTAAGGGGCATTTTAAAATCACTGACGAGATATAGCACTGGAAATAGTTTGCAACTTCGATCAATTCTCTTTTTATTTGCTTAAAAGTGGGTGTCAGACTCATTATAATGCTTTTAGAAGGTTGGTAATAATTGATATTTGATTGTAAAAAAAACCTTGTAAGCAATCTCATTTTATTCAGAAAACAATAATTGTCTGGAAATTCAATTTAATGCTATGATTATAGTCAGAATGCTTTATTTGAAATTGCAGACTCAATAGAAATTAAGATTTCACTTTCATACACTCATTATTTTTTTCTTTAAAAACAAAAGAAAAGCTTTCCCCAAATATATGAAGCTATTACAGAAGAGAAGGGGGTAATCAATTTCTAATATATAACGCCATGGCAATGAAATGAACTATAATTTAAATAAAAGCATCTTCTGTTAGGTCAGCAAAAATGCAAAGAAAGCATTTTACTAGCATCCCATTTCTCTCACAGTCAGAAAGATGAGACTAATGAACAGACTATAAAGGTTAATAACAATCTCATTTTGTTCTATTTATTCTCTCAAAACATATTGCCATATTTTTACAAAGTCTTCTTACCCCTTGAAAAAACAATTTCAAAGTAACTTTAGGAAGTCAATCAATTTCTCCAGACAAGAAAATTGTATGTTTGGTTAAAAAAAAGCACTTCATACCTTGGATTAATTTGGTTCGATTTGTAACTCTGAAGAGCACATGCCACTTACCTTTCATAATCTCTGAACCTCAGTTCACAATCTGAAGAAGTTTAGAGTGTCAGACCAATAGCACATGTGACTACAGTGGGGTGATTACTGAAGTGAGCGAGATCACCCAGGAGCTCGTGTGCAATGCATTTTAGAGGTTCGTTCATTTTTGGCAGAGATAAGAGGTCACAGTCTTTTTAATACACATTTTTTGTGGCTTCTCTAACATATTTTCCACAGTGACTATTCCAAGCCTCCTCTCCTCCTCAGTTTTCAATTGCATGTTTCTTCCGTGTTTAGCTTTTTTATTTGGAAGAATATAAATTATTTATTTAGGAGGTTACTAAATTTCCCCCACATTATTCTTGGCTTTTTTTTTTGAGATGGAGTCCTGCTCTGTCGCCCAGGCTGGAGTGCAGTGGCATGATCTTGGCTCACTGCAACCTCCACCTCCCGGGTTCAGGCGATTCTCCTGCCTCAGCCTCCCAAGTAGCCAGAATTACAGGTGTGCACCACCACACCTGGCTAATTTTTGTATTTTTAGTAGAGACGGGGTTTCACCATGTTGGTCAGGCTGGTCCTGAACTCCCGACCTCAGGTGATCTGCCCACCTTGGCCTCCCAAAGTGCTGAGATTATAGGCGTGAGCCACCGCGCCCAGCATGTTGGCGTATTTTTTGTCAGCTATTTTTCTGGTCTCCTTTCTTTAAAAAAAATATTAGAGTGGGGTAGAGGGAAGAGCAGAAATTTGAGATTGTGCTAAACTTGGCTAAGTAAGTCGGTAATTCAACCTTGTAAGCTTCAGTTTTCTCATTTTTAAAATGGGCATAATGGTCTGGGTGCAGTGGCTCACGCCTGTAATTCCAGCACTTTGAGAGGCCAAGGCAGGAGGATGGCTTGAGCCCAGGAGTTTGAGATCACCCTGGGCAACATGGCGAGACCCCCTTCTCTTTGGAAAGTAAGGAATTAGCCAGGCTCCGTAGTGCATGCCTGTATTTCCAGCTACATGGGAGGCTGAGGCTGGAGGATCTCTTGAGCCGAGGAGTTCAAGGATTCAGTGAGCTGTAATCACACCACTGCACTCTAGCCTGGGTGACAGAGTGAAACCCTGTCTCTAAAACAATAAAAATAAAAATGAAAAAGGGCGTAATGGTACCTACTTCACTAGATTGCTGGGAGATGCCTTATAGAAATGCTTAGCAAAATGTCTCTATTCAGCTGGTGCAAAATAAAAATCAACATTCGTACTTTTTTTAATGAAAAAGTACAAATCTCTGCATTCCTTATTACTCCTTTCTTTTGCATCTTAAATCTTTCTCCTGCCCCTGGCTTCTTCCTGCGGGCCTTCAGACATACAGCAGCCTTTCTCCATTCTCCCAACAACCTGCCCCTCATTTGATTCTCTGATCTGATCAAAAGCCGCCATCCTATCTTGCTGCCTTCCTTCTCTGGCATGTCAACAGCCACTGCCTCCATTTCTTCCTCCTTGTTCTCTATTCATTCACTGCAATGTATCCTCTTTCCACGGAACTCCTCAGAAACTGCACTTTCAAAGATTTCTAACAATCTATTAAATGTCACATTAAATGACCTTTTCTCTGTCCTCTGACTATTTAATATCTGCAGAAGGGTTATACTCATACCTTCTGGGAGCAATCTTCTTTCTTGATGAATGTGGCTCTCGTTGGAATTTGTGGTTATTCCAGACGATGCAAAATATATATATATATATTTATATATATTTATATCTATATTATATATAGATATATCATGACAATAGCAATTTCTGTCAAAAAATGTTTTCGGGGAGAAAGTGAGCATGCATTTTAGTACAGACTATGTACTGGCTTGGTAATGTCAGTTATTAGATGATTTAAATCCTCAAATTAAACTCTAATTATCAAAGTAGCAAGTACATTTTCTCTAGGAAATTACACAATAGAGCAGTGGATAGAGGTTTTTTTATTTTGTTTTGTTTTGTTTTTAAACTTCACCTCTTCTTCTAGTCTTGCCATATAGCCTCGATTCATCAAATAAAATACTCAGGTCAAGAAATGTGAAACTCTGAGCTTGGCTTGGCCATAAAACTTTTCTTCTCCCAGATCAGGGCTGCTGCAGGCTGGAAGTGTGCTCTGTGAAAGGGGAGTCTGCTTGTCCCCTCCACATCTTTGCCTTGTGCATTTCTTCCTCTCTTCCTTAGCGAACCGGAGCTTCAGCTGGTGCAGCACAGGTGGAAAGGTGGGCAAAGTGGGAGAGGCCAGACCTGACCAGCACCGAGTCAGCAGCACAGAAACGCTCCCCAGTGCCATCACCACTTGTCAGCCATTCCCTTTCCCTCTACATCTTCTGGGCTAGCTCCAGGCCCCAGGCCACCAGCAACTCAACTAAAAAGCTTGCAACTAAAAGCAAGCTCTCCATTGGCCCCCTTGCAGCCGGCCCTCTCTCTCCAATCTAGAGGACAGGAGGAGGGGGCACTGCCCTCCCCAGGGAATGACTTGGGGTTGGTAACTCAGGGATGCTCTCTAAAGAAATAACGGCACGGATAGTCTCCTCCTTCCTGCTCAGATCTCTGAATGTCCTTGGCCCGATTGAAGAGTCCAATAGCTGTGGAGATGGTGCTCAAAAACTCCCTTTGAATATCTGCACACATTGACATAGGATCTCACTTGGGAGCACCAACATAATTGCCTTTTGGTACCTAGCAAATCATTACTTTAGAAACCTGTAGCACATACTCACATGCATATACTCACATACACACACTCACATACATATACTCACATGCACATACTCACATACATACACTCACATACACACACTCACATACACACACTCACATACACACACTCACATACACGTACTCACATACATACACTCACATACACACACATACATACACTCACATGCACACACTCATACATACACTCACATACACACACTCACATACATACACTCACATACACACATACATACACTCACATGCACACACTCATACACTCACACACACTCACATATATACACTCACATACATGTACTCACATACATACACTCACATACATATACTCACATGCACACACTCATACATACACTCACCTACACACACTCACATACATATACTCACATACACACACTCACACTCACATACACGTACTCACATACATATATTGTGGACATCTTTTCATCTTAGGATATTCTTCTCTTTTTATTTATTTATTTTTTTGGAGACGGAGTCTCGTTCTGTCGCTCAGGCTGGAGTGCAGTGGCACGATCTTGGCTCACTGCAACCTCTGCCTCCTGGGTTCAAATGATTCTCCTGCCTCAGCCTCCTAAGTAGCTGGGACTACGGGTGCGCACCACCATGCCCGGCTAATTTTTGTATTTTTTAGTAGAGATGGGGTTTCACTATATTGGCCAGGCTGCTCTCCAACTCCTGACCTTGTGATCCCCCTGCCTCAGCCTCCCAAAGTGCTGGGATTACAGACGTGAGCCACCCACACCCTGCCTCTTCTTAACTTTTTGTAAGGGAGGATACTGGGTCTCAGAGATGTTAAGGATCTTGCTTAAGTATATACAACTAGAGAAATTTGTAAAAGTGGGATTTAACCCTATGTCTGCCTGATGTCAAAGCCCATGTCTATATCCTAACTGTGTATCTCTTTCCTACATTTATGTAGTATCTCCCAGCTTCTCAAAAATTGCCCCAACCTCCTAGGCAGTGTAGATTTAGGTAAAGCTTACAATTTTTGTTTAAATGTTACTGTGTCTCCAGGGCAGGGCCGTGAATGTTGACACATTCACAGAAAGTATGTAAACCCAGCTAGTTACAAGTATGTCGCCTACACACATAGGAAAGAAGCGTGAACAGACCGGGCTTCTGCCCAGGAGAGGTTGTGGACCTCTGAGTTTCTTATTCATTCATTTCTTCAATTATCCAGTGAAGGGAACTGAGCACTCTGCCATAGTAATGAACAAGAAAGACAAAGTCTATCATCGTGTTTATTCTTCTGCTGGGAGAGATGAATACGTACAAGAGAATTCAGGTTGTTACAAAGTTAGATGTCTATAAATCAAGGTAATGGGGGTAATATGTCACTGGGATGTTGAAGGAATCCTGAGCTCCTGCGTGAGGGGAGCCAAGGAGCTAGTCCTGTGAAAAGTCAAGGGAAGAACCTTGCGGTCAGGAGTGTGTGGGAGCCGCATTGAGACTGGATGCACGTGGCCCCACTTAGCAATTGTTGGAAGGTGGGTTCAGGGCTCTGGGTTGCAGGCAGCCCATGGTGGACCCCTGGGCTGGAGCCTCAGAGGGGGGTGCCTGCATTGGCTTCCATCATTTAAAGCTCCTGAGGCCAGGTGTGGTGGCTCATGCCTGTAATCCCAGCACTTTGAGAGGCCAAGACAGGAGGATCACGAGGTCAGAAGTTCGAGACCAGCCTGGCCAGCATGGTGAAACTCTGTCTCTACTAAAAACACAAGAAATTAGCCGGACATCGGGGCGCATGCCTGTAGTCCCAGCTACTCGGGAGGCTGCAGCAGGAGAGTCGCTTGAACCCAGGAGGCGGAGGTTGCGGTGAGCTGAGATCAGACCATTGCACTCCAGCCTGGGTGACAAAGCAAGACTCTGTCTCAAAAACAACAACAACAACCAGAAAAAAAAACTCCTGAAATAATGGGGTGGGGGCTGTCCACAGACATCCTCTTCCCTGTGCGTCCCACCAGTGCCTGGGGGGCTGCTCCGTTCACCCCACCCCTTCACCATCATACCTAGGTAGAATGCCCGACCTTCTCCTTTGTCTCATGTCATACTTCACAACAGTTTTCAAGGCCTGATGATCTCCATGTTTCAGATGAAAATCTAATGCTTGAAGCGGGTAGAGGGACAGGCTTTCCTGACTGGATTTCTGATTCTACTTGCTTGTAATTTCAGTCATAGTGTCTATAAAGAGACTTACGGATTGTGCCTGGTAGAGTTCTAAGATGGACCCCCAAGACTCGTGGCCCCTGGAACCTCCTTCCAGTTATTCAGTCAAATACTCATCTAGTTACTGCTGGGAAGGGAGTGTGAAGATATCATTAAGGGTCTAAATAAGTTGATTTTAAGACCGGGAGATTATCTACATGGGCCTGACCTAATTACATGAGCCCCCTCTAAAAGAAGAGAATTTTCTCTGGCTGGTCACAGAGAGAAAGTCAGAAACGTCCTCCGGCTGGTCTGAAAGAGCCAGCATTCACATACACACTGCCCGTGGAGTAGGTCATGTGGTAGGAATGGTACCTGCCTCTGGGGCATAGGAGGCATCCCTGGCTGACAGCCAGCAGGAAAATAGGACCCCCATCCCACAGCTGTGGGGAAATGACCCCATCCATGCCAGGGAGGTTGGACCAGGACCTCACGCTCCCGGGGAGTGCCACACCTGGCCAACACCTGATTTCAGCCTGGTGAGACCGGGAGTAGAAAATCCAACTCCACTGTGCCCGGACTTCTGACCCACAGAAACTGTGAGGGAACCGGTTTACATTGTGTAAAGCCACTATTTGTGGTGATTTGTTAAACAGTATTAGAAAATGAAAACACAGGCCGGGCGTGGCGGCTCACACTGTAATCCTAGCACTTTGGGAGGCTGAGGCGGGCAGATCACCTGAGGTCAGGAGTTTGAGACCAGCCTGCCCAACATGGTGAAACCCCGTCTCTACTAAAAATACAAAAAATTAGCCAGGTGTGGTGGCAGGGGCCTGTAATCCCAGCTACTTGGGAGGCTGAGGCAGGAGAATGGCTTGAACCTGGGAGGTGGAGGTTGCGGCGAGCTGAGATCGTGCCATTGCACTCCAGCCTGGGCAACAAGAGCAAAACTCCGTCTCAAAAAAAAGAACAAGAAAACACATAGACTGTTCACAGATTTTAGGAGCTCAGCTTATATGAAGAAAACTATTATGGCTTTAAAGAGAGGGTTCGGAAGCAAGTCTTCAACTCAGGAATCAGATGGTCAAATCATCATGTGAAATCACAGTTAAAATCAGTAATGTGATGGTTTATGGACGGCATGTGGAGCCCATTCTGTATCTTCTTATAACTCCTTTATTACTGCAAATATTTGAAAGCAAATAAAAATACTGTATCATAAACAATACCCTTGGGCCAGGCTTGGGGACTCACACCTGTAATCCAAGCACTTTGGGAGGCCGAGGTGGGCAGATCACCTAAGGTCAGGAGTTCAAGACCAGCCTGGCCAACATGCAGAAACCCCGTCTCTACTAAAAATACAAAAATTAGCCAGGCATGGTGGCAGGCACCTGTAATCCCAGCTACTTGGGAGGCTGAGGCATGAGAATTGCTTGAACTTGGGAGGCAGAGGTTGCAGTGAGCTGAGATCGTGCCACTGCACTCCAGTCTGGGTGGCAGAGCGAGACTCCATCTCAAATAAATAAATACATACATACATACATACATACATACCACCCTTGTTCTGAATGCTTGTGCCCACAAATCCCTTTATTATTTATCAGGAATGCACATTTTATCAGACCACACGTTTCAAGTTCAAGGCTCCACCTAAATACTGACATGTTAACACTCCTGCCATCCTCCAGAAAATGTTAACATTCAGCATATAAAAGATAATACGGCAGCACAGGCATAGATTTCTTGTTAGCCTGCAGAATTGTAAGTATTTAGCTTGATAAGCTGCAGAATTATAAAATGGTAAAATATTAAATAACTCTGAGTAAAGGAGAAGCATCAAAAACCTGTACCAATTCTGCCTATCTTCATTAGCTATATGCATACAACACAATGTGAATCACTCTTTGGCAAAGATGCAGTTCATTTGATCGGTGGAGGACACCAGCTTCAGATGGAAAAACTATAAATTTCACCTAAAAATCAAATACATCTGGTGCATCATCAGAGTGTTGAAATGTAAAAGATGTGTCTTATACTGATGTTCATTTTGGGGAAGCTAAAATGGAGGAGCTTGCCAGTGTATCCATAGAATGTTGAAAATATACTGGGTGTTACCATTAGGAAATAGCACCTTTCTGAAGGTTCTCCTGAGTTGCTTTCAGTAGCAAGTGAGTACAAGAAAACACTGGCAGGTGAGCAAGGTGGCTCATGCCTATAATCTCAGCACTTTGAGAGGCTGAGGCGGGCGGATCACCTGAGGTCAGGAGTTTGAGACCAGCCTGATCAACATGGAAAAACCCCATCTCTACTAAAAATACAAAATTAGCCAGGCATGATGGTGCATACCTGTAATCCAGCTACTCAGGAGGCTGAGGCAGGAGAATCGCTTGAACCCGGGAGGTGGAGATTGCAGTGAGCCGAGATCGCACCACTGCACTCCAACCTGGGCAATAAGAGTGAACCTCCATCTCAACAACAACAACAACAAAAAAAAAAGAAAAGAAAAGAAAAGAAAACACTGGCTCCTGTTTCTGCCATCACAAATTGGGAAGAAGCTAGGAAGATGTGCAGAACATTTTCTGGGTAGGGTGGGCTGGGCCATGTCCACATAACAAAAAGGAAGCCGACCTTTGAAAATTATCTAGCTCAGGCGACCGAGGAAGCCAAACCAGATAACTCAGACTCAAAATGAATCTCTTCCAGAGTAATTTGTACTGCCAGTTCGTCAGTGCTTACACAAAACAGATGTTATGAAATGCAGATTTCAGAGGTCAATAATAAAATATCTGCAGGGTATTTCCGTGATCATCGATACAAGATTTGTGCTGAGGAATGTGGAATCTTCCAGGACCTAATCATGCACTAATAATTTCAGCCTATTCTTGAATGTGATTTAACCTAGAAAATAAAATGCTAAATGGAAAGCCTTATTCAAACCGAAATTGTACATGATGGAACTGGTCTATTTTCTGTGACAGTGCACTTGCACATTTTGGTGTCGCACTTTGCTGAAAAGTTCCTTAGATGGGTTTCAGTCGAAGGTGCTATAGAAGTTTATTTGTACTGTACTCAAAGTAAATGCATTCTCTCCAGACTGCAAGACTGCAAGCACAGTCAATAAGATGAATGAGTTTCTCGAACTCATTTAGTGCCTTGTCTATAATAGTCCCATTACCAAGTCCCATGTAACTTGGCAACTTTTCATCGAGGTGGCCTCGGGACCGAATAAGCAAGGAGAAAATACAGCTTCTTGCCTTGGCACTTCACGTAGGACCTGATGCTCCTGGCGGGCTGTGATTGAAAGTAGGTCTTACTGCCCGGCCCTCTGAAGCCGCCTTTTCTAAAAATGTTGTACTTTGGAAAGGCACTTCCGCATTACAACTGAAAAGGCAAAGCCGGACTCAAATATCCAGTTCCGCATTAACCTTTAGGATTTTGCCTCTGGATTTCCGAACCAGTTAACTCTATTCCCTTTCTACCTGGACATTTTAATGGAAAATGGTTGTGGCTGGTTTCCTGTACTTTGTGTACTGCCCAAGGGATAATAGCTTGACATAGGCAAATAACAACGGAAAGAGTTAACTCTAAGCTGAGGTTCTGTGCTTCAGTTGCCAGAAAGAATGCATTAATTAGATGTGGTTCACTAGAATAATTTATCTAGAAATCTAAAACCTTTCTTGCATAAAGATTCAAGCCCAAAGAGGCTTCTGCCATAAAGAAAAACAATATGGACTTTCATATGGCTTGTGAGGGAGACGTATACATCTCATCAAATGCATCGGGCTGAACCAGCTAAGTATACACAGGCTGCATTTAAACGGGAGAAGTATCTTGACTCTGGCAGTCAAATTTGGCCAAAGCACCACTTTATCTGTTCAGATGTCAGGTTGGTGGAGTAAACTTGACTGGGCTACGGTCCCTGGTCCACGCATCCACACAGTGATGGAGGCGGCCTGAGTCTGGTATCCACGGATGAATTCTAAAGCCTCTGTAAATCCCCTTAAAACTAGAAGCAAATTTTTGTATCTGTGTGCAGATGTGGGCTTTTGTGGGAATTGGGTGCTTAGCTTTCATCTAATTCTCAGACAGGACAATTGACCTTAAGTGTTTAAATATTTTCTAATTTTTTATGACTATAAACACAGACATAAATACACTATTTTCGCAGATGAGCTATCAATGCTAGTCTTTTTCCGTTGTTCCCTTGCTCCTGCAATCTTTCCACATTCACCTGTATTATCCTCCCTTATCCCAGCTGTCATTCCAGGTAACCCATAGTAACAACATGATGTGGATGATTCTGTACTTTTCTCAAAACTCATAGTATCACATGTAAAATTTGTTTATTTATACTAATGTATATGCATATATTTGAATTTATAGAGTATTTCTGGTCATTGTTTAAAAATGTGTCTTCTATTATATACACTCTGTATTTTATTTTTCTTATTCAGTAATCTGTAATGGAAATCTGTTTAAGTTAGTACAGAAAGCAATTTCTTCGTTGTTTTGGCTGCATGGTATTTAGGGCACGGATGCGACGTTACAGTCCTGTGCTGCTTAGTGATGGGTATATATTTGGAGAAATGTGTCCTTTAGTAGTGATTTTTGTTATATGACCATGATACCGTGTACTCACACAAACCTAGATGGCAGAGCCTTACACACCTGGGCTATATGACATACCTATTGCTCCTAGGTAACACACCTGTACCGCAGGTTACTGCACTGAATACTGCAGGAGGTTGTAACACAATGGTAAGTACTTGTGTGTTTAAACATAGCTAAACGTATAAAATGTGCAGTAAAAATATGGTATTATAATCTTATGGGATCACGGTTAGATATGTAGGTGGGCCCTATAATCTTATGGGATCACGGTTAGATATGTAGGTGGGCCCTATAATCTTATGGGATCACGGTTAGATACGTAGGTGGGCCCTATAATCTTATGGGATCACAGTTAGATATGTAGGTGGGCCCTCACTGACCAAAATGTCTGTAGTTAATCAGTCCCTGCTGCGGTGGGTGTTCACTTTTCTTCTTGATCTTGTTTTGTCAGTATAAACAACGTTTCAGTAAACATCATTGCACGTATATCATTATCAACTGTTGTTCTCATTGTTTTGGCAAAGATTCCTAAAGATGGCATTCCCAGGAGAAAAAGCATGTTCTAAAATTTAATAGATGCAGTCAGATGCAAAGCTCATATGATACCAGCATTAGATAAGAACACTTTTTTACCTGCCAGGTTCGGTGGCTCACGCCTGTAATCCCAGCACTTTGGGAGGCCGAGGCGGGCAGATCACGAGGTCAGGAGATCAAGACCATCTTGGCTAACGCAGTGAAACCCCATCTCTATTAAAAATACAAAAAAATTTAGCCGGGTGCGGTGGCTCACACCTGTACTCCCAGCACTTTGGGAGGCCGAGGTGGGCGGATCATGAGGTCAGGAGATCTAGACCATCCTGGCTGACACGGTGAAACTCCGTCTCTACAAAATATACAAAAAATTAGCCAGGCGGGTTGGCAGGTGCCTGTAGTCCCAGCTACTCGGGAGGCTGAGGCAGGAGAATGGCGTGAACCCAGGAGGTGGAGGTTACAGTGAGCTGAGATCGCACCACTGCACTCCAGCCTGGAAGACAGAGCCAGACTCTGTCTCAAAAAAAACAAAACAAAACAAAAAACAAACTCTTTTACCTTCTCACAATAGGTTTAATGCTTCTTTTAATTTTTTGCATGCATAGGTGCTATAAAATAATATTTGTGTTTTTTGTTTGTTTCTTTGTTTTTTGAGATAGAGTCTCGCTCTGTCGCCCAGGATGGAGTGCAGTGGTGTGATCTCGGCTCACTGCAACCTCTGTATTTTTAGTAGAGATGGGGTTTCACCATGTTGGTCAGGCTGGTCTCAAACTCCTGACCTCATGATCCGCCCGCATCAGCCTCCCAAAGTGCTGGGATTACAGGTGTGAGCCACTGCACCTGGCCATAATATTTGATTTTTAATTTAATTTGCATTTTGTGACTACTAGTGGGTTGAAACATCTGGTGAAAGATCTACCGGCCATTTGGAATTGTCTTTTTAGGACTTTCCAATTCACACCCTTTGCCCATTTTCCTATTGGTTTCTGTTGTCTTTTTCATATTAATTTTAGAGCTGTTTATATATTTATTATAGGTTATTAACCATTAAGTATCATCTGCAGAAAAAAGTACAAAAATTATTTTCCAATATTTTAAAGTTGTATGACATATTTTGGTGCAATTTTATTTTTTGGAAATACAATTAAATATGTCTTTTATGGTTTTTTTTCTCTTTTTTTGAGACAGAGCCTCACTCTGTCACCCAGTCTGGAGTGCAGTGGCATGATTTCGGCTCACTGCAACCTCCGCCTCCCAGGTTCAAGTGATTCTCCTGCCTCAGCCTCCCCAGTAGCTGAGACTACAGGCACATGCCACCACGACTGGCTAATTTTTGTATTTTTAGTACAGACAGGGTTTCACCATATTGGCCAGTTAGGTCTCAAGCTCCTGACCTCAGGTGATCAGCCCACCTCAGCCTCCCAAAGTGCCAGCATTACAGGCGTGAGCCACCGCGCCTGGCTGGGTTTTTAGTTTAGAAGTTTTCTCCAACCCCCAGAATATTTTTATGGCAAATTTTTAGGATAAAATCTTTGTGGAAAATATGTGGAGAGTGAAGATGTGGATGAGGAGACTTTCTACCTATTTATCTTGAAGGCTTAATCTGTAAAATGCGTCATTTTATTAAATATTAAATGACTTACAAAAAGTTTTATCCCAAATTTACTGCCACTGTCAAAAAATCACCATAAAAATCTTACATATGCCCTACTCAAAATGAACGCTTCACCTCAGTACTGGTGAGGGGTTCCCAAGGGTGCTATGATGTCTCGTGCTGACATTTTAAAACCTACTGAGGCCGGGCACAGTGGCTCATGCCTGAAATCCCAGCACTTTGGGAGGCTGAGGCAGGAGGATCCCTTGAGCCCAGGAGTTTGAGACCAGCCTGGGCAACATAGTGAAACCCTGTCTCTACAAAAAACAAAAACCAACAACCCCAAAATACCCAGGAGTGGTGGCAGGCACCTGTTGTCCCAGATTGTCAGGAGGCTGAAGTGGGAGGATTGCTCAAACCCACGAGGCAGAGGCTGCAGTAAGTCGAGATCATGCCACTGCACTCCAGCCTGGGCGACAGAGAGAGACCCTGTCTTATAAATAAATAAATAGGCCGGGTGTGGTGGCTCATGCCTGTACTCCCAACACTTTGCCAGGCTGAGGCAGGCGGATCACAAGGTCAGGAGTTCGAGATCAGCCTGGCCAACATGGTGAAACCCCATCTCTACTAAAATCACAAAAATTAGCCAGGCGTGATGGCACACGTCTGTAATCCCAGCTACTCAGGAGGCTGAGGCAGGAGAATCGCTTGAACCCAGGAGGCAGATGCTGCAGTGAGCTGAGATCATGCCACTGCAGTCCAGCTTAGGTGACAGAGGGAGACTCTGTCTCAAATAAATAAATAAATAAACCTATTGCGCATTTGTTTATCATCACCCCTGCTTTCCCTAGCAGCTTAGCCCTCCATATGTCTTAGTGTTTGCTTCTGCCGGGCTTTTGGGGATACAATTTAGAAAGTATATTTAGTATCTTCACTCCGGAAATTACATAGCAATGTGTGTTTACTGTGGTCGAGAAAGAAACAATTCTGGCCTCTTAAATATAAACTTCCACAGAGGATCACCCATGCAACGGAGTGGTCAGCATCCCCTTCATTCACTTTAACATTTTCACAATTATATAACTTAGCATCACACTCTGTTGTTGTTATAGCTCTTTGGATCCATGTAGGAATTTGTGTGTGTCTGTATCTTCTGAGAATAACTGACATATTTTGCTTGTAATCAATGTTAATGTATGAAATCCATTGAGCAAAACTTGCTAAAAACAATTGTTTGTAAAATTTTTCTTTAAATGTTGAACAGAAAAAAAAAACACACAGAAAATTGTGTTACTCTCTTTCTTTCCCTTTTTTTTTTTTGGGAGACGGAGTCTCACTCTGTCGCCCAGGCTGGAGTGCAGTGATTTGATCTCAGCTCACTGCAATCTCCGCCTCCCGGGTTCAAGCAATTCTCTTTCCTCAGCCTCCCGAGTAGCTGGGATTACAGGTGTGCACCACCACGCCCAGCTAACTTTGTGTATTTAGTAAAGATGGGGTTTCACCATGTTGGCCAGGCTGATCTCGATCTCCTGACCTCTGGGATCAGCCTGCCTTGGCCTCCGAAAGTGCTGGGATTACAGGCGTGAGCCACTGCACTGGCCCTCTTTATATATGCATAGATATTGACAATCTCATTTTTTCCCTCATTTTTGGGGGCTTAAAAATAATGACATGGGAAATATACAGTTACTGGGAAAATAAAAACACGTCAGAAACGTACCACAGAGGAGGGAAATAAAATTGCTCTCCAACTGAGGAATGCTAAGGCTGAGGTCAGAGATTGTTAAAGCTTTGTTTGGGAAGTTGAAGAAGAGTTTTAAGGCTTTGACTCCTTCTTCCCTTTGAAGACATCAGAGTGAACAGAGACTGTTTTGTTTCAGACCCTAATAAAGGTGACATTTAAAAAGCTGTATAACCACAGAGCTTAGGCTTATTCCTGGGAGTGCAAATGGGATACACCAGTATTTAATGCCTGCATTACAATTATGCCAAGGTCAAGGACAGCTTGACTTCTGGATATTCCCAACCCTTGTGAAATACTACCTACTGGAATTTCCCAAAGTGATATGGTGTGTACTATGGGCATTCACAGGCCAGCCCTTCCAGCATCGTTCCCATGATTGGAGCCACAGTCTCTTCCCAAGCCCCAGGTGGCTGGAGATACTGTCACTGTCCTCAAAGCTGCCTGAAGGAGCAACATCACTGCACTGTTCCATGCATGAGGCTGCCAAGGCCATGCCAAGGTTTCTCCAGTGCCTCCACCTCCATATGCTTCCCTTGACGACAGGGCTGTGAGCACAACTTTCTTGCAGTGATAGGCAGAGAGACCCTCTGCCCTGCCGGGCTGTGCTGCCAGCTGGGTGCAGACCTAGAACACTGGGATCAGAGTCCCCCAGGGCTCTGCTCATGCGCCCGTAGCTTCCTCAGGACTCTTAGCTTCAGATTTTCTACTGACATCAGCTTGAAAAGATAAACTCTTCACTTGAACAATTAATACTTTTTTTTTTTTTGAGATGGAGTTTCACTCTTGTTGCCCAGGCTGGAGTACAATGGCGCGATCTCAGCTCACTGCAACCTCTGCCTCCCGGGTTCAAGCGATTCTCCTGCCTCAGCCTCCTGAGTAGCTGGGATTACAGGCATGCACCACCAAACCCAGCTAATTTTGTATTTTTTTTTTTTTTTAGTAGAGATGGGATTTCTCCATGTTGGTCAGGCAGGTCTCAAACTCCTGACCTCAGGTGATTCATTCGCCTTGGCCTCCCAAAGTGCTGGGATTACAGGTGTGAGCCGCTGTGCCTGGCCTTTTTTTTTTTTTTAGACGGAGTCTTGCTCTGTCGCCAAGCTGGAGTGCAGTGGTGTGACCTTGGCTCACTGCAACCTCCACCTCCCAAGTTCAAGTGATTCCCCTGCCTCAGCCTCCCAAGTAGCTGGGACTACAGGCACCTGCCACCACACCCAGCTAATTTTTTTTTTTGTATTTTTAGTAGAGATGGGGTTTCACCATGTTGGCCAGGATGGTCTCGATCTCTTGGCCTCATGATCCGTCAACCTTGGCCTCCCAAAGTGCTGGGATTACAGGTGTGAGCCACCACGCCCGGCCACAACTAATAGTTTTCAGGAGCGTGGTGGTCTCAGTTTATACCTAATGCAAATTTCAGTTTGTTGGTAACAACAGCAGCAGTGTGCATAGATGCAATTCAGCCCACTACTCACGCAACTTCTCCCCATGCTTGTGCAGAGCAGTTTTTCTCCTTGGAGCCACAGATATTGCTCCTTTTCATTTGCATAGCTAAATTATTCATTCGAGTGATTTCCCAGAACAAAGGTATGATGTGTGTGTGTGTGTGGGTGTACCAAATGTTAAATATATATATATATGCGTGTATGTATATACCTATTATATCTATGTCTACATCTAATAACCTTTGGTCAACAGAGCATTGCTCTCAGTTTTGAAAGTATTTTCTTCTTGTATCTCCATTCATATTTCAAAGATCAAAGTGTTTTGGACTTCTCCACTCTCCACTTCATAATCTTCCTTCATTTGCTTAAACCTGCTTCACAGATTACCCCTGTGAAGATGGTATGGCAGGTCAATATCCCTATTGAAAAAATTTGTTTTCAGCTTTCTTGAAATATGATTGACAACTAAAAATCCTATCTATTGAAGGTGTACAATGTGATGTTTTGATATACATTCACATGATAAAATGATGACCACAATCAAGCTAATTAACATATTCATCACCTCACACCATCTCTTAATGTGTGGATTTATTCTTTCAGCTATTTTCAAGTAGATAATGTATTGTTATTAACTCCAAGCTGTATGTTTCAATGTCCAGAACTTAATTATCTGATGCCTGCAAATTTGTCCCCTTGGACTAACACCTCTCCATTCCCGCCCCACCTCCTGGCCTCTGGTATCACCCTCTGCTCCCTGTTTCTATGAGTTACACTTCTTGAGGTTCCACGTACAAGTGAGATCAAGCAGTATTTGCCTTATCTCACTCAGCACAGCGGCCTCTACGTTCATCCCTCTTTTTTTTCTTTTTTCTTTCTTTTTTTTTTTTTTTGACAGAGTCTTGCTCTGTCACCCAGGCTGGAGTGCAGAGGCATGATCTTGGCTCACTGCAACCTCCACCTCCCGGTTCAAGTGATTCTCCTGCCTCAGCCTCCCAAGTAGCTGGGATTACAGGCCTGCACCACCACACCCGGCTAATTTTTTTATTTTTATTTTTATTTTTTGTTTTGTATTTTGAGTAGATACAGAGTTTTACCATGTTAGCCAGGCTGGTCTCGACTCCTGACCTCATGATCCGCCTGCCTTAGCCTCCCAAAGTGCTGGGATTACAGGCGTGAGCCACTGCGCGCAGCCGGTTCATCCCTCTTTAAGTGAGTTACTACGTGAACAGTACTTAGGAGAGTGCCTGGTAGCAATGAGCGTTCACATAACTTCAGCTCTTGCTGTTCCCTTTCTCATCTAGGTCTTTGTAGGGATCCCTGCCCCATCCCACCACACCCCTGCTATTCTCTCACACAAGCATTATGCAGAGAAAGAAGACTCAGCTAGAAGGCCTTGCTCTGAGATGCATCATGCCAGTTCTGGAATCCAAAGGTCTCTCCAGTCTTTCCCATGTACCTGGAACTACTGGAAAGAGATACCTTGTCACTAGGTAGCACACACAGCCAGGAAGTCACCGTGCGGGGGTTAGATGACAGCATCGGGCTGTCTGTCCAGACAATATGTTCATGGGGTCAAAATACCGCGCTGTGGTGTGGCTCAGAACGGCAGGTCTATACCAGGATCCTGCAATGAGCATTGTGCCACGATTCGGCAATAAGGATTACAGGGGCAGAAAGGCATGATCTCTTTCCTCACCTGTCATAACGGTCATGGCTGACATTCCTACAGCAAAAGACAGGTTAACAAGAGAGGAGCATAACAAACTTATTTAATCCAACTTTTATGTGACGCAGGAGCCTTCAGAAATGAGGATCCAAACACTCAGGAAAAACCATTTTTGTGCTTCAGTTAGATGACGGATGGACAGCCGTGCAGCAGTGTGACCGGACAGGAGGGTCTGATCTGATGGTAACAGATGGAGACCTGTCGGTGCAGGCTCTTCCTGGCCTCTTTGCACAGCGCTCCTTCCTCCTCGTGTGGGGCAGGACCCTCTAGAATGAGGGTCTTCAAGGGAGGGGAGAGAGAACGACTGTTTAAGGTTTTAAGGCTGTCTTTTGGGGAGAGGGGTCCTAGTTTGTGAGACCTGCCTTGGGGAAGAGGAATTCTGGTTGCTCTGACTCGCTTTGGGGGAGAAAGAGCAGTGGGAGGCAGGAGGACGGGAGAAGGTCAGAGAGCCACTTTGCTGCTGAGGCTGCTCCTGAGGCCTTCCAATCTCCTTTAGTTCAATGTACTCCCAGGCCAAGCACCACAATTGCGGGATTGTTTCCTGAGACCTGTCAGGACAAAAGACCCAGTCCCTGGTGCCGCATCACTCCTAGATCAAAAGACAATATAACAGCATTCACTCATTCCAACCGGTTCAAATGCCAGTCCTGCTTCTTACTTATGTGTGACCTAATGCAGTGTCTAAACTGTTTCCTCCTCTGTAAACAAGGGATGTTAACAGTGACTACTTCACGGGGTTGTAGTGAAGATTAAGTGTATGTTATGTATGTAACATGTGGTGGATTGGTGCATGGCATGTTGTGAAAGATTAACGTGTTAACATGTCAAGTATGACGGGGTCTTAAAGAGAGCAGGGACGCAGGGCAGGGGAGAGAGCTACCAACCCGGTCATAGGATAAAGGTCTGGATGGAAGAGGGGGGCAGAAACTTTGTGGAAGGCTGCAGTTGGGCAGCGCTGCAGTTGGGGGAGGCCGGTTCACAGGGGTGGACCCAGGCAGCGGTGCATTTCCTGCATTAACCATGTTTACTTAAGGGAAATCTTTATCTTAGGCACCTGCTGATGTGAACCAAGGTCCCCTCACGGAGCCCTTCCTGCTCCCCGTCTGAACTTCAAACAGGCCCTGTCCCCAGCTCCTGCGGTTTGTACTTCCTACCTCTGCGTTAGGCACTTCTTGCACCTGCCACTAACCTAATATTCATTTTGCCCGTAGGACGTGTTGATTGACTGCACGGAAGCTTCACAAGGAGAGGATTTTGCATCTGTTTCGTTCACGGTGTTGTCACTGTCATCATCAGCTGTATAATGGATGCTGGCACAGAGTAGGTGCTCAGTATGTCTTAACAGGGTGCGTGGCTGTGTGAATTAGTGGGAGAATTGTGACAGGACTCTGAGTCAACTTAGGGAGGCACAAGTATGCCCCTCGCTGGAAGAATTAGGGAGGGCAAGTAAGATAAATGCACTCCTCTTCTGTGAGGGCTTATCTGTCAATGGAAGAGATGCCGTTTAGTTTACCATATTTCTTTTCAGCTCTCTCCACCCAGAGTTAAACAAGCTGGTCCTCATAGCCACCATCCAAGATTCCAAGTTTCAACTGCCCCATCTCAGGTGTGATGTCTGTGGAATATTGAGCCTGAAACATTTAACCTCCAAACCTAAACTTGAAGAATGATGATGGCTATCACAGGAAATTACATTCTAAATGGAACATGATACAGAGGAAATTAAGTCTGTCTCGCTGTCTTGACACATAGACGCCACCAGTATCTCCTTTAGAAAATGTGCACTTCTAGGCTCTAAGCTTTATGAGGACAAGCACCACATCTGCGCCATTGTGACTTCGGTACCTGGTCTCCTTCACTGCTCGTTACATAGGAGGTGACAGGAATGATTTGATTAATGAATATATGCATTTTAGGGGGTCATCTAACTCAGGTGGTATATTGAGAAAAAGACAGGTCTTTTTCATAGCAGGCTATTAGTGGCAAAAGCCTGGATTAGAAATCAGAAAGAAAACTTTGGCTTTAGTCAAACCAATTATGAGAAGTTGACTAAATTCCTCAGTCTCTTCAACACTTTTATGTTTGTGGTATAAATGAACCATAAAATTATAGTTTGTAATTTAAGATGGAAAACATCACTTATTTTTGTTCCTTGAGTGAGTCAGAAGGTAAGTGACCTAAAGCATTGAAAATTATTACTTTTGTTGCATAAACGATATTTTAGAGAACCATTAAATAGTTTATCTGTAAAGTAGTGATAATTTCTGTTTTACCTAGAGTATAAAAGTAACGTGAATTTTGTAAACTGGGAAATACTAATAAAAAGTAACCTGTTATATTACATTTCAACTTTCTTTATTTGTCCAATGATTAGTGCAATTGCAGAAGTTTTGCTTTAATACTCTTTCACCTTTTTATTGGTTTTGTTTTGTTTTTGCCTTTAGTACTTTGACTTTGTTGCTTTGCAGTTACACAGAGTTAAGTTTTTCTTTGTGCTGTTGTCTGTACTAAATTTTGGTGAACTCTCTGTGCAGCCGCAGTTTTAGTGGTTCTTGGGTTGCTATAGTTAAATACTTTAGGCCGAACACTTTATAGGATACGCTTATTCCAAGTAAATAACTCAGTAGGAAGCTCATTTCTGCATATTTCTTTACTGCTTGCTCATCTAGTGTGACAAATGCCCTTTCAAAAGTTTAATAACACCGAATGCTTAATACCTTGGGCGAGGTAAAACCAAATTAGCTGGAACCGCAGATTTTGAATATTTAATAAAGCATTAATGAACAACCAACCAAATAAGAAACATACAGTTTGTTGTTTTGACAGACCTCAAACCAAAAAACTCTTTTTAAATTGCTGCAGTCTTTTCATTTTCACCATTATGGTTAAAAATCTACCAGTAATTTCATTATAAACTCTATTTCCAGAGAGATTCTATTTGGCAATAAAAATTAATTCTGATTTAAGAAGTTTTTTTATGTTGCTGTAATATACCACAAAATTACAGTTTCTAAATTCATATGACTGTAGGGAATATGAGTCTGCTAGCAATTCCCTCCCCTCCCCACTTTTTTTTCTCCCACAGTATGGAAGACAAATGACCAGAGAGATTTTTAAAATTTTTCTTTCTTTGGGGCTATACAAAATATTTAATCAGTGATATCGTTTGTTACTCCTGGGCATATATAAATATTTGATATGCTTTCTTAAAGGAAGTAACAACCTGATAATAATTACTTTCCTGTGTAGGTCTTATCTATATAAATAAATTCAAATTATTAATATAATCCACAAGAATGAACACATTTTGCATAACTGAGAGATACTACTCTAAGCCTTGGATATTTCTGATCCAAATCCCTACATAATTGTGTGCATATGTTAGTCATCATAATGCTAGCTGCTGTAACAAAAAAATCCTCACAAATAACAGTTCATTTGAAGCTCATGAAGCAGTCCTGGATGGGGGTGTCTATTGGGAGGCTCTCTCCTATATAATCGCCTAGGCAGCTGGTGTGGAAGAGACTGTCATCTTCAAAGACTGTCATAATGGCTTCAAAGATTGTCCTAATTGCCTTCATCCCTAGTATCTGGAAGAGAAAACAAACATGGGTGAGTGTGTTTGTGAGTTTTATAGACAAGATCTGGAAGTGGAACGTGTCCCTTGCACTCAGATGTCATTGACTAGAGCTCGTAGCCACAAGGGAGGTTGGGAGATGCAGGCTCGTTTCTTACATAAAAAGAAAATGAGCCAGGCATGGTGGCTCATGCCTGTAATCCCAGCACTTTGGGAGGCCAAGGAGGGCGGATCATGAGGTCAAGAGTTCAAGACCAGCCTGACCAACATGGTGAAACCCCATCTCTACTAAAAATACAAACATTAGCAGGGCATGGTGGCAGGTGCCTGTAATCCCAGCTACGTGGGAGGCTGAGGCAGAAGAATCGCTTAAACTCAGGAGGCGGAGGTTGCAGTGAGCAGAGATCATGCCATTGCACTCCAGCCTGGGGGACAAGAGAGAGACTTCCTCTCAAAAAAAAAAAAAAAAATTAGCCAGGCATGGTGGTGCACACCTGTAATATCAGCTACTTAGGAGGCTGAGGCAGGAGAATTGCTTGAACCCAGGAGGCAGAGGTTGCAGTGAGCTGAGATTGCGCCACTGTACTCCAGCCTGGGCGACAGAGAGAGACTCCATCTCAAAAAGAAAAAAAAAAGAGAGAGAGAGAGAGAAAATGACAACACAGATTTGGGAGAACAATGATTAACCTTTGCCATAGTATGCATGCTTGATTCACTAGTTAAGATCAAAGTAGTATTGCTACGTTTAAACTTTCGATGTAAAATAAAGGCATTGGTGTTTTCTGTCTGTTTTTTGTAAATTATCTACTGTGGGCAAATGGGTATCTAGTCCAAACTTAAGCAAAGTTGAATTAGAGAAGAAGTCTAGTTAAATACTGTTTATTTGAAAATATATTCAAAGTTAATCTTTTTCCTAGGAATACTGATTTAAAAAATTAAAGTTACCATGATTGAATGGATATCTTTGAGGAAACAGATAATTTAAGATGTATTTCATCAGCCTTCCAATACTCCTCTGTAATTGATCTGAGCCATATGACAGTGACTGGTCTGTAATACACTTAACTTGTCATAGTCAATGTCTTGGAAATCAAAGTATTTGTTTATGCTATAGCTTCCTAAATTAAGTATTATAATGGAAGTCACATGGGATGAGACAATGATCCCTAATTTATAAAATATGAAACCAATAACTATCTCTTTAAAAAAATTGATTGGCCAGGCGCGGTGGCTCATGCCTGTAATCCCAGAGCTTTGGGAGGCCGAGGCAGGCGGATCACTTGAGGTCAGGAGTTCGAAATCAGCCTGGGCAGCATGGTGAAACCCCATCTCTACTAAAAATACAAAACAGCTGGGCGTGGTGGCAGGCGCCTGTAACCCCAGCTACTTGGGAGGCTGAGGCAGGAGAACTGCTTGAACCCAGCAGGTGGAGGTTGCAGTGAGCCAAGATCGTGCCACTGCACTCCAGTCTGGGTGACACAGCAAGACTCCATCTCAAAAAAAAAAGATTATTATAATATGGTTTTGTCAAGTAGATCATTTCAGAAATTGTGTCTCTAGTGACCTTGGTAAATCAAATCCTTATTTTTAGCAAATTCATTAAGAACAGAAACAGACCTTGGAAGTCCTGGAAGCTGCTCCATTTGCTTCTAGGACCTGCATTTCACCATGATCCATTAACCTCCTCTGTAACATTAATGAGTGGCTTGTATGCATCAGAAATAGGGGCACGATGATGAATAGGAGCTTACGGTCTAGTGAAGGGACACACATATGGCACCATCACCCTCTTCCACTGCAGAGCTGGCACTGCATACATTCGTAGCAAAGAGAAAAGCAAAGGATGCAGGGTGGGCTGCCTACCTTTAGTAGCAGAACTGAAAATCAGTTCCTGAGTAGATGTATTGGCGGGAATGACACCTAGCTGTGACTGGCGAAAGATTCTCAGTCCTGGGCCCGTACATGCTGAACAATGCACTGTTGTCATCCTGAGTTCGCTAACCCAGTCAAGCATGCACTGGCTGTTTGGTAAAAATTAAATATTCATCATAGGCAGAACCATTTTTAAAGCACTAAATGATAATTCCTAAGGAAAACTGTAATTGGCATTTCTATTCTTGAAGCTCTGACACCACTCATCTCTCTCTCTTCGCTTATAGAGTGGGGCATGATAAAGAAGCTCCCCCATGGTTCCAAATTCTACCCATCTAATCACCAGTGACAAGCATAGAGGCACGAGTGGCAGAAAGAAATACCAAGGGACCACGGCCAAGCTGGTTTTAGGGGTAGCCTTATCCTTCATATCTGTATCAGACAGTCAATAAAGACTTCAGGCTACCTCTCCTCCCATTTCCCTTCCTCTCCATAGGCTATGCTCCAGGCCCATTCTCTCAGCCACCATCTCGTATTCCATGATACATATTTTTTTTTTGTCACTGCATCTCATCAAAGGTTTTCTTTCCTGTGTCCCACAGCTTGGCACTTACTGGAGAGCTAATAGTCTAACCTAGCCACTGTAGTATACTTTCAAAATAAAGGACGCCTTAGAAAACGCAGGTTCACAGTGCTCCAAAGCGACTCCGCTAGTCAAGATCTTAGAGAGCATGGATTACTGGTGGTAAAAGTAACTGTGGGATGGAGATCATCTTAGTGCCTTTGGTAGACAGACTCCTAAAACAGCCTCCAGTAATCTCTACCTCCTGGTATTTATGCCTGTGTAATCTGCCCTTGTGGGTGGACTGTAAGTAATAATTCAATTCTAAACCAATACATACAGCAAAATAAATGAAATGCTGCTTATGTGGTTAGTTTATGAAAATCCATGATTTCCAGCTTGTTAGCAGGCTTTCTCTCCCGCCTTCTTGGCTTGCATGTAATAATGAAGAAAGCTGCTGTGTAGGAGGGGCCCACATGGCAAGGAACCGAGGGTGGCCTCTGCTAGCAGACAGCAGACACTGCAGCCCTCAGTCTAGGAGCCCACAGGGACTGATTGCTGCCAAAAATCACTGAGTAAGCTTAGAAGGGAATCTTTCACAGTTCAGTCTTCAGATGAAGCTGCAGACCTCGGGCTGACCTTTTTTTTTTTTTTTTTTTTGAGATGGAGTCTCACTCTGTCACCCAGGCTGGAATGCAGTGTCATGATATCAGCTCACTGCAACCTCTGTCTTCCAAGTTCAGGAGATTCTCCTGCCTCAGCCTTCCAAGTAGCTGGGATTACAGGCACCTGCCACTGTGCTTGGCTAATTTTTTGTATTTTTAGTAGAGATGGGGTTTCACCATCTTGGCCAGGCTGGTCTCGAACTCCTGACCTCACGATCCACCCGCCTCGGCCTCCCAAAGTGCTGGGATTACAGGCATGAGCCACCTTGCCCAGTCGGGCTGACGTTTTGATTGTAACCTTGTGAGAGACCAAGACACAGGACACTGCTAAGCCACAGAGAAACTCTGAGTCACTAATGTGTGCTGTTTTAAATGGCTGCGTTTTGGTGTGATTTGTTACTCAGCAATTAATAGCTAATCCATGCCTTACACTCCTGCATTGAGATGGCTACACACTCTGCTAACTTGGGAGTGATCTCCTAGAGGCAGGAACAGTGTCTTTTGTATTTTAATATCATTACTACCTAACAATAAATACTTGTTAATTGAATGTATGAACAAATATACTTGTGTATGTAAAGCCACTGATCTCCAGTCCTCTGTACTGTTCAGCTTGGGACAAAAGTGTGTTCTTGTGGTCTCCTTTTGCTTGTGGGGGGCGGGTGGAGGGGAAAGGCTGGTAATTCCATTATGTTGGAAAGCTAAAGGGATATGACCATGTGGTCTTCTGCGTCTTCATACCAGTTCCTGTCAGAAGCCGTGGCCCAGCTCCTGTTGAAGCTGTTCTGCAGGCCTGTGTCCTATAACTTCTCTGCACAGCAAAGTTCTTCACTGTGTGGTTTCTATCAATCTAACTGTCTTTTATAATTCACAATGTTTTAGATTCCAGAAGCACTTTATTGGCTGTATATATCAGTGTTTTATCTGCTTAATTATATAATAATTACAAAGCTTTATCACTCTATAGATGTATTATATGTTGTATTACAGCAAAGGAAAAATTGTAAATTCGGAGGCACAATACATGTGCAAGTGTAAAACCTGGGGCCTGTGCTTGTGTTACTTCATGTTTATTGTTAAACAGTTAAATTCTAAAGCCCACTCTGCTGACGTTGATAGAGTGTGTAAACTGATAATAACGAATAATAATGGCAAAAATCAATCGCTAGGCTTTAGGGCTTGCCCAACAATGGAAGCTCTTGATATTTTGAAATGAGGGTATGCAAGAATGAAGCAAATTCAAACCGATGTGTTTGCTTTCAGCACGAAGAATATGAATTAGAAAAATCTGGAGGTGGAGAAATGGCATTTGCTGCCTCTCTCTGAAGTTAATATTCATTCAGCAAGAAACCACTCCATTGTAAAGCAGATGTCTGGAGGAACTGAGAGATCCTCTGGTTTTCCAAGCATGGTGTGGACACATCGGCATTGTAAGATTCTTAGCTCTTCTGTTTTTCTTGTATTTTGTAGCTGTTTTGAAATACTTTATGAACAAAGAAAGTAAAAATAGAAATAGGTAGAATATAAGAGTAAAACATCCAATAATTATTGGCATCAAGGAATTGAAATATTTCCTAAAGTAGAAAAGCTAGAATGCTCTCTGGGGGTTTAATTTAAATTATAGTTTTAGTTTTTTTAAACCTGTAATCAGTATACCTAAAGCAGGTGTTTGTTTTGAAGATAATAGTTTAAAAAGGCTTTTCTCTGTGCATCGTAATCAGGGTAATATTTGAGTCATTTTAATTTATTTTATATGGTGATTATTAGCACATTACATGAACGTGCTATACATTCATACAGAATGTATGACAGACCAGGTCTGTATTGTTCTTTTTATTATAGATTTAACTTTGATATAACAAGTTTTGAAGAAAGAAGAGGGTTGCCAATTACTTTTCTCATTGAAATTGAACATTTAAATTTCTAGTACTTAATACCATGAAAGCTGCATAATGGCAAAAAGCTTCATTATTCACCAGAAAGAATCCGAGAGCAGAATAATACATCCCTTGAAAGGATAATTATTTCAACAGAATTAGTGCATATTTTGTCTCTAAACTGAGGATAGCGGTAGAACTTAACTCATATGGCTGGAGTGCTAGATGGTACTTGGTATTAAATCAAATGGGGGTTATAAACTGCTTAGAGCAGTGCTAGGCACACAGTAATGGCTTGCTCACTTCAGATGCCATTCTTCTGCACAAGCGTCCTCATCTTGCTCATGCAATACTCAGATACACACAATTACACCTCTGTAGCTCATCTGATCTTCTCTACGAACCCTTGAGTTCATTTTCCAGGGCTTCTGTAACAAAATACCACACGTGTGTGGCTTAAAACATCAGAAGTGTATTTTCTGACAGCACTGGAGGCCAGGAGTGCAAAAGTTAGTCATCAGCAGGGCCACGCCCACCTCCAAGACTCTGGGTAGAATCCTTCCTTTCTTCTTCCTAGCTCCTGGTAGTGAATGTTAATTGGGGGTGTTCCTTGACTCACAGCCGCATGACCCTAATCTTTCTGTCATCCCATAAACGTTCTCCCTGTGCGTCTCTGTCTTCTTACAAAGATACCAGTTAATTGGACGAAGGTCCATCCTACTCCAGAATGGCCTCATTTTAACTAATTATATCTGCAACAACCCTATTTCCAAATAAAGTCACATTCTTAGGTACCAGGGTTTAGGATTTCAGCATATCTTCTTGGCAGACACAATTTAACCAGTAAGAGCCCCCATCTGCTGACAAATTTTTTAAAGCATATATAAAAATATAAAGTACTTTTGGGGCCAGGCACAGTGGCTCATGACCGTAATCCCAGCACTTTGTGAATCTGAAGGGGAGGATTGCTTGAGCTCAGGAGTTGGAGACCAGCCTGGGCAACATAGTGAGACCCTGTCTTTACCAAAAGTTTTTAAAAATCGGCCAGGAATGGTGGCATGCACCTGTAGTCCCAGCTACTTGTGGGGCTGAGGTCAGTGTAAGCCTAGCAGGTTGAGGCTGAGAATCAAGTGGCCATCAACGGATGGTTTATTTCTGGACTCTGAGTTCCTTCCACTAACCTGTATGTCTATCCTTGGTTGGTGTGTGACACTGACCACTGGAATGGTGATTCTGGCTATTAGTCTCCACTCCTAAATCCACATAAACTGCAGTCTCTTCTCCCAGTCTCAGCCACAAGTCCTCAAAGTCTGTTTGCATCTTTTTTTTTTTTTTTTTTTGACAGAGTCTTGCTGTGTCACTAGGCTGGAGTGCAGTGGCGCGATCTTGGCTCACTGCAACCTCTGCCTCCCGGGTTCAAGTGATTCTCCTGCCTCAGCCTCCTGAGTGCCTGGGACTACAGGTGTGCACCACCACGCCCAGTTCATTTTTGTATTTTTAGTAGAGACAAAGTTTCACCATGTTGGGCAGGATGGTCTCGATCTCTTGACCTCGTGATCCACCCACCTCAACCTCCCAGAGTGCTGGGATTGCAGGCATGAGCCACCGCGCCCAGCCTGTTTGCTTTGCATCTTTTTTATAAGAAAACATGCCTTTTTTTTTTTTTTGAGATGGAATCTCACTCTGTTGCCCAGGCAAGAGGGCAATGGCACGATCTTGGCTCACTGGAACCATTGCCTCCCGGGTTCAAGTGATTCTCCTGCCTCAGCCTCCCGAGGAGACGGGATTACAGGCACACCCTCCGCACCCAGCTTTTTTTTTTGTATTTTTAGTAGAGGCGGGGGTTCACCATGTTGTCCAGGCTGGTCTTGAACTCCTGACCTCAAATGATCCACCTGCCTTAGCCTCCCAAAGTGCTGGGAGTACAGGTGTGAGCCATCGTGCCCAGCCAAAATATGATATTTTAGATTCATTTATTTGTCACCCTTTGTAACCAACTCTTTGTCCTTTGTTTCAACTTATAGAGATGAGCTGGGATCTAAGTAGATCTGCAGCCTCCCTCTTGTACTATCTTGGGAAATTGAGCTGAAAATCCAGAATGCCTTGTTTTTCCGTTCCTCACTGGATGTTTCTAAAGTTTTGACTGCCTTTCGAACAATGACATTTTCCTCCTGTTCTACTTTCTTCTTTTCCTCTCATCACTTTTCCTACTCCACAACCTGCCATGCAGAGTGGAAAATATGGATGGAATATTTTTAATTTGTTTAGAGTGCTTATATGATTTAGTGTTTAACAGCTTAGGTTCTATAGCTAGTCACCCTAGCATAGGAAACTGACTCTGATATTTTCTAGTTGTGTGTCTTGGAACAAATTATTTAACTTCTGTTTTCCAGTCTTTCATGGCAAACTAATATTAATGAATTCAGTGAAAATATAGGAGCAGTAAATGATTCTGTACATGTAAAGCGCTTGGAAGAGCCCTGGAAAATGGTAAGTACTCAGTCACCTCAGGCTGATACTAACTAGCATTTCTGAATGCAACTGAACTTCATAGCCTCGCCCGGGCTTTGGCTTTTTGTTGTCTTGACAGCAGATCTTCCTCCTGACTCCAAGGTATTCATTGTCCAGTTTTATTGGAAGACAGGGTAAGGGTAAGAGAGATGGAACAGCTAACTACAAAGGAAAACTAAATCAGGAGGTTATGTAATCAAGAATACAAAACTGTTCTCCACCGGGTCTGGTGGCACGTGGGAAAAGTACAAAGAACCAAGAAGAAGCCTTAGAGTCTAGAGCCACAGGAAAGGCTGTGCTGATATATTCAGAGGGAAATCAGTAAAGGGAAAGAGTGGGAAAGAGTCTACATTATCTTTAAGGCTCTTAGACTCTTTTTAAAGACGTGCACATGTAGTCAGTGATAGGCCACCTAAATAGTATGGTCCTATACGATTATACAGAGAGCTGCACATTTTCTATTACCTCATGGCATCATAGCTGTCATAATGACATATCACAAAGCATTACCTTTTCTATGTTGAGATATGGTAATATGCACAAATATTTACCGCTGTGTTACAGTTAACCACAGTGTTGAGTACAGGTTTGTAGCCTAGAAGCAGTAGACTGTACCACGTAACCCAGGTGTCCAGAGGCTGTACCATCTAGGTTTGTGTACACTCTGTGATGTTCACACAAGGACAAAAATTGCCTAATGATGCATTTCTTGGAATTTGTCCCCATCATTAAGCAATGCATGAGTGTATATGGTGTTGAATTTTTTAACTTCTTGAAGTTTGCAGTTAAGCACAATTTATAAAATAAGAACTTTTCGACTCAGATGAATTATCTATGCAACATAAGCAGCAAATAGTTAAGGTTTCATAAATAGCAAACTCAACTGTCGATATTTTAAATGTTATATATGTTTGTTTTTGTCTCCATTCAGATCCAATTTTTGGAACTGAGGAAGACTCATTAAAGTTGGAAAAAGTTCTAAATGATTTGTCAAATATATTAACATGAACTGTGGTGAATAAGAAGAATTATATCTTTATTTGTTGTACAAAGGGCCTTAGAATAGATCAGTAGAGGCAGTTATCAGGAATTGGAGTCACATCTGAGTTTCTCTTCTGAGGAACTTGCTTTTTAGGAGGGCTTGTCCTAAAGCCCTCATTTAGCCACATTCTGTGATTTTTTATTTGAATTCCAAGAGTACTTGTGTAATCAGATGCCTGTGTGACAGTAAGAACTCTGGGTTTTCATTAGTAGTATCAGGACTTTCTTTCAGAAACAATGGTACTTGGAGTTAGCAAAGTAAAGACTGAAGCCTATCTACTCTTCATTTACGTACGGTACTCCCCCATCCTCATGCTTTCACTGTGGTCTCAAGACACAAGCAATGTGACATCTTAACTTACATAAAAGGATGGTAGGGAGCATTGTTGGAATAAATGGAAAGTGAGTAGCCGCTGCAAATGACTGTGACTTTAAGTTGGTGACTCTTCAGAACAGAGGTCTCCTTTTATCTTCTTTTTATATTACTTGGTATTTTGTGCAGCTACTTAGCACCTGTCCATGAGGACTGAAAACTCTTGGCTTAACATTGAAGACCAGATTTATGCATGACCCATATCTCTACTTGGGGAAAGCTGGAAAGTGTCTGAAGATTGTTACTGGGAGGCTCTGTTCGATAGATAAAAAAATTCAAGCTGCATATTGAAGAGCTGGGGAGAGGAAAATAAAAACAAAACAAAAAAATACCCTAAAAGATACAAAATATTAAAAAAGGAATAGAAAGGAAAAGAAAAATGCAGGCTGCAATCAGCCTGGGACATTCCCTTGTTCAGGAGAGTAATGGTCATTATCAGTATCAACCGCAGTAGCTATGGCTCTCAATACCTCACTTAACTGGGAAGTTTAATCCAAATGTTTGCAACCCCTTTATTAAGCCAACTTAGAAGCATCCTCTTGAACTGGAAAGGATTGCCAAAGAATATTGTAATTTTTTGATTGAAGGAAAGTTTGTATACAATTATTTCCTTATATTGATCTCAAGGCACATACTAGATGGTATGGATATGTCAATAAAGCACTCCTGGCCGGGTGCGGTGGCTCACACCTGTCATCCCAGCACTTTGGGAGGCCGAGGTGGGCGGATCACCTGAGGTCAGGGGTTCGAGACCAGCCTGACCAACATGGAGAAACCCTGTCTCTACTAAAAATACAAAAATTAGCTGGGCATGGTGGTGCATCCCTGTAATCCCAGCTACTTGGGAGGCTGAGGCGGGAGAATTGCTTGAACCCGGGAGGCAGATGTTGCAATTAGCCAAGATCACACCATTGTACTCCAGCCTGGGCAACAGAGTAAGACTCCATCTCAAAAAATAAAATAAAATAAAATAAAATAAATAAAGCCTTCCATGTATCCCTCAGGTAGAAGGCAAACTTTATTTAGTGTCAGACAAATGAGCTACATTACTTTTTCCCTTGATTATTCTGTGTGCAAAGATGTAGGGAGAAGTTATTTTTATCTAGTTCAATCTCAAGTCACAATGTAACGCACTTTGTCTCACAGCTATGTGCTATTTATTCTGTGTATTAAATTCTTGTAAACCACGACGTGACTCCTAAACTAAGCAAAATGCAGCATGAAATCTCTAGTGCCTTTCTCATTTCTACGACTACAAGATTCCAACTCTTCACATTTTTCTGTTGGGAAATATTCATAGTATTCATATTTAGCTATTTGTATAAAAAATAGCACAGCCTCTCTTGAGAGTTTCAATCAATATTTTTTAGCTATAAGTTTCCAAGAATGAAATCCTTTACTTAACAGAAAATGTTTTCAGGATATTATACCAAGTTACGTGAACATAAATTTCATGGCTAAGTCCTGGTGGTACAAGGGACCTCAGACAGTATCCAACTCAATTCCCTCCTGGTTTAGGGAAAGAAACTAGACCACAATAAAATAACTGCATTTCCTTAGGTCACATTGCCAGCTGAAAAGCTAGGGCATTTAAAATGAAAATCTAGAGTGGTACTTTTTGGGATTATTTATTATTTCTATGTTTAATAATTTCCTGCCTCATTTTTGCCTTTCTCTACCCAAGCATTTTATAAACAAGAACATATGCAATAAAATATTAAATTATAAATGAGTAAAAACAAAAATATAAATAGAAAGTCAAAACCAAGAAAAAAGAAGAATATAAAATGCATGCTGAGGTCAAGAGTTTGAGACCAGCCTGACCAACATGGTGAAACCCATCTTCACAAAAAAAAAAAGAAAAAAAAAAGAAAAAAAGAAAACAAAAGGCCTGGTGCTGTGGCTCACACCTGTAATCCCAACACTCTGGGAGGCCGAGGCGGGCAGATCATGAGGTCAGGAGGTCGAGACCATCCTGGCTAACACAGTGAAACCCCGCCTCTACTAAAAATACAAAAAATTAGCCGGGCGTGGTGGCGGGCGCCTGTAGTCCCAGCTACTTGGGATGCTGAGGCAGGAGAATGGCGTGAACCCGGCAGGTGGAGCTTGCAGTGAGCAGAGATCGCGCCACTGCACTCCAGGCTAGGCGACAGAGCGAGACTCTGTCTCAAAAAAGAAAAAAAAAAAAAAGGAATTATCGTCCACATCGGGGCTCCCAAACGGGTTTGCTGGAAGCTCTTGCAAGGCCATTGCAGTTCCTTCTGCCATCGCTCACCCTCGCTTCTCTCCCTGCGACCGCTCCCCTGACTGCTGCCTCCAGGGGTGAGTTTGGGCTGTTTCAGAACTTTATGTGTATGGAATACAGAAGGATGCTTCCTCTTTAGCTGGGCTGCTGTTGCTCAATAGTGTGCTTTTGGGGATCATGTGCAGCAGTGGTTCGTTTTCGTTTCTGAATAATATTTCTATTGCATGGGGCATCTAAGAATCTATCGGCAGTATTGATGATGAATAGAGAGCTTTCCTCCAGTTTCTTTTACTGTTATGCCTAATACTAGTATGGATAACTTTTGTGCATTTCTTTGGGTTCCCATTAGCACACAACTCAGTTGAGCATATCCCTAGGACTAGAACTGGTGAACCACAGGAAATGTATATTTTACTTTGGTAAACAATGCCAACATTTTCCAACATATAATTAGCCCTCCTGCAGCAGTGTAGGAGATTTAGTTCTACCACATGCTAGGCAGCACTTGGTATGACTTTCTTTTAAATTAGATATTCTGGTAATGGTATTACATTGTGGCATTGGTTGACATTTTACTGATCCCTAATTAAGTTGAGACTCTTCATATGTTTGCCGGAAGGCTGCCCAAGAGAGTTCCGTTGACATCAGTTGTCATGGTAAAATAATCAACCGCTCCTCTTTCCACGTCCTAAAGTGTCCCTGATTGGCCATTTCGGTCTTCTCTTTGGGGTCTAGCCAGGTTTATGTCTTTCGTTTATTTTTATATAAGGTTGTTTGCATTTTTCTTATTGATTTGTGGGAATTTCTTGTATATTCTGATAATGAACTTTCAGTTATATTGATGACATATATCTTCTCCTACTTTGCAGCAGGATCTTGATAAACAGAAGGTTTTAATTCAATTCTAATTCTCAGTAGTGATTTTTGGGTCCTGTTTTTGTCCACTTTATGGACACATGATATTTTTCTATTTTCTTCTCCCTTCAAATTGAGGTCTTTTATTCTTCTGCTTATGGCTAACGTAGAAGTCAATATTAACTTTTTTCACATAGATTTCCAATTTATGTTCACTTATTAAAACACTGCTTTTCCCCACAATACCATCTTTGCTATACATTGAATATCTATACCTGTTTTTTGTGTGTGTGTGTGTGTGTTTTTTTATTTTTTGAACTCTCTCTTCTGTTCCTGTGGTCTATTTATTACTCTTTCACCAATAACCCACTGATTTGAATAGTTCAACTTTAAAATAAGGTCTGATTGTCAGTTTTGTAAGCCCTCCAACTTTGTTATTCAAGATTTTCTTAGCCATTCTTGGCCTACTGCATTGGGCATTTATATTTTAGAATCAGTTTATCCAGGTGCACAAAAAAGGTGGAGCTTCTCATTGGCGTTGTGGTGAAATTTGTAAATCACATTGGGAACATTGATATTTTGCAGTACTGGGTCTCCCAGCCTAGAAACAATGTATATCTTTGCATTGATTTTGGTCTTCTTTAATATCTCTCAATAATATTTTGCAGTTTTCAGAGAAAAGATGTTTTATACCTTTATTTTTAAAATTATTTATTTATTATTATTATTTTTTGAGATGGAGTCTCACTCTGTTGCCAGGCTGGAGTGCGGTGGCGTGATCTCGGCTCACTGCAACCTCCACCTCCTGATTTCAAGCAATTCTCCTGCCTCAGACTCCCGAATAGCTGGGACTACATGTGCACACCACCACGCCCAGCTAATTTTTGTATTTTTTTTTTAAGTAGAGACGGGGTTTCACCATATTGGCCAGGATGGTCTCGATCTCTTGACTTCGTGATCTGCCCACCACACAGTCCCACAGTGCTGGGATTACAGGCGTGAGCCACCGCACCTGGCTGTTTTATACCTTTTTTTAAAGCCCATCATAGACTGCATGTATGACAGCAGTCCCATAAGATTTTAAAATACTGTATTTTTGCTGTACCTTTTCTATGTTTAGATTCTTTTAGATACACAGATACTGACCATTGCGTTACGAGTGCTTACAGCGTTCAGTGCAGTAACCTGCTGCACAGGTGGGTGTGTAGCCTAGGAGCAATAGGCTGCACCACACAGCCGAGGTCTGAGGTGTGTAGTGGGCTACACCATCTAGGTGTGTGTAAGTGCACTCTATGTTTGCACAATGACGAAACTGTCTAATAGTGCATTGCTAAGAACGCATCTTCATGGTGAAGTGGCACAAAAGTAGCACTGATATTTTCAATGCTATTTTTAATGAAATTTAAGAAGATAATTTTCTAATTGTTAATTGCTGGTATACAGCAGTCACTTGGTTGTGTGTATTGACATATCCAGCAACTTCTCCAAAATCACTTATTAATTACATGTTCATCTGCAGAGCCTTTTGATTTTCTATGTGTATAATCAGTCAGAGTTAAGCATGCCAATACCAGGAGCTTGAAGGGTGGATATTGGACCGGAAGGGTCTAAAGACGAGCCGCCTGCTGCTGGATAGTGCACGGTTCAGGAAGTTTGCCTGCTCTCACTGCTGAGGAAGTCCACAGCCCTGGCGTGGAGGGTAGGATAGTCCTATGCACCTATGATGTGATGGGATTCATCACCCTGAAGGGAGCCCGCAAGTGCTCAGCGCTGAATTCCTTTATGACACACAGACCTGTATTTTCTGTTTGAGTCATTACAGAAAAATATTATTTCAGTGGAAAGCTTGAGATTAAGCAACTTCTTCTGTTGTTTATTTTAAGTAAATGGAACTTGACAGAATGTTTTATTACAGAGGCCCAGTAACTACCAGACTAGTGAATAAATTTCGTGACGATCACCGTAGGAAAGTCTAGAGTCTTTGAATGAAAAATTGTCATTTTTACAATGAGAAGCAAGAATTTTGAAACATTAAGTCACAATTTTCCAGTCTATAATCATCGATCAACTGCCTAATTAATAAATAACCTTTTAAATGGTTTGGACTTCATTTTGGTTAGAATCACTTAGGCAAATGGCAAATATTAATGTGAAATTAGAGCTCGCAAGTAAGTAGTTATGAATAATTTGATAGATTATAACAGCCCTTTTGTAATATTTTAAATCACTCTTATTGCAGTTAGCAGACAATAATTGTCAGAGTATTTGCATATTACTTTAGTTAACACATGGGCTGTTTTAAAATGAAGTATTTTTGCTCTTATCCTTCCACTGGAATTAATGGGTGATGTCATGTATTTGCTTTGCTTCTTACCATTGTATTGATTTTATCACCTGATTGTATACTGTACAACATAAAATTATTATTATTTTTGCCATCAATAAGAAATTTACTTGTTTTAAAAAAATCCAAATGCTTTTTAAAACTAGTGTAGGGGAAGAAAATATACCTAATGATGCCTGCTCACTTGGAACCTGCTTTTTAGAAAGCAGCACGTAGGGTTGAGATAAGCTGCTGTGACTAGAATTTGTAATCTTACTCAGCTGGTATTCAAAGACAGTAAATGTGAAGGGGCTACTGAAAGCAATGAACTTAATAACCACATACCAGAGAGGACATTAGCTGTGATATTACAGATGAATGCAGGCTGCTATGTAACTTTGTGTCTTTGCTTTTTAAAGTGATAAATGGAAGCCCTGCGAAAATCCGTGAGGTGAGCATAAGATAGCCGCTGACTCTAGAATGAACAGTATTAACCCCACTGGTTTGGCGCATGATGAAATGAAGGACAGATCCATTGTGTTTTCAGTAAAGGACAGGATGGTATGTAAATTCAGTGTCAGATCTTGATATTTAACTCAACAGCTAAAATATTTCCACAACAACTTCAGCTCTCAGAAAAAAAATGTAATCCTAATATTTCCTTCAATTAATCTAAATTCTTCTTTAAGACAAATATAATTTAAACTTGCCATAAAAATGATGGGTACTTGTGGGAACATTCAATCACTCCTATTTTAAAATTTTGTAATTTTTTGTGTCTTATTATTTATAATCACTTTAAAATAACTATAATTATTTTTCTCAAGGTTTGACACATTATAGCTATTTTTAACATCATTCAATCTTTACTGTCAGGTAATTTTTGTAAAATTGAATAATATACAACATATGAGCTCAAGATATTGATTAGAAAACTAAATTATTATAATTATGGTTACTCGATTTGCAATGAGATGTTAAATTTCTTCTTTGGTATTTAGTGAGACTTCAAAGATTCTGTGTTCTGTATATGGTATATTATAGCTCACGTGTCTTAATTTTATTGATAGGTTTCAATACCTCTGTTTTTTTTGCCTGCTTGATATACCACTTTCTGAAAAGGGTATTTTGTAATCTCCAACTACAATTGTTGATGTCATGATTTCTCCCTACAATTTAATTGTTGCTTGATACACTGTAATCCTATAGTTAGTTACATATGTGTTTGTTTGTGGTAGGCATGGTGGAGAATCAGTTCTATTATTCCCTGAAATATTTTATACATATTTAACATTCTTTTTTCCAGCATGACATTTTTACTGTAAAATCTTTGTCAGATACTGAGATTTCTACTCCTGCCTTCTTTTGGTTCATATTACCTTAGTCTCTCTTTTTCCATCCTTTGAGCCTCAGTTATCCTGTTTTTGATATCTACCTCTTCCTTTTCCTGAATCAGAAAATACTTTAACATATATTTATGTCCTATGGTCTACTGGTCCACACCCCCACCACAGCTATATCATATTGATAATGTCTTCATTTTAGTTTTGGATTAACTTGAATACATTTTCTTTTATTTTGTCCTGGCTTTATTTTTTTTTTAGACAACAATTTAAAAAATAACTTCTACTTTCCATATTACTGGGTATAACCTCTACTTTCTATATCACTTATAACATACTTGAATATTGTCTTCAATTTCTTGAGGATACTCTTAAGTACATATCTGTCCATTGCAAACATTTTAAAAACTGTATGCCTGAGAATATTTTTATTACAGTCTTACAAGTAATGGACTAAATAGCTGGGTAGAAAATTCTAGCTAAAATGATTCTCCTTCAAAATGGTAAAAATGGGTTTCCATTATCTGTTTGCATTCAATGTGTTGGTTTGCTCATTTGTAGATGATCTTTTCTATTTAAAAGTTTTTTGAAGTTTGTTCTTGTATACAATATTTTCAAATTTTCCTAGAATTTATCTGAGTGTGCTTTTTTTTTTCCTTTCAGTTGTTTGGTCCTCTGTGAGCTCTTTTACTTAAGATCATTCATCTTTCTTGAATTCTGAGAAATTCATTTCCATTATTTCTTATATACTTCCTCAGCTTCATTTTTATTTCTCTACTCTTGAGACTCATAATTTCGATGCTGGCACATTTATTTCTAGCCTGTATTTCTCTTAGATTTTCTGTTCTATCTCCTCTGTGTCCTTTATTGCTGCCCTCTGGAAGGTTTCACCACTTATCTTACGTCTATCCTACTATTTATATGAACCATTTCTTCTTCATTTCAACTGTGACATTGTTCATACTTACATTTTTACCTAGTTCAGGTTTAGAGATGCTTTGCTCCTGTTTGATACCGTTATTGTCCTCCCTATCTCATAAGCATATTTACCATGCTTAGCTGAGCTCCTTGATCTGTGTGTTCTTGTAATTATGTTTCTGATGCATAGATTGTCTCAAGGATCAGTTTTGAACTTCTCCTTCTGTCTTTTTTTTTTTTTTAGACAGAGTTTCGCTTTTGTTGCCCAGGCTGGAGTGCAGTGGCACAATCTCGGCTCACTGCAACCTCTGCTTCCCGGATTCAAACGATTCTCCCGCCTCAGCCTCCTGAGTAGCTGGGATTACAGGTGCCTGGCACCACGCCCAGCTAATTTTTTGTATTTTTAGTAGAGATGAAGTTTCATTGTGTTGGCCAGGCTGGTCTTGAACTCCTGAACCTCAGGTGATCCACCTGCCTCAGCTTCCCAAAGTGTTAGGATTACAGGGGTGAGCCACCGTGCCTGGCCTGAACTTCTCTTTCTATCTATACTCTTTCTCTGGTGATCTCATCCTGCTTCATGGCTTTAAATATTATTGCTATGGCATGATTCCCACATGTTTACCCCCAGTTGGAACCTCTCACTGAGTTCCAGACTCAGATATCCCACTGCCTATTTCTTATCTCTGCTGTCTGTATAACAGGCCTCTTCAACCTCAATGTGCCAGACTGACATCCAAGCATTCTGCACATGTGCCAGCTGACCTGTCGTCTTCTCCATTTCAGTGAAGACATTTCATTCTTCCAGTTATTCAGACCAAACGTCTTTCTACCTTCCACATTCTTGATTCCTTTCTTTCGTACATATTCTGCATCCAGTTTACCAGAAAGCTGTTGGCTTTACACTCACAGTATATCCAGGATGTGACCACATTATACCACTCCACTGCCTTATCTCTGACCCCGACCACCACGTTTTGCCTGCGTTGGCCCCGTAGCCGGTCTTCTTAGTGTACTTTTGCCTCTTTCTACTCAACACAGCAGACAGAGGAGAGTCTGTTAGCAGGCAGGCCAGATCATGTCAGCCTTTTGCTCCAAACAGTCTAACAGCTGTGTCTCACTCACAGTGATTGTCAAAGCCTCGCTGTGACCTATGGGGCTCTACCTGATGCCCATCCCCCTTCACCTCTGACTCAACCCTCTGACTTCAGCCTCTACCTCTCTCTTTTACTCACCCTGTTTTGCCCACATTGATCTTATTCTTCCTCAATATGCCAGACTTCTTTCAGGACTTCTGTCAAAAGTCATCTTTCTTCCCTCACCCCCATCTAAAATTTCACCAACATTGTTGACCATTTTATAGCTCCCCTCCCTAATTCACTTTTCTTTCTTAGCATCCATCACAACCTAATATTATATATACCTGTTTATCCTATGTATCAATTAAGGTACATTTACATACAGTAAAATTCTCCCTTTTTCGTATACAGTTTTGTGTGTTTTCACAGATGTATACAGAAGTCGAAACACCATCACAATAATGATATAAACAGTCTCATTGTCATAACACACTGCCAGACTCTTTCTGAAACTGGCTGTACCATTTTGCATTTTTATACAAAACGTGTGAGTTTCAGGTGCTCACCGCTGACAGCTGCAATTGGCATTATGAGGGTTTTCTTTTTTTTTGGCCATTCTAATTGGTATTTAGTAGTATCCCATGGTTTTAATTTGCATTTCTGTAATCATTAATGATACTGAGCATTATTTCATGAGCTCGTTTGCCATTTTGATGTTTTTCTTGATAAAGAATCTGTTTGAATATTGTGCCCATTTTCTTACTTAGGGTTTTTCTTATTAAATTTGAGAGTTCTTTATATGCTCTGGATGTAAATTCTTTATCAGCGAAATGATTTGCAAATGTTAGTTTTCAGTCTATAGATTGTATTTTTACTCTTTTTGTTTTTTTTTTTTTTTGAGACGGAGTCTCACTGTGTCGCCCAGGCTGGAGTGCAGGGGCGGGATCTCGGCTCACTACAAGCTCCGCCTCCCGGGTTCCCGCCATTCTCCTGCCTCAGCCCCGAGTAGCTGGGACTACAGGCGCCCGCCACCACGCCCGGCTAATTTTTTGTATTTTTAGTAGAGACGGGGTTTCACCGTGTTAGCCAGGATGGTCTCGATCTCCTGACCTCGTGATCCGCCCGCCTCGGCCTCCCAAAGTGCTGGGATTACAGGCGTGAGCCACCATGTCTGGCCTGTATTTTTACTCTTAAAAGTAATTTTCAAAGAACGGAGATTTTTACCTTTGATGAAGTTTAATTATCACCTTTTTCTTTTATGGATTTAATCAAAGTTCAACCACAAATGTAAACACAGTAGAAAATCTATCTATCTATTGTCTATCTATCTATGTATCTATCATCTATCTTTCTATCTAGATCATCTATTCTCGACAGCAAGAGAGAAAGAGATTTATTACAAGAAATTGGCTTACATAACTGTGGAGGCTGGCTAAGCTAGTTCAATATACGTAGGGCAGACAGTCATGAAGATGAAGCCCCTCAACAAGTTGAACCGTGGGCACGGGCGTGGGCAGTATTTTTACAGAATTTCTACTCTCCAGGTGTTTATTCCTGATATATAGAAATCTGATTGATGTTTGTACATTGACCTTGTGTTTTGCAACCTTACTGAAGTCACTTATTTTGTTCTAGCAGCTTTTATTGCAAGTTCTCTGGGATTTTGCACAAAGACAATTATGCTGCCTACACATTGTGACGTGTTTCTTTCTTTCCAATCTGCATGCCTTCTGTTTCTTTTTATTCGCTTATTGTGCTAGCTAGGACCTCCAATGTCATGTTAATTTGGAGCGGCTTGATTAGCGTCCTTCTGTTGTTATATATCTTATGTACTGACTTCCCCCGTTCCTCGCCAGGGTTAGCACCACAGGGAGGGATGTGGAGGTAGGGCTGTTTCTTTTTAGGATTCTTGGCTCTTTCTCCAATGCCAGTAACAACGCTCTAGTAAGCAGTCAATAAATATCTGATCTTTATTATGCTGTTTAGTTTGTTTTCTTTCTCTTGAGGGAGTTTTAGTTCTTGTCTTGGAATTTGGGCCTGTGAACACATATTTGCAAGGTCATACCACGTCCTAAAGACCAGACCCCGCTTGGTGGGTTTAGGAAAGAGAGGGAGGGTGAGGCCCAGTGTGGAGAGCCCAGGCCCCTGGAACTCTGGTGGACCACTGCCATCTGCTGCCACTGCTTCCAGCACATCACGGCCCTTGGGAAGAAGTGGTGCTGGAGGAGGCCCCGCCTCAGGGGAAATGCACCAGTCTGGGGACTTGGAGGAAGAGGATGGAAGGGAAAGGTCTAAGAGCAGGTGGCCATTCTCGCTGATTTTTGCCCCAGCTAGGATTTCCTAAACCTTCACGTTACCCCAAGGACACCTGCATAGGTGGTGTGGGCTGTCCTTAGCATTTTTGCAGTGTAGCGTCACGCAGGAATCATCGAAAAGCATTTTCTCCCACCTTTTGACTGCTCCATCCAGTGACTATGCCCAGGCTACCACCTTCAGCCTTCCACCCGCCTCCTCCCTCCTCCCTATGCCCAGGCTACCACCTTCAGCCTTCCACCCGCCTCCTCCCTCCTCCCTATGCCCAGGCTACCACCTTCAGCCTTCCACCCGCCTCCTCCCTCCTCCCTATGCCCAGGCTACCACCTTCAGCCTTCCACCCGCCTCCTCCCTCCTCCCTATGCCCAGGCTACCACCTTCAGCCTTCCACCCGCCTCCTCCCTCCTCCCTATGCCCAGGCTACCACCTTCAGCCTTCCACCCGCCTCCTCCCTCCTCCCTATGCCCAGGCTACCACCTTCAGCCTTCCACCCGCCTCCTCCCTCCTCCCTATGCCCAGGCTACCACCTTCAGCCTTCCACCCGCCTCCTCCCTCCTCCCTATGCCCAGGCTACCACCTTCAGCCTTCCACCCGCCTCCTCCCTCCTCCCTATGCCCAGGCTACCACCTTCAGCCTTCCACCCGCCTCCTCCCTCCTCCCTATGCCCAGGCTACCACCTTCAGCCTTCCACCCGCCTCCTCCCTCCTCCCTATGCCCAGGCTACCACCTTCAGCCTTCCACCCGCCTCCTCCCTCCTCCCTATGCCCAGGCTACCACCTTCAGCCTTCCACCCGCCTCCTCCCTCCTCCCTATGCCCAGGCTACCACCTTCAGCCTTCCACCCGCCTCCTCCCTCCTCCCTATGCCCAGGCTACCACCTTCAGCCTTCCACCCGCCTCCTCCCTCCTCCCTATGCCCAGGCTACCACCTTCAGCCTTCCACCCGCCTCCTCCCTCCTCCCTGCCACAGCTTTTACTTTTCTCAGGTATTCCCTCTCTTTCCTTTTCTTTCTTAATAACTTTTTTTTTCTTTTTTTTGAGATGGAGTCTTGTTCTGTCACCCAGGCTGGAGTGCAGTGGCGCGATCTCGGCTCACTGCAACCTCCACCTCCCTGGTTCAAGCGATTCTCCTGCCTCAGCCTCCCGAGCAGGTGGGATTACAGGCGCGCGCCACCACGCCCGGTTAATTTTTGTATTTTAGTAGAGATGGGGTTTCACCATGTTGGTCAGGCTGGTCTTGAACTCCTGACCTCGTGATCCGCCCGCCTCGACCTTCCAAAGTGCTGGGATGACAGGCGTGAGCCACCGCGCCCGGCCTTAAATAACATTTTTAATTGCAGGAAATTCCAAATCGATGTGCAGAGAATATTGTCATGCCCCCATGTCCCCTTCCTCCCAGTTAAACACTATTTGCTCGTGGCCAACACTGCTAGGCTCCTGATCGATGCCGAAAGCCACCTCGGGGCATCACACCGGTGGTGAATTTGCACCGCGTCAGTTTAGCAAAGCCGCTATTGCACTTCCTAGAATTTCTTCTGCGGCACAGTTCCAGGGAGCCTGGCCCACAGGGGAGCTGCGTGAGATCCGGAAGGCCGCAGAGCGCTGGGCCAGGTTGATTTGATGCGTGGGGGGTCCGTGCGGGGCATGAGGCTGCCGCTTCCAGACATGCTGTTGCTTCTCTTCCGTCACAGGCAGAGCGGGCCTTGCCGCTCCCCGTGCTCCGTGAGATCCTCCTTCGGCTTCTCTGGTTTCTGGCCCAGGCCAGGGTCTAGCTCCATGTGAAAAGTCACCTTCTCCTGCAGGCACCTGCGCATTGAGGGTGAAGGCTTGAACGTGGCGAGAGATGAACCCGGCTCACAGCTTGTCCTTGTGTGGGCTCTGGCCCATTCTCCCAAGTTCCAGTGTCGCCCCTGTTCACCCGCTGTACATCATGTTCCCTGCCCAGCTACCCGCCTGAACACTCAGTCTCCAGCACCAGCAGCAGCAGCCCCACCAGCACCAGCAGCAGCAGCAGCAGCAGCCCCACCAGCAGCAGCAGCAGCAGCAGCCCCACCAGCACCAGCACCAGCAGCAGCAGCAGCCCCACCAGCAGCAGCACCAGCACCAGCAGCAGCAGCAGCCCCACCAGCAGCAGCAGCAGCCTGGCATAAATGGTGTGACCAGCTCCCCTAGGACCCTTACTGTTTACCTCTCCTAGGGGTTCTGCTTCTCTCATTGAACGCTTACTGGAAAAATATCATTTCATCTATAAATATCAGTATGGATCTCCAAAAAATACAAACTCATTTAAGTAACGAAACCTGCATGTCCTTTTCTAAAACACACACAAAATTAAAAATGATTTCTCTCGAGTCTCTTTCACCCTCCCAAACACACTTTGAGAATCTATTTTCCCAGAACTGATCTTTGGGGGAGAAACTCATGTAACTCCCATCTTCCTGGCCCACTAAAATATACCATCTGATGAAATTCTATTAGCATATTATTGTTTTAAATACTGGTATCTCCGATAGAGGGCAGATATCTTGTAAAAAGATAGGCTATTATAAATTATTTGTGAAAAGCATTGGCTTGTCTAGAATATCTTTTGATTGTTTTATGGTCACTTTAAAGTCACTTTTAAATGTATTTCTTTCTTTCTTTTCTTTTCTTTTTTTTTTTTTTTTGAGACAAAGTCTTGTTCTCTTGCCCAGGCTGGAGTGCAGTGGCACAACCTGGGCTCATAGCAACCTCTGCCTCCTGGGTTCAAGCAATTCTCCTGCCTCAGCTTCCTGAGTAGATGAGATTACAGGCGCCCACCACCACGCAAGGCTAATTTTTATTTTTATTTTTAGTAGAGACGGGGTTTCACCATGTTGACCAGGCTGGTCTTGAACTGTTGACCTCAGGTGATCCACCCACTTCAGCCTCCCAAAGTGCTGGGAATACTGGTGTGAGCCACCGCACCCGGCCCTCCCTTCTTCTTCTTTTTTTTTTTTTTTTTTTTTTTTGAGACAGAGTTTTGCTCACACTGTTGCCCAAGCTGGAGTGTGGTGGCACGATCTCAGCTCACTGAAACCTCTGTCTCTCAGATTGAAGTGATTCTTGTGCCTCAGCCTCCCTAGTAGCTGGGATTATAGGTGCCCACCACCACTCCTGGCTAATTCCTGTATTTTTAGTAGAGATGAGTTTACCATGGTGGCCAGGTTGGTCTCGAACTCCTGACCTCAAGTGATCTCCCTGCCTCAGCCTCCCAAAGTGCTGGGATTACAGGCATGAGCCACCCTGCCCGGCCTAAATGTACTTATTTCTTAATGATATTAGAAAGTTTGTATATTAATGTGTTGGCACAGAGTATGCACCTATGCTAGTATAGGGACAATTATTGTGATGGATATAATTTAAAAAGCCCTGTTATTATTAGGGAATCTAATATATTGGTATTGGTGAAATTTCTTGATAAAATTTCCTGGATTTTACTCCATCATCCATTAATATTTGACTGAATTTATGAGCCACTAGAAAAGTAAGTAGATTATATCTGAACCTGTTGACGTAATGATTGTGAATCTGTTTAGCATTGGAAGTGACTTTTGAGCAAATCAGATTGTAATTACTAACTTGGTAATCAATTGATCATTGTTCAGGGAGATTAGTGTAAGATGTCCTTCCATAATCAGAAACTGAAGTAGTCAGTTTCCCAGCATTTATTTTTATCAATACTAGTAGCACCAAATGATGCTTTATAGCAAAAGCAAGTAAAGAAAAGAGAAAATATATCCTTTTTGGAATTTGAAGAGAGTTTTAAAGTTAGAGCCCAAGGTTGAAATAGCCATCACAAAGGAACCGAGGATGAAATTAAGGAGTAGGTCAGGGATGACATTAAGGTTTTGATAATAACTGAAAATTAGAATCCTTGCCCTGCAAGAAACATTCCCACACACAAGCAGGAAGACTGCTACACAAAACCCATTTGTTGTTTTACAAGACACACATCTGCTAACATATTGTATTTGGTTGCCAGTTACCAGGAATAGTTTTCTGTTTGTTTTATAACCAAAATGTGATGATTACTCTGAATTAAGGCAGGAAGAAAGCTTGTTGGTTCAGGTTTTATGGCAAAGAAGTTGGTACTAATAGTTAAGGCCCAGACTCCTAACGCATACTGATAATTCTTACCTTGTCTATGTGTGGTGAGGAGATTCTTCCACAGTCTTAGAATTTAGGATAGGATTACAACGCCAGTGTGCTGACTATAATGAGCAATCATTTATTTTTCACCAGAAAGGGAAAACAACCTTTCTGAGAAATATTTGCTGGAAGCCTGGAAATTAAAATCTTATGGGACAAAGTAAGATCATTATTTTCCTCCAATATGCAGACTTGATTATATTTCTAGCCCTATTTAAATGTATGAAAAATCAGTCATGTTATTAATGATTATTTCAAGTTGTTCCATTTTTCAGTTAAACTGATTATGTGTAATAATTTTAGAAGAGTGGCATCATTACCGCAGTTAAAATTCATAGACTCTTCCTGTTTGCCTGAACATTTCTAAGCATATATTTTAAAAAATAAAACTATTCAAATTTTTGCTACAAAGATGTTTTTCTAATTGATTGTCTTGTTTCTGTATTGTAAAAGCATTTTGAAAAACATTTTTTAGAGTTTAGGTAAGTTTAGCTGTATATTCTATTATTTACTTATTGGCAAGATGTTAAAAAAGTTGATATTTCAGAATTATTGAAACATAGCTTGTGTTCTTTTTTTTTTAAACAGAGTCTCGATCTGTCGCCAGGCTGGAGTGCAGTGGCACGATCTCGGCTCACTGCAACCTCCACTTCCCAGGTTTAAGTGATTCTCCTGCCTCAGCCTCTTGAGTAGCTGGGACTACAGGCTGCGCCACCATGCTCAGCTAATTTCTGTATTTTTAGTAGAGACATGGTTTCACCATGTTGGTCAGGCTGGTCTCGAGCTCCTGACCTCGTGATCCACCCACCTTGGCCTCCTGAAGTGCTGGGATTATAGGCATGAGCCACTGCGCCCGGCCCATGTGTGTTCTTTAATAAGTGAATAAAGCAAACATAATATGGTTTTTAGAAAGACATATTTGTTTAGTTTGTAAATTAACTTACATGAAAGCATTGCTTAAAATGTCCTAATGTCATGTAAAGACTTCAAATCCATTTAGTTATTAAATTCTTCCATAAATATTTAAATTATATTAATGTATAATATCCAACACCCAATCCAAGAACATTTATATATAATTGGATACAAGCATTGAAAATGCTTTTGCAATAAAGTAAAAAAAAAGTTTTTGCACATTTTCCAAGGCTAAGGAAAACTTATATAGAACTGGAGAAGACAATGTTAAGAGGTGCAGGTGAACTAATATAAAACTGAGTTGTAGTTGTCTTACGTTTTCCATCCTTCCTCACTCAAGGCTACGGGAATTGCAGCCACTTAATTGAGATTTATTTGCAACACACTATTGCAAGGGAAATAAAGAGTTTAGCTGGAGTCACCTTTTAGTTTCACAGTTTAATCTATTGTTGTTCACATGATATGTCTTCTCCAGCTCATGACGTGTCCTGTTCTTCCAGGTCCTAAAGTAGGATCCCCAGAGAAAAGCAAAGTCAGTCCGGGCACGGTGGCTCATGCCTGTAATTCCAGCACTTTGGGAGGCTGAGGCGGGCGGATCACGAGGTCAGGAATGTGAGACCAGCCTGACCAACATGGTGAAACCACGACTCTACTAAAAAATGCAAAAATTAGCCGGGCGTGGTGGCGGGCGCCTGTAGTCCCAGCTATTTGGCAGGCTGAGGCAGGAGAATTGCTGGGACCCGGGAGGTGGAAGTTGCAGTGAGCCGAGATTGTGCCACTTCACTCCAGCCTGGGTGACAGAGCAAGACTCTCAAAAAAAAAAAAAAAAAAAAAAAAAAAAGCAAAATCAAAGAAGATAAATACCTATGCCCGTATTTGCACATGGGTTAAATTCCTCCTGGGACAAAGGGAGATCAGTCAGTCTTCAACAGTCTGGAGCAGTGTGTTAACATTATAGGGTGGCAGTCATATTTATGCTACAGGTCAAAAGCTAATAGCCACTGTAGAATTCTATCCATTTTAAGGGAAAACTTAGTCCCATAATATAATATGATGTAACCTAGCACAAAATAGCATAGAATAACACAACGTATCAATCTATAATCCAAGTAATAGCCAACAAAACTAAAGAGTTTACAATCTTGTTATATTTTCTTACAAACATAAAATAATTCAACATTTCTAACATTTTCAAATAGCCCCTTCTAGTGAATAGCAGCTGTTTCAAATATTACACTCTTATTGCAAAGTGTAATTTTGTATTACCTAATGTCATAAAATACAGAAACATTTGACTAAGCCTGTCAGCCAATTAAAAAAATATATACACCTAGTGTTTTCATTATGTACAATGGAGTTTATAAATAAATATGTAATGAGAATAAAATCTAACTTCACAGTTTGCTGAACTTTTGACCAACTGTTTTTGGGTAATTTGGATATAGACTATCTCCTCATTATTAATTCATTCAAAATAAAAATTAACTAAAAGGTATAAAAGTTATTTATTCATTTAACTGGCATACATGTATGCCCATGACTGCCAAGCGGTCGACTAGGCACTGAGTATTACACAATGGTAAATAAACAGGCAAAATTGTAGTTTCCTCGGTGGAAATCAGTCTAATGTAGTGCTACCTACTGTAATTAACTAGTAGAGTGTATATGTGTGTTTTGTTTTCCTTGTTTTTATATAGAACAAAAGGAAAAATACATCACCATGATAAAGACCAAGTCTTTCTTCTCTCTTTCCCCGTTTCTAGAGGATTCCAGAAAAGTGATGAGTGACTAATTTTGGGAAACATGGCTTCATCGCAGGAAACAGGTGAATACATCCCCATCCTGTGTGGGAAGGAAACAGGACAGCCATTGTTGGGTGGCAGAACCTACAAGGGGCATTACCCTGTTGATTTACTCACTACAGGCAAGAATCCCAAATGCAGGTGGGAAATTTTACTGGGCACCGATGACTCATAAGAGTCCATTGTAGTTAATAGAAGTAAAGCCAGAAGTCACCTTAGATCATCTACTGACCACATGGGAAAAGCTGAAATAAAAATCATAACACTAGAAACGCTTTACTCAACCTCTGCTGATCTGATTTATTGAATCAAAGCTTTCATTTGCTTGAGATGTGAAACATACTGATCTCAACACACTGACCAGGGTCTACGCAGTGGTGCATACCTGTGGCTCCTGGAACACGTCCTCTCTAAGACTCCCACATCCTTCTATTCCTGCCTGGTGACAATGCTTAATAAGAATGGTTGTTCCCAAACTGATTTACGTTGGTTATATTTCATAATTACAAAATTTTATTAAATATTATGTAAGTAGGCAGGGCATGGTGGCTTATGCCTGTAATCCCAGCACTTTGGGAGGTCAAGGCGGGTGGATCACTTGAGGTTAGGAGTTCGAGACCAGCCTGGCCAACATGGTGAAACCCCGTCTCTACTAAAAATACAAAAATTAGCCGGGTGTCGTGGCACACACCTGTAATCCCAGCTGCTTAATAGGCTGAGGCATGAGAATCACTTGAACCCGGGAGGCGGAGGTTGTAGTGACCCGAGATTATGCTACTGCACTCCAGCCTGGGGGACAGAGCGAGACCTTGTCTCAAAAATAAATAAGTCAATAAATAAATAAATATTATGTAAGTAACAAAATGAGTGTGGAAAAGAAAATTGTTTCTATACCAGCTAAGTAAAATGGATTGGAAATATTTGATGAAGCAAGTAGGTAAGAAAATCATGAGTGGTGTAGAAGGCACGTGTTACGAAGGAGGGTCAAACCCCAGATGGGTTCTGCATTCAGATCGCTTCTCAAGTGGCTCCTTTTCAAAGGAAGCTAAACTTGAATTCATAGATCAAGAATTACGGTTTTAGTTTAGGTCAGAAAAATAATACCTATTGCCAGTCAGAATCACATATGCAAAAGGCCTCAGCTCTATGGCAAATGTTGGGCAAATGAATGCAAATTTATTTGTTTTGAGTTAAAATAACATGTTTAGGAAATGTAGGTATATATTTTAAAAATAATTCATTTAACCACAGATCTTGATAGTTTCAAATAAAACTATTTCTCATATTTACATAAATCATTGAGACAGTCTGAATTATTATAACTTAAACAGTAAAAGAAGTAAATAGATTAGAAATGTGTGAACAAATGAATGGGTGTAATGAGTAAATGTTTCTATTCTAAAATTCAAACTTTGGCAGGGTGTGGTGGTTCACACCTATAATCCCAGCACTTTGGGTGGCTGAGGTGGGCAGATCACCTGAGGTCGGGAGTTCGAGACCAACCTGGCCAACATGGTGAAACTCCATCTGTACTAAAAATACAAAAAGTAGCTGGGTGTGGTGGTGCACACCTGTAATCCCAGCTACTCGGGAGGCTGAGGAAGGAGAATTGCTTGAACTCAGGAGGTGGAGGTTGCAGTGAGCTGAAATTACGCCACTGCACTCTAGCCTGGGCGACAGAGTGAGACTCTGTCTCAAAAAATAAAAAAAAGTTACTTTCAAATAAGAATTTTAAATTATTATTTTCTATAGGGACAATAGAAAAAAATGCCTTGCTTCTTGCATGGTTGATCGAAATTTGAATTTCAAAAAGAATTTTTTTGAGACATTCTAAAAAAAAATAATTTTGCATGAGTTTTCTTAAAGAGTACCTCCAAAATTGTACAGCCTAGGCTGAAGTTCACTGTTGCAGTCACGGCTTATTACAACTTGACCACCCGGACTCAAGTGATCCTCCCACCTCAGCCTCCTGAGTAGCTGGGACTACAGGCATGTGCCACCATACCTGTTTAGTTTATTATTTTTTGTAAAGATAAGGTCTCACTATGTTGTCCAGGCTGGTATTGAACTCCTGGGCTCAAACAATCCTTCTGCCTCGATCTCCTAAAATGCTGGAATAACAGGCATGAACCATCGTGCCCAGCCTAGAAATAATTATTTTAGCTTTTTAACTCTTTATTGGCAATGTGAAATTTTTAGGATTATTGTCAAAGTTTGGAAAACTTCTATTGAGTTGCTTTTGCATAAGCACTGTAAGATTGAGAACATTTTTGCTGTGTTAGTGACAATTCCACACCTCTTACAGTATGAGGTAGGCTAAGATATGTGACCTGAAACGGTGGGCTCTGAAAAGCATGTGGATGCTCCTAGAGTCACGCAGCTATGCCTGCTGACCGTAGTGTTGCCACAATGCTTCACGGTTGCAAGAATTCAGGAAGTCATGCTTCACCTGATTCCTTTACAAAAAAAAAATCATAACGTGTTTATATTGTTTATAGTTGGCTTTTTTTTCCCCCTGAGACAGTGTCTCGCTCTGTTGCCCAGGCTGGAGTGCAGTGGCACAATCTCGGCTCACTGCAGCCTCTGCCTCCCGGGTTCCAGTGATTCTCCTGCCTCAGCCTCCCGCGTAGCTGGGATTACAGGCATATGCCATCACGCCCAGCTAATTTTTGTATTTTTAGTAGGGATGGGGTTTCGTCATGTTGACCAGGCTGGTCTTGAACTCCTGAACCCAGGTGATCTGCCTGCCTCAGCCTCCCAAAGTGCTAGGATTACAGGCGTGAGCCACCGCATCGGCCTATCGTTGGCTTTTGGAAGTGGCTTATGCAATAGATGGTCCTGACGCTTAAGTTTGACTAGATTCACAGTTGACCTAGCTGGAAGAACCAATCATTCACAGATAGGTGAGGGAAGGAACTGGGTCCAGAGGAATAACATCCAAAGAAACTTCATGTTTTCACAGTGAAATATTCGCTCATGCTGTGTGCCAAACTGTCTAGGATTCTGCACTGCTGTTGATGGCCACTGCTGCACTCCCTTCTACTCTGTGTGCTCAGGTGTCATTGTTTATTGATGTTTTCATCTTTATCATAACCATAAGACTACCTTAAGTTACACAGTGCTTTTGATTTTTGAGGAATGTACACACACACACACACACACATACACACACACACACATTATCTCATCAGTTTTTGCTTTTTTGTTACATCCCTATCAGGCAAGTGGAGTAAGTAGGGTTGACTCGCCCAGGGTCACCTGTTTCAACTAGAACATTGTGATACCACATATTCAGGGTTTGCTCCAGGCTGTATCAAGTTCTTTTCTGTATCGTATTTATGATATTATGATATTTGAACACGTTCATAAGTCTGCTGGCATTTTAGGTTAGTTAATGTGAACCGCTGCCACAGACGACCTCTAGTCATAGTAATCACAGTAAATGCTTATTTCTCAGTCCAATATCTTAAAGGCCAATGAAGGTACTTCTGATGCGATGGCTCTCACCCTTCCTGAGGGGCCCAAGCTGCTTTTGTCTCATGGTGCAGCCACCTGAAATGCAGTCTCCAGTAGAATGAGAAGGCATCCAGGAGAGGGCATGCAGGCATCAACCCCGCGACACAGATGGCTGCTGTCACACGCTGCGGTAGTGGTCACATGGCTGTGCCTACATGCTGTGAAGTAGGGAAACATATTCCCTGGCTTGGTAACAACTTTCTGTACAGGGAAGAAGTAAGGAAAAAATGTACTTTATTTCAAAAATCAGTTATTTCAGTCAAGTTTTTAAAAAGACAAGGCCAAAAGAAGAGACAAACTTATAAATAGTTTCTTCTTGGCTACCACACCAAAACCTTACTTTTAAGCTTAAACCATGAAGAAAGATGCTCAGGATATGAAACTAAAAAGACATTCAGAGGGCAGAGTACCTATATATAATTCTTTTATATTTATATTTTCCATATCCATATCTTGTGTGAATGCATTTTTGTTTGGAAACCTGAAATATAATTTATTATAGATTTCTATTCTAATGTATATTCTGATTTAACCCCCATATATTTTTAGAAGCATATTATTAAACATTTTGAATTCATTCAAGAGCATTTTTTTTGTTTTTTCTTGTGTGTTTGTTTTGTTTTGTTGCATGTGGTATTTCAGAATACCTTATGGGACATGAATCCCTTTCCAGGGAGCTGCAGTTTAGTGGGCAGATAAACCGCATTCATGAAGTCAAATGCAGTGGGAAAATGCAAATGCCTGAGAGATGCATGTAGAGTACTTGGGAAGTCTGGGCAGGAGGAAGCGGGAAGGGGGTTGAAAGTTGAAAAACTTTGGTGATAGCAAGATAGGCTTGTCCGTTCAATTTTTATGTTTTCCTTCATTTAAAGAAAAAGTTAATAATCCAAGTGCATTTTTAACTACCAGAAAATAGAAAACGATATAAATGTTTTTGACAGAGTAAAAAGCTATTTCTTGGCAAAACAAAGTTAGTATTAGTTTTTCTTTTGTAGAAATCATTCTCAGTAACCAAAACCGTATGGTACTGGTACCAAAACAGAGACATAGACCAATGGAACAGAACAGAGACCTCAGAAATAATACCATACATCTACAGCCATCTGATCTTTGACAAACCTGACAAAAAGAAGAAATGGGGAAAGGATTCCCTGTTTAATAAATGGTGCTGGGAAAACTGGCTAGCCATATGTAGAAAGCTGAAACTGGATCCGTTCCTTACACCTTATACAAAAATTAATTCAAGATGGATTAAAGACTTAAATATTAGACCTAAAACCATAAAAACCCTAGAAGAAAACCTAAGCAATACCATTCAAGACATAGGCATGGGCAAGGACTTCATGTCTAAAACACCAAAAGCAATGGCAACAAAAGCCAAAATTGACAAATGGGATCTAATTAAACTAAAGAGCTTCTGCACAGCAAAAGAAACTACCATCAGAGTGAACAGGCAACCTACAGAATGGGAGAAAAGTTTTCCAATCTACCCATCTGACAAAGGGCTAATATCCAGAATCTATAAAGAACTTAAACTAATTTACAAGAAGAAATGAAACAACCCCATCAAAAAGTGGGCAAAGGATATGAACAGACACTTCTCAAAAGAAGACATTTATGCAGCCAACAGACATATGAAAAAATGCTCATCATCAGTCATCAGAGAAATGCAAATCAAAACCGCAATGAGATACCATCTCACACCAGTTAGAATGGCTATCATTAAAAAGTCAGGAAACAGCAGGTGCTGGAGAGGATGTAGAGAAATGGGAACGCTTTTACACTGTTAGTGGGAGTGTAAATTAGTTCAACCATTGTGGAAGACAGTGTGGCAATTCCTCAAGGATCTAGAACTAGAAATATCATTTGACCCAGTGATCCCATTACTGGGTATATACCCAGAGGATTATAAATCATGCTACTATAAAGACACATGCACATGTATTGTATTCTAGCACTATTCACAATAGCAAAGACTTGGAACCAACCCAGATGTCCATCAATGATAGACTGGGTTAAGAAAATGTGGCACATATACACCATGGAATACTATGCAGCCATAAAAAATGATGAGTTCATGTCCTTTGTAGGGACATGGATGAAATTGGAAATCATCATTCTCAGTAAACTATCGCAAGAACAAAGAACCAAACACCGCATGTTCTCACTCATAGGTGGGAATTGAACAATGAGAACACTTGGACACAGGAAGGGGAACATCACACACCGGGGCCTGTTGTGGGGTGGGGGGAGGGGGGAGGGATAGCATTAGGAGATATACGTAATGTAAATGATGAGTTGATGGGGGCAGCACACCAAGATGGCACATGCGTACATATGTAACAAACCTGCACGTTGTGCACACGTACCCTAGAACTTAAAGTATAATAATTTTTTTAAAAAAAGAAATCTTTCTCATTTGCTCACCAAAAAGATTTAGTGGAGATATATGTATCTCCACTATAATATATGCAGCAGATATATTTCTATTTCCTATATACATATAATAGGAAATAGAAAAATATGTTGATAAGCACAGAAATTATGTATTATGAAGAGTTTCAAGATAGTTTTTACTAGTTTTATAAATTACCAATGCCTTCTCACTGTCTAAGAATTTAAACTCCGTAGAAATATTTCTTTTTTTTTTCTTTTTTTTTTTTGAGATGGAGTCTCACTCTGTCGTCCAGGCTGGAGTGCAGTGGAGCAATCTCGGTTCACTTCAAGCTCCGCCTCCCGGGTTCACGCCATTCTCCTGCCTCAGCCTCCCGAGCAGCTGGGACTACAGGCGCCCGCCACCATACCTGGCTAATTTTTTGTATTTTTAGTAGAGACGAGGTTTCACCGTGTTAGCCAGGATGGTCTCCATCTCCTGACGTCGTGATCCTCCTGCCTTGGCCTCCCAAAGTGCTGGGATTACAGGCGTGAGCCACTGTAAACTCCGTAGAAATATTTCAAACATTTAAAAATTCAAAGTGACGGCAATTAGCCCGGCAGAAACAAATCTGACTGTGCTTTCCTTGTCCCTTGAAAGTGTCATTGAAGCTCCTGTCTAATGAAGATTGTGGCATCAGTGTTCAGGCTTGTCACCTGCTCCTCGTAAGAACAAATAGGGATACTTAGAGGGAAACAGTTTGCTACAGGTAGTGTTCTCCCAGAGAGACAAAACGCGAGGGGCCGAGTTGTATAATCAGGTGTGCTGAAACTCCACGGGGCACTGCTTAACAAGGTTGCTTTTTGTTTTTGTTTTTCCTCAGTGTGGTTAGCAAATTAATTGACTGGAGAAAAATGCACATTTAGAAACAAGCTAATGTGCGCGGCATGCAAAGTCGAGCCTTCTGCACCTGCCAGTCTCTCCTCCCCGCTGCTGCCGGGAACTCCCCGCGATCCCAGATCGGCCTGCGCTGCCTTCCTCCTTCCCTATCCCCGGGACGCCCCGTCACCCTCAGCCTCGCGTGCACGGTGCACTCCCGCCAGGGCCGCTCACGCCCTGGTTTCTGTCCCGGCTCTACTCCCCTCCCGCTCAGTGATTAAACAGGTGATGGCTGAGCACCTGCCAGGGCGCCGGCGGTGTGCAGGGCCCCGGGCTCCAGGCCTTGCTAAGCGGGCTGGCCCGCTCCCGGGGCTCGGTGGAATGAGGGGCAGGACTCGGTGGCCCGCACCGCCACTGCCAGCTCCTTGTTTGCAGACACTCCTCTGCGAGTCTGACGATTGTGCCCTTGCTTAATCCTCGGACCCGTTCTCCGTTCTCCTCCGCAGTAGGAAGCAGGGGTGCCGCCGGCCCCATCTGCCCGTGCCCGACACGGACGAGGCCTTCACGCAGCCCTGACCCTTTCCATTTCCCAGGGACTTGCTTCTCGTTGGCTCAGCCCCAGGGCCCTGGATTCCTCTGTCCTCGCGCCGGCCCGCGGCCAGGCCGCTCCCTTTGCTCGCAGTGGGTCTTGTAGCTTGCTGCTCGGCTGGGACGGCCACCTTGCACCTGTCGGTGCTGCAGGGCGCTCTCCCTGGGCCTGGGACATCGGTCTCTGCTTCACTTCACCTCACGGGTGGGCCCGGAAGGCTTCGTCTTCCTACGCCTCACCTGAAGCTAGGCTGTGATTTTTTAATGAGCTCTTCCATACATTTATGGAGTCCCTGCTATAGGCTCAGAATCGCTCTAGGTGTCAGAGATGCAGTGGTGAAAAAGAAACGAGTCTTATCATCCAGCCTGTGTGTGGACAGAAAAGGTTTAAAGCCAGGCCCTGTTGTGCCTCATTGCTCCAGGAGACATTTTCCTGGCTGAGTCAAAAACAGAAGCTGCCTGGATTGCACCTATCATAGGAATAAAAACTAGCATTTATTCTGTATTTACTATGAATCAGACTCTTGTGACTGTTATATGTATTAATTTAATCTTCTAAAAGTCCCACAAGGTGGATACCCATGCCATCCCATTTTACAGGTGAGAGCACTGAGGTTCAGAGGGGTTTAAGGCCACCCAGGTAGTAGGAAGGGCCAGATTCAGTGTTTCCTCTTAAGTAGTCTTCATAGATCCTTTATGCCTAGTCAAGTGCCTTTGAGGACAAAAGAAGAGAGAAGCAGGGAGCTGTGAAGAATAGAGAGGTGGCCAGAACAATTTCCCTTATGCTGGGAAGGGGAGGTAGGCTTGTGAGCAGGGAAGACCCACATGCCACATGCTGGTGGTGCCTGGGAAGTTGACAGGACCCCAGAAAGAGGGTATGCCCAGGGAGACTGCAGGCTGTCAGCTTCTCAGCACTGGCCAACACTCTCATACATCACGCGTGGCACAGAAATAGAGCCCTCAGATGCAAGGGTCCTCATGATCTTGAACCATGCAGTTGTCAGTGGTGAACAATGAGGCTTAAGAATAATGGTCCTTTCCCATTTATTTAGGTGGTCACAACTGGGTCCCAGTATGATCCTTGGAGGGGGAGAGGGCCCTATAATGTTTGTACTTAAATGTCCTGACATTCCCAGGGATGGAGGCTCAGAATGAGGACTGCGTTCTTTAAAGGAATAAAGAAATGGCCGTGTCTTGCACCTGCATTTCCTGTTTGATTCATAGCTACAACATGGCAAATGTCAATGAATACAGACCCTGTGTCAAGGGGTGTGCTATTTCCTTGATGCATTGTGGTGAATAAAAAAGCCTGACTTGGGCCGGGCGCGGTGGCTCATGCCTGTAATCCCAGCACTTTGGAAGGCCGAGGCGGGCAGATCATGAGGTCAGGAGTTCGAGACCATCCTGGCCAACACGGTGAAACCCTGTCTCTACTAAAAATACAAAAATCAGCTGGGTGTGGTGGCACGCACCTGTAATCCCAGCTACTTGGGAGGCTGAGGAAAGAGAATCACTTGAGCCAGGGAGGCGGAGGTTGCAGTGAGCCAAGATTGCGCCACTGCACTCTAGCCTGGCAAGACTCTGTCTCAAAATAAATAAATAAATAAATAAATAAAAAAGCCTGACTTGGCTGGGCATGGTGGCTGACACCTGTACTCCCAGTACTTTGGGAGGCTGAGGTAGGTGGATCACCTGAGGTCAGGAGTTCAAGACCAGCTGACCAACATGGTGAAACCCTGTCTCTACTAAAAAAAAAAAAAAAAAATTAGCTGGGTATGGTAGCGCATGCCTGTAATCCCAGCTACTTTGGAGGACAAGGCAGGAGAATCACCTGAACCTGGGAGGTAGAGGTTGCAGTGAGCCGTGATCACGCTATTGCAATCTAGCCTGGGCAACAAGAGTGAAACTCTGTCTCAAAAACAAAAAAACAAAAAACACCTGACTTAATAAAGTCCACAGTTGAATGGGCAAAGCCAATATTAAGTAAATACAAAATTTAAATACAAGTTGTGCATTATAAGAAACCAGGATGCTCTGAGAGGAGATAATGGGGAGATCCACCATGACTGGGGTCAGGGAAAGTCCGTCCTGAAAACTTCCCACAGAAAGTGGAGGTGAGGAGCTCAGGAACACAGGGTGGGGAGGAGAGATTCTGAGCACAGAGGACAGACAGCACAAGCAAAGAGTAGAAAACAGTCACAGAACTGAAAAGACACCTGGGTACCCAAGGCATAGTAAGGGAGGGGCACGTGGGATTCAGCTGAAGATGTAAGTCAATCGGGTGGGGGTCAGTCCTGTCCAACCCATGGCCCGTGGGCCGCATGCCACCCAAGATGGCTTTGAATGCAGCCCGACACAAATTCATAAACTTTCTGAAAACATTATGAGAATTCTTTGCGATTTTTCTTTCTTTGGCTCATCAGCTATCGTTACTGTTAGTGTATTTTATGTGTGGCCCAAGGAAATTCCTCTTCTTCCATTGTGGCCCAGGGAAGCCAGAAGATTGGACACCTCTCATGTAAGTAGCAGCCGGAAACTGAAGAACCTCATGTGTCTCATCAAGGGCTTGTAGTTTAATCTTACCTGAAATTGGAAAACATTGAGGGCTTTACAAAATAGAGAAAACAATTAGATTTACTTTATACAAGATCATTTGAATGGAGAGAGGAAATGGCAAGATCAATTGAGAAGCTATTGTTATAGGTGAGGAAAAAGTTGGAGGTGGCTTACGGTGGAGACAGGCAGCGCAAAGAGAACAGGATGCACCAGCAATGGATTTTAGAAGCATAACTGATAGGACTGGGGGAAGTGTGGTGTGTAGGGGGCAATGGAGAAGGTGATGTCCGGGAGATCCCTAGCGTGCTGGAGGTGATGTCTACTGAGATGGAGTAGAAACAGATTTAGGATCAAGATTAAGAATTCAGATGTGCGGCTGGGAGAGATGGCTCAAGCCACTTTGGGAGGCTGACGCAGGCGGATTATCTGAGGTCAAGAGTTCGAGACCAGCCTGGCTAACATGGTGAAACCCCGACTCTACTAAAAATGCAAAAATCACTGGATGTGGTGTCGTGCACCTGTAATCTCAGCTACTGGGGAGGGTGAGGCAGGAGAATTGCTTAAATCTGGGAGGTGGAGGTTGCGGTGAGCAGAGATCACACCACTGTACTCCAGCCTGGGTGACAGAGCAAGACTCTGTCTCAAAAAAAAAAAAAAAGAAATCAGATGTGTGAGCTCCAAGAAGACATTTAATCATACTGAATATCTGGATACTTATTTGTCAATTTAAAACCCACACTTAATTTACAGATAGATAGATACATCTAGATAGATCTTATATACACATAGATAGGTCTTTTATAGTAGATCCTATGTATATTTTATAGTGGATCTTTTATATGTATCGATATAGATCATATATATCTGTTGCTATTTGTCTAAAGCAGGAGAAATCTGAAGACTAAGCTCATATGTGCTGATTTTATCTTGAGGTATTGACATAAACAACCGGAATGAATGCAAATAAAGTCCACAATGCTTCTGGAATGTTCTATAAAGGCAGATCTACATCTGCAGAATAATATGCTTATGTTAGTCAGCAGAGCTTTAATTATTTAATTGTCTTACCACACTAGCCCAAGAAAGATTTTAAGCCTAAGCCTTTAAAATAAAAATAATTTACAGATGCTATAGAGAGAGAAGTAAAGTCGTCCACTATTGATCCTGTGTCCTTGATCTGCCTTACCCTCATGATCATAAAATAGAAAGTACATAAATTAAGGTTTTCAAATAAATATTCATGGCATGGTGATGTCTAGGCAAATTTCTTTGAGTAGAAAAGCTACATGCTGGCTTCCTCTAAAATACTGAGAGGCTATGGTCACGAGCTGGAGGGAGGCAGTCCTCCTGTAGGTGATCAGTGATTTTTTTAATGCTACAGACTTGGACACCATTTTCATTTTGGTTGTAAGGATTTTCATTTTTCCTCTGTGTTTTACATATTTTCTCTTGTTTCTACACCCTAGATACCAGACTGAAAGCTGTGAGCAAATGAGAACTCTAAAGTTCTACCTTTCACTGTCACACACCATTTCTGTAGCCTAATCAAAATGCGGCATCTTTTTCCTAAGGCAATGCCATATTTTTCTCTCATCATGACACTTAATTTAAAGGTGGCAGACTGGAAGATGCAGTGTCCTGTGACAAATTTGTAAGCCGTGAATTGATCCCTGCCCCACACACAGCAATATCCAAGCATGGTCTCTGGCAACTTACCATAAATCATCTTTTACTTCTTTGCTCTTAGACTTTCTGAGAGCTGAATGGCAATGCGGAGACAGATGGGGGTCAGCTCTTCACTGTCATCCATAGCTGCTGGTAATTTACGGGCGATATAGAACACCTGTGAGTTATGGTGTCTTTTGTTTGCCTGAGTTGTCCTTTGCTGAGGACTGCAATGCCTACATCATAATGTTTGAGTGTTTACTATCATATACTACAAAAAAATACCTAAGTCATAGAAGCATGGCATTATACCCATGAGCTTTAAGGTTTATCCAATCAAAAAGCCATTTCTCTTTGGGCTTGATACCCTGCGTCTGATGTACAAGGATGCTGGAGGAATACGAATGCCAGTAAGCCACATAGAGCTACAGCAAGCTCTTCATTTCATGGTCATTAAGAGAGCTGAGAGGGACTTCATTATAGCAGGTCTTCGACAGATGAAATGGTTCTGCCTGTTCCCCGGCTCTCCACAAACAACCGCAGGAGGAACTGTGCCCACGTTGTTATGAAAATGCACTTTATAAAAAGTAAACATAAGCACCATATTAAGAGGAATGGAAGAAATAAGTACCTTGCTGTTTGGAAAATCTCAAGTGCGAGTTTATTCCTATTAGATCCTTTTAATTTGTGGAAGAAAGTACAGTCTTAATTGCATGAACATTATTATCATTAATTAATATTAATCAACCAGATATACTCTCCCAATTTTTCAAGTATTTTCTGCACTCTTTATAATCATTGATGTTTATCACTGGCCTAAGAAGTGAAACACAAACCTGCAACATCAATTAAGAGATGATGGATTATGGCCAGGCGCCGTGGCTCACACCTGTAATCCCAGCACTTTGGGAGGCCAAGGCGGGCAGATCATGAGGTCAAGAGATGGAGACCATCTTGACCAACATGATGAAACCCTGTCTCTACTAAAAACACAAAAATTAGCTGGGTGTGGTGGCGGGTGCCTGTAACCCCAGCTACTCGGGAGGCTGAGGTAGGAGAATCACTTGAACCTGGGAAGCAGAGGTTGCAGTGAGCCGAGATCGTGCCACTGCACTGCAGCCTGGAGACAGAGTGAGACTCCGTCTCGAAAAAAAGAAAAAGAAACAAAGAGATGATGGATGATATAATAGTAGAAGGATCAGTTATTATGAGTGGCAAACATGAAGGAGCTGTGATGGGCCATAAGAAAATGTTAGCATTTATTTAACACCGGTCTAATGATCCCCACCTGGCAAGCATAGGCAAGTCTTCATTTTCACTTTTAATTTACCTGGCACATACATTCACTTATCATACTGTGAGATAATCATAGGTTTATACATCTGTACTTCTATTGATATAAGTTCTGAAATAATTAAGAACATTAGAGATGGGGTGGTGATTTTTAAAAAAAATTAGCATTCAAAACTAATTCTAGACTAGTTCTCATATATTAGGCATTCACCTTTTAAACAAATAAAGGAACAGATAAATAAATGGAAATGGAAAAAAGAAATAGGGTAACAGAAATACATAGTTCAGGGGCCAAGGTGTAGGTCTATGAATATAAAATCAGTGTTTTCACAGTTTCGTATAATTTAATAAATTTGAAATAGAAACCACATAGGGTGCTACATGAACTTTTAAAATTAAATGTACAGTCTCTGATTTGCAATGGTTTGATTGAGGATTTTTCAACTTTGCAATGGTGCTTAAGTGACAGGCATTGAATAGAAACCATACTGCGACCATTCTGTTTTTCACTTTCAGTAGGGTCATTAGTAAGTTATATGAGATATTCAGCCCTTTATTTACACAAAATAGGCTTTGTGTCAGAGGATTTTGCCCAACTGTAGGCCACTGTAAATGCTCTGACCATATCTAAGGTGGGCTAGGCATGGTTGTGATGTTCTGTATGGTAGGTGTATTCGTGCACTTTCCACTTAGGTTATTTTCAACTTAGGATGGGTTTAATGGGGAGCAGGGGGTGCACACAACTCCATTGTAAGTTGAGGAGAATCTGTGTTCTGTTTTCAAAATCCATATGTTAAAAATGATTGATGTCAAATAGGCTTCCAAAACATACTCTAAAATAGGCAAATCCGCTGAAGTATGGAAAGAGCACGACACAGTTTTACTGCACATTCCCCTGGAAACCTTTGTCTGAAATTTTCCAAATATTCAAAATAAGGTATTATAAGTTCTCTGGAGAGGGATTTATTTTTAGGAAAAGGCTGTCATTGCTTGTGGAGTCCATATTCATAAGTGGTTTTTGTATTTGGTATTAATTCCTCTATACTATAAGACCCAGAAAGACATGTTCTGTAGGGTAAGTATACTAACTCTGATACGGTTTCTTTCAACAGATTGTTCTCAATAATTAAAATGGCAACAATGACAACAGAAAAATCAGATATGAATAGACTCTATGTCTTCTAGTCTTTATCACAATAACCTGATATTTTAATCCTGTTAAGTACTATATTATTCCAGAGTATACAAAGAGAAACAGTGGCGGTGTGTAGGCGGGATAGATTAGGCTGGTATAAACTCTTTTCATATAAATGTATGCATTGACGTGCAGGCATTGTGATGCTTCCTAAGTCAATTCAATTAAAGTCATAAAAACTTCACAAAGCTGACCACACCTGTCAAAAAAATGTCAACGCTCATCAGCCTTCTATTTCTTCTTTTTTTTTTTTTCTAGCCTAATTCAGGCCACTCCCCATTTTAGGAATTTCTAGATTGCAAGACTTAAACTTAATGATTTCACTGAACTTTGCCTATTATAGTACATTTTCCTTCTTTGTGTCAGAAAGGCATATAATTGTGAGAAATGTGATTTAGAATAAGGGAGAGCAGTGATTTTTAATAAAAAATAACATGATCGATTCCACAAAATACAACACCATTTCAGAGAGCTTGAAGGTATAATAAAATTCTAGAGTGAATAATTATATAACGGCTTATGAGCTTTCACAAAGCAAATGGTAATCAGGCTAAGATAAATTAACTAAGATTAAGAAATACCAGATTATTAACTACTTTTTAAAATAGTCTTTTTAGACAGGAAGATTTGGAAAATGCTATCAACATGTCATATATGAATTTCAATAAAAAATGTGACAAAGACATTCTGGGGAGTATTTTGGGCAAGCTAGTGACTTGTAGATTGTATAGTCACCCACGTGAATTTGTAATTGACTGAAGGCCTTCTTTCACAGATGCTGCTGCTGGTTCATGGCTGTCCTGGACAGACGCCTGCAGAGTGTGCTCAGGCCCATGTGTTCAGCCCTGCCGTGCTCACTATTTCATGGACTGGTGATCGAAAAAAGAGATGGAGCCACTCTAATGAGATAAAACAATAGGAACTGTATAGAAACAGAGCTGGGTAGATGGAGTGTAAGAGTGGTACATGTGGCCGGGGAGGTGGCTCACGCCTGTAATCCCAGCACTTTGGGAGGCTGAGGCAGGTGGATCACCTGAGGTCAGGAGTTCAAGACTGGCTTGGTTAACATGGTGAAACCCTGTCTCTACTAAAAATACAAAAATTAGCCAGACATGGCCAGGTGCGGTGGCTCATGCCTGTAATCCCAGCACTTTGGGAGGCCGGGACGGGTGGATCACGAGGTGAGGAGATCAAGACCGTCCTGGCTAACACAGTGAAACCCCGTCTCTACGAAAAATACAAAAAAAAAATTAGCCAGGCGTGGTGGCGGGCGCCTGTAGTGCCAGCTACTCGGGAGGCTGAGGCAAGAGAATGGCTTGAATCTGGGAGGCGGAGCTTGCAGTGAGCCGAGATTGCACCACTGCACTTCAGCCTGGGCGACAGAGGGAGACTCTGTCAAAAAAAAAAAAAAAAAAAAAAAAAAAAAGGAATGGTACATGTGAAAAGGACTTATAGCCCCCCCGCTTTTATTCTTTTGTAATTTTGTAATTTATATTTACAGATTGTCCTTTTCTTTTTTTAAAAAAAACACTTATTTAAGGATAAGCAATCTGTTTGCTTGAACTGGCAGTGTTGTAGAAAGGTTCCAGTAAAGAGCGTTTTCCTCCAGTGGAGCTGACTTTGTGCTCAGTCTTTACACCACGAAAGTAAGGGTCATGTGGTTGTGGTATCTGGGGAAAGAGAAAAATGTCAAATTCAGACATAGCTCCGTAACTTGAACGTAACTTCCTCTTTTAAAAATTATTTTTAATATAACATAGTTTTCTGTAAAATAAAGTAAAAATATTAATAATAGTGGATTTAATGTCGAGCAGGATACATAATTTACACTATCTACAATACTTACCCACTGATAAACTCCACACGATTACAACTGATTCATGAAAATGAATAAATAAACAATTCAGCTCAGTTGAGTTAGAAACATTTCCAAAATTAAATGGAAGGCAAGTGTTATAAGCAAACAAAAAGTGTTACATGAAAGTGAGGATAAATCTTTTGCAGTAAATTATTAATAGATACCCATTTTTTATTTTGAAGATTGAAATACTACCACATTTTAAATATAGTAAGTTCAAGCACAATTTAATGAGGAATAGTCAATAATATTCAATATAACTATAAAACCAGTGATGTATAATAACTGGTACATAAAATTCTAATACAGAGTGTTAATTTTTTTGGTAAAATATAGTTAAACAACAATCATATTAAATCAGATTGGCATTACCTACAGTGCCAATTCTTTCCTGAGTTAGAGGTTAAATAAACATGTGATTGAGAATTTCAAGTTGAATCTAAGGACAAGAAGTTAGTCTCGCCCAGTTGTGTTGACACAATCTGGCCAGATGGGCTGGCTGGAACTGGATTTGACAAAAAGTAGTGGGGACTGCTCCAAACCTCCGTGTATGCAGCAAAAGGTTAAAAATGCGTTTCAAACATTTCTGCTGAATAAAGTTAGAAACGAGCATACTGTGTCTCGAAGTCGACATTTCCATGAAGATGAAGGAGGCATTGAGTGCCTGTCCGCGTGCCTCCATGGCCAGTGCATTGAAAGGAAAGTTACACCTTTGAAGGGAGCTGGTGGACCTTTGGCTGATTATAGAATACAATCATGGCGACTCACAGAGCCACATAAATTAAAATAGGAACTGCCTGGATGGTTGTTTAAAACCTCCAGAAAAATACCTCAAAGGCGAGATGTTAAATGCTTGAATCAGACATCTCTTGTTATAAGTGAAATCTCTGTTCCTGCTACATTTTAGTAACATTATTGCAGGAATTTGGTTAAGTGTGGATGCAAAGGACAGTTGTATCGTTAAACAGGGCTAACTACAGTTGCAATATTTTAGACAAAGGATCACGTAGAATCAGAACCTGGATTTTTACATACTGTGGCCTTATCTGCAGTCCATCTTCGTGTTTGCTTGCTTAGCTTTCACAGAAGTAAACTACATTTCTAATAAGGGCTCATAAATTTGATCATAAATGTATTTTCTTTAAGAACTTCGAGACTTTCATTGGCAATTGATTATTTATTTTTCGCTGATCTTATGGCCACACTTATTTAGGTGACATTCTTTAACCTGATTTGTGAATTTAAACTTGGCAATTAAAAAGCGGAAAACAAAACACAACTTTGCATTAGATTGGGTGTAGTGAAGTCTGTGGGTTAGCCCATATGTAACTTTACCTTTCACACTGAATTTATGTTTCTATTTCTGAATAATTCAGTAAATCTATATAAATTATGTAAATGACCAATACCTGAAACACAAGCTAAACCTACACAATAGATAGTCACACACACATATATACATCTGAAATGTAATGAATAATTCAAAATTTGAATTGTAAAAAGCATTACAGAATAAATTTCAATGACAAGAGATTTGATCGACACAGCAAAATAGGTCACCACAGTCAAAAGTTTGCCCCCATTTAATGCTGGTGCCTGAGCCGTCCTAACTGGTCCGTGAAAACTTCGACAGAAGACCATGCTTCTTTTTATTTGCTTTGAGCAGTGCGTATATACCTGTCTTGTACTTTTTACGGACAGTTTCAGTTAGAACCACTTTGATACAAGAATACTACTGAACATTTACATTTTTAGCAGAGGTGCTTTCTTTTCTTCAACCAGCAACAGGCATAGCTGCTGCAATGGTTCTCTCTCCAAGGTAGCTGGAGCTGGCGCTTCCAGGAGGGTGGGGATCAAAGCTGCGAAGAGAAACCTAAAGAACTGGTCTCAGGCTCTTGCCCATGTGAAGCATAAAAGTAGAGAGAGGAGGCCGGGTACGGTGGCTCACACCTGTAATCCTAGCACTTTGGGAGGCCAAGGTGGGCAGATCTCCTGAGGTCAGGAGTTCTACAGCAGCCCGGTCAACATGGTGAAGCCCTGTCTCTACTAAAAATACAAAAAAATTAGCCAGGCATGGTGGTGGGTTCCTGTAATCCCAGCTACTCTGGAGGCTGAGACAGGAGAATTGCTTGAACCTGGGAGGCAGAGGTTGCAGTGAGCCGAGATCATGCCACTGCACTCCAGCCTGGGTGACAGAGTGAGACTCCATCTCAAAAAAAGAAAAAAAGAAAAAAATTTTAATCAGATGCCATGTACACGGAGAACAGAAGCTTGGAGCAAAGATTTAGAAGGGGCTAATTTATGTCTATTCAGGGTAGGCACAGAAGTTTTTTGGTAAGGTGCATTACTTCTGGCAGAGCTGTATATTGTAAAGTAGACAGAGGATGATGTGCTGTGTGAAGAATAAGGTTTCCCAGTGGTCATGGTAGAAAATAATATAACAAGTAAATGAATGTTATCTTCAGGTTGAAGGAAATTTTTCATATGGCTTTTTTTTTTTTTGAGAGAGAGAGAAGGGAGCCTTGTTATCTTTCCCATGCTTCAGCCTCCTGAGTAATTGGGATTACAGTCACCAGCCACCGTGCCCGGCTGAATGACTTTTTAAAAGCTTTCCATTTAGATCACCATATTATTTATACAGTGTTGGGATGTTCAAGTAAATTATCTCTTTGCCTTTTCTTTTTTTTTTTTCCAATGAGATAAACTTAACAATGCAGAGCAGGATTTCTTTAGTCTTGGTGGCTTACCCTAAATCATATTGCAAATGAGGTGCATTTAGTTTGTCTTCAGCATAGCATGTTTACCACCTGAGAATGATAATGAAGCAGCAAATAGTTACTATCTACTGAGGGTGCAATACACTGACTATGCCATGTGTTGAGTTCATTCATTCCTCCTGACCCATGGAGGGGTAGAACATTTCAGTAACTTAGACTGTAGGATTCGAGGTCTTTAACATTAAAGTCATTGCTCCAAACTCCTATATTAATAATTGCAAATTGCTTATTCACACAATGATTTACAATTATTAATATTCTTTGTTCCTTTGCTTTTCCCGCAAATACTTATCAAGCATCTTTTCTATGGCAGGCACTGTTTTTTAGGGCACAAACATTGCCCAAAGTCTTTCCCCTTGTTTTGTGTATGTTCTAAGGGGGAAACAGACAATACAATATGTATAATGAAGAAGCAAACAATAATAAGACACAAGGTCAAATACTGTTGGTAGTAGCGCAGCTGTGAGGCAGATATACAGTATAGCGGATATATAATATAGCAGTTTGCTATATTAAATAGGATTATTTAGGAAGGTGACATTTGAGCAAAGGCTTGAAAGCCACAGACACTCTTCATGATGCTAGAACAAGATTGAAAACAACCCCTTCCTTCCTGTCAACTTACCTATCCCCAGGCTGCTATGGGTATTGGAGGACATGCTACCATTGCCATACTCCTGGGACGCAGTGACAGGATAATAGATGTTGAAGTGGTGGCTCTTTACCCAAACAGAGCATTTACATTTAGAGATCTGGGGCTAGATATGTCAGGCAATATTCCCTATGGTCTGTCTGACTGTGCGGTCCTGCTGTTATTGGGGTAGGCTAGTTCCTTGGTGTTCATGTTGCATTTGCCTCTCTTCCGAATGCAGTATCAGTGCCTTATTCCTCTTTATATACCCATGTCACCACTTCCACAAGCCCAGTATTTATGCCAATGCATTGCAGAAAAGTACTAAGTAAATTTTTAGATATTGCAAAAATGTTTTTTATTTTCAAGATACATCTTTTTACAAACATAATACTTTTAGTGAAAATTACTCACGAATGGCAACAAGAAGAATCAAATTGTACTGGCAAACATAAAATGCTTTAGTTTAATCAGACATTTGCTAGTGTTGTCTTGTTTTCTGGTGCCAAGAAGAAACCCTTAACATGCAAGAGAAAGTGAAAAAGTCTAGGGGCTGAGACCATGTGAACAAACGTCTTTCTGTCCTCTTTATGGTGAATTAAACTTTGCTCCTCTGACAGGCCAAATACAACTAATTCCATATTGGGCTGCTTTTTCCTATGGTAAAGCATGAAAAATCTATCCATGAATCTATGTATAGTTATAAGTTAATTCAGGCACATTGTTGCCTTAGAATGATGAAATACATGCTTACGGAAAGCAATCTATTGGTTGAGACTAGGAAAATGCTGGCTGGAGCCCATGCTGTCTGTTGGAAACGGAGCTGTGGAAATTGCCAGCTCTAAATGAGATAGGAAATTTGTTGATTGGTTTGTTGGATTTCTTTTTCTCCATTATTTTCCAAAAGAAGAAGCAGGCATGAATTCTGGCAATTTTCTATTTTTCCCTTGCTTCCCAGATTTAGCTCACTGATTGCATAATTTTCTTACTGCTCATTTTTCAGGAAAGTCCATAGGCATTAGCCACTGCCTTTTGATGCCAGTATGCATCAGAAGGCAGTGGCTAACAGGGAGTGTGTGTCATTTCCCCGGGGGCCAATCAGCTCAACTCAGTCACATGGTAAGTCAGTTGAAAGGAGGCAGTGGGAATCATAGATATGGGTGATATTTTTTTTTCCTTCCCATGGTGCTCAGAGGGCACAAAGGAATTCTAAACAACCATCTTATTAGTTATAAAAAATTTTTCACCTCTGCAGACCTTCACACTACACTTCAATGACACTATTAATTTCTCTTAATTGAACAGGTGCAAACCTTTATCCTGTTTTATATTAATAAACAGGTTTGAAACCTCTTTGTTTCAAATATACCATTTAAAAATTAGTGCTAATGTTTAGTTATGATGGTCTCTGCTGTAACACATTCATGCATCAAGCAATTAGTCATTTCCTAGTGTGCACACTGTATTGTTTTAACCTCCAAAGAAGAATCCAGATTTGCTCCCAAATCTAGAAACATGGTCAGATGCACCACTTGATGATGAATACAAAATCTTGACAATTCAATTTTGGTAAACAGTAAAGAATGTGTATATGCCACACCTATGGAACATATCAAGTAAGCTGACATCAAGGAGCACACAGCTAATATCCGAGCACTTAACAATAAACACTTTCTAGTGACATTTCTAGGAAATCATACAAAGTAGGAGCATGGGTCAAAATGATTAGAAGGCAGCCAGGAAAGTCTTCACACTGGCATCATAAATTTTATTCTTTATATACATTTCTTTTTCTAGTTGCTAAAATTAGGAAAGCTGGTAGAAGAAGAATGGGAAAATTGAAGGTAAATAAGTGATAGAGTGTTTATTTACAACTGTGCCTAAGTTCAAAAAAAAAAAAAAGAGAGAGAGAATTGGTTACCTGTGAAACTGTTACCTACTCATCTGGGACAGCTGCCCTCTGGTTTCCTTCAGAACTCTACAGAAAAGACTGACTTAGACAAATGCTTGTTTGGAAAAGATTTTTCTTTCACCTGGCAGCTTCTTTGCATTGCTACTGCATTAATCTTTTTCCATGCCTGTTTTGTTCTCATTTTTTGTTTGTTTGTTTTTGAGACAGAATCTTGCTCTGTCACCCAGATTGCAGTGCAGTGGCGCGGTCTCAGCTCACTGCAACCTCTGCCTCCCGGATTCAAGTGATTCTCCTGCCTCAGCCTCCCGAGTAGCTGGGATTACAGGTGCCCGCCACCATGACCAGCTAATTTTTGTGTTTTTAGTAGAGACGGGGTTTCACCCTGTTGGCCAAGCTGGTCTTGAACTCCTGACCTCAGGTTATCCACCCACCCCAGCCTCCCAAAATGCTGGGATTGCAGGCATGAGCTACTCAGCCCGGCCTCATGTGGATTCTTTGGACTCCAGATTCTCCTCCTTCAATCCAGTTTTATATATGCAACCACCACACATAGCTTTCTCAGGCAGAGTTATAATCACATTCCTATTTTGCTTGGAAAACTTTGCACAAATTTGAAACTAGTACATGCACAAGGTTTATAAAGATGTAAAAACAAATATATAGTTAGAGTATAATTAAAGGAAGAATTTATCAAATAGCAACTAAGATTAGGTGATGTGACCATATGAGTACTTTTAAAATGTCGTTTGAGTTTTCATATTTATCAAATTCTCTAACAAATTGGTATTAATTTAGTAATTTAGTAATCAGATACAAAATGTTATAAATATATTTATAACATAATACTTTTTTTTCTGGCTCTTTCTCTTATTTTGTACACTAAGTGCAGTAAGATGTACCCGAGGGTTTCTTTCAAGTCTTGGGTCTTTAAAAGATCAAGCGACGCTTGGGAGAGGACAGGGAAAATAAAATATGGACTGAGTAGTGTAGATGCTCAGCCTAGCATTCATGAGGTTTTTAAAGTTTCTGCATGATTCATTCCAGCTCATGAGCTAAACTGCTACATGACACATTAGAACTGAAGGACTCACTGGTGCTGACGAGTCTGCCTGGAGTGTCCTTAGACATCGAAGCGGTGTCATGGTGATAGGAGAGGCTGGTCAGGGAACCCAGACTCTTGGCCATTTCTTCTTAAGAACCATTGCTAACAAGAAGCTTTGATCAGCTGCAGGGAAGCAACTCATTCCTGGGGAAAGGGCATGAAAAGAACCAGGAACCATTTGAGAGCACAACTTAACAGACTGACACTTAAGAAAAGGGTTGGAATCTTTTTTTTTTTTTTTCTTTGAGACAGAGTCTCACTCTGTCACCGAGCCTGGAGTGCAGTGGGGCGATCTCGGCTCACTGCAAGCTCCGCCTCCAGGTTTCAAGCCATTCTCCTGCCTCAGCCTCCCGAGTAGCTGGGACTACAGGCTCCTGCTACCACGCCCGGCTAATTTTTTGTATTTTTAGTAGAGATGGGGTTTCCCCATGTTGGTTAGGCTGGTCTCCAGCTCCTGACTTTGGGTGATCTGCCTGCCTTGGCCTCCCAAAGTGCTGGGATTACAGGTGTGAGCCACCGTGCCCGGCCCGGCTGCTGCCACTTTGCACCCTTATCTCTTTCACACTTCCATTGAGAAGCGTGGCTATGAGCCTGTGATTGGACCTTCTCTGAGAATCCAGCGAGTGGGCACTGGAGAGGAGGAGGTGGGGGACTGGACACCCCACTGCAACACTTCCCCAGCTCCTGAAGTGGGTTGCTGTGTCCATTTGGAGAGTTAGAGAGAGATCTTTCCCAATAGCCCTTCTCTACCATCTAATGCCTTTCTGTGAAGAGATGGGAATCTATTTTAAAAACTTGGTCCGTTTCTTCCTCTTCAGATCTTCTGAGTTGACGTTCCCACTTTGTGAGTTTACTGAAAGCAAAAAACAAAAAACAAAACCCAAACAAAAACCTATCACAATCAGCTTTTACTCAAAGGTAGTTTGGGGAGTAGTTAGTCAAAGGATGGAGAGTTGGACAAAAATCGTCCTATGTCCCAGGCACTTAGGGGGAGACTGCAGGTCTTTCTCTAGGCAGTCACACATCACAGCTTTCTGGGCAATCTGGGTCTGGCTTCTTACTTCTGCAGTGCAGATATAGCAGAGGGTCCTGTGCTATGTGTTGTGATCACTACATACTGTGATCCCAGTATCCCCAAATGGGATTACTCGACTGCTAGGCAAATAGCACTGGGTCCTTTAATGATGGGGTGTTGACACACGTAGTGTGATGAATCCCTCATTGCTAACCTTCCAAGAGGAGGTATTGCAGTCCCCTGCTGGCTGGATTTCAAGTGTTGGAAAAGCCTAGGATTGACTGCGGCAATTGCAGCGCTGGGTAGAGTTCAGTGGGTGGAAGCCGGGAAGATACCACATCGTTAAAGGCATATTCATCATCTTAAGAGCAGGCAGCCCCGGGGAAGAGTGTATTTCAGTTTTTGATAGTTTGTCAAGGCACAGTACAGTTCCTTTGTTTGATAATCAGTTCATTTTCCTAATTCAAAAGGCCAATACCAGGACGAAAGACATCTGAGATGGAAAGTAGAACTTGGTTTCAGCGTGTATGTGTGTTAAGTGCATGAGAAAACCTGTAAGCTACATGTCACTCGGAGTCTTCTTTTAACCTTAACATTCACTCTGTTTCATATTGTCTGTAAAGTTCAATGCCCTCTTCAATAATTCTGCAAATCTGTGGATAAGAGTGTGTGTGTGTGTGTGTGTGTGTGTGTGTGTGTGTGTGTGTGTGTGGAGGGGATCCATATGATTAATTTCTGGGCCCTCATTCTGGTCTCTGTTACGTTCTTTGCTGTTATTCCTTTATCTCTACTCTAGCATTTATGTGTATGTTTAACTCACTCCATTCCTTGATTTTTCCACCAAAAACAAAACCAAACCAAATAACCAGAGTCCTTTGTTTAATATAACTATGCCTTTTTTTTGATCTCGTGAGATAGAGGAGGATTTTTATCACTGGGATGTGAACGACTGTTCTAAGGAGGGAAGCTGTCCAGTCCTTCAGAGTGCCCTGTTGTCCTCTGCCGCTCCCATTTTTCTCCTGTGTGTGCCCTGTTCCCTCTGCTTCCTCAGATTCTCCTCCTCAGTTACTATCAATTTGTAGAACAGCAGGCTCAATTATTTTATTCGCTTCCTGCTACCGTATTTGCAGAGTATCACCTTTCACCCCAAACAGCTTATTAAGATAATTTCCACAAAGGATAGCAGGATTCCCAGTGCCAGCTTTTAAGATAATTACTCAACAATCCTGACACCTGATTTTTTTACAGGCTTGACGACATTGTAATGAAGTCCATTCTACTTAGAATTTCAGTAACAAAATCTTCTGGAACTGCCTTCCCCGATTACAGTTCCTGTTTATCCCCCAAACACCCAATTTGCCCCCATCCCTCCTCCTTCTTCCCTGCTTAGTGGTAGAGCATGCCCACACCTCCCTTCCTCTTTGGAACGGATGAGACACGGCCAGCCCTGGTTTTCCTTCAATCAGCAGTGTGGAAGCAGATCATCCTAGCTCTTAAAGGCTCTCTCCCTGGCCAGCAGACATATCTCAAACTGACTGAACGCTCTTCTTCCAGAATGTGCTAAGGACTGTCTGACATTCTTCCTTAAGGCTGAACCATTATTCATTTTTGAGAGTCCTGGAATTTGGAAGATAAACTCCCTCCTACTCTAGCTTTTGGGACTCCTTTCTATTTGGCCACTCAGTAGTATAACTGTACAAAAGAAATAAACAGCTAAAGTTGAGTGGCTTTTTCTGAGTCACTTCACAGGTTCAATAAAGATGCATCATTCCATGTCTTCCTCCATTTGGGCTGCTGTAACAAAATATCATAGATGGATGGCTTATAAACAACAGACATTTATTTATCACAATTCCAAAGGCTAGAAGTCCCACATCAAGGCACTGGCAGACTTCATGTCTGGTGAGGGCCCATTTCCTGGTTCATAGACAGTGTCTTCTTGCTGTGTCCTCACATGGCAGAAGAATTGAGGGGATCTCTGGGGTCTCCTTTAGAAGGGCACTAATCCCATTGAGGGGCCCCACCCTTGTGACCTCATGTAACCCAAATTACCTCCCAAAGGCCTCACCTCTATCAAAATGGGGGTTAGATTTTTTTTTTTTTTTTGAGACGAAGTCTCACTGTCTCCTAGTCTGGAGTGCAGTAATGCAATCTCAGCTCACTATAACCTCCACCTCCTGGGTTCAAGCAATTCTCGTGTCTCAGCCCCCTGAGTAGCTGGGATTACAGGCACGTGCCACCACACTTGGCTGATTTTTGTATGTGTGTGTATTTTTAGTAGAGATGGGGATTCACCATGTTGCCCAGGCTGGTCTCAAACTCCTGACCTCATGATCTGCCCACCTCAGCCTCCCAAAGTGCTGGGATTACAGGCATGAGCCACCGCGCCCAGGCGGGGGTTAGATTTTAACACAGTCAGTCTACAGCATGCGGTTTTCTTTTCTTTTTTGTGGGGGGACAGAGTCTCGCTCTGTTGCCCAGGCTGGAGTGCAGTGGCACGATCTCGGCTCATTGCAACCTCCGCCTCCCGGGTTCACACCATTCTCCTGCCTCATCCTCCCAAGTATCTGGCTCTACAGGCGCCCGCCACCACGCCCGGCTAATTTTTTTGCATTTTTAGTAGAGATGGGGTTTCACCGTGTTAGCCAGGATGATCTCAATCTCCTGACCTCATGATCCGCCTGCCTCAGCCTCCCAAAGTGCTGGGATTATAGGCGTGAGCCACCGTGCCCAGCCCATGCCTTTTTCTTATTCATTGTGAAGACTGAAAACAGACGAATAACTTGCTTTATGTCAGTATCTTTATTTCCCTGTCAGTGTATTCAATGACACAGAAAATACTTGATTCCATAAATGCTCCCACAGAAAAACACTTCATGCAAACCTTCCTCTCCATGTCTTCTGTCCATTGGAGAACCCAAACTAAAGAATGTCTCACACGTAGTTCTGCACATTCCTTCCCATTAGCCTAGTTGTTTCAGATGAAAATTTAGAAGACAGTGTAGGAGGCGGGAGAAGCCAAGAAGGAAGGAATCTGCATTTGAAGAAGGGTCATATGCATAATCACGAATAGCTATTTGGATTTGATAAAGAACTGCTATTGTGTTTGGATATACAGAAAATAAATGTTTGGAAATATAGAATATACACACCCAAACATATATACACACACATGTTGGACACATATTGGACTTTGTTACAACAGCTACCTATACCTTTACTGATACAGATCTCACTACTTGCCAGGCACCTGGTTCTAGGCCCATTAAGAACTGTCTCAGTGACCTCAGTGGGGCCCCTCATCAATGGCTGCCATCTAGGTTGAGCACTCTCGGCTGAGTTCCCAGTTTCTGTCATTCACGGTCCTTCCTCTTCAGGGATGCAGCCACCTTGCAGAATGCTATAGGGGCGTCAGGCACTGGCCTTGACATCGAAGCCTCTGTCTTCTTGCTCTCCATCTCTTTGAGTTGGACCACTCTCTTCTGCTTAGGAAGTACCAGGCTCTCTGCTCCCTCTTTTTCCCAAACCAAACCAAACCAATGTGTTTTTACTGCCGATGGATAGGCCTGCCACTTAGAACAGAAACATACCTTAGCTTCAGATCCTGTTGTCATATGAGTTTGTAGGTTCTAATTGAATATAAAAATTCAAATTTCTTTTACATAAAGTATCTCTCTCTCTCTTTTTTTTTTTTTTGATGGAGTCTAGCCCTGTCGCCAAGGCTGGAGTGCAGTGGTGTGATCTCGGCTCACTGCAATCTCTGCCTCGTGGGTTCAAGCGATTCTCCTGCCTCAGCCTCCTGAGTAGCTGGGACTACAGGTGCGACCCTTTACACCTGGCTAATTTTTGTATTTTTAGTAGAGACGGGGTTTCACCATGTTGCCCAGGCTGGTCTCAAACTCCTGACCTCAGGTGATCCAACCACCTTGGCCTTCCAAAGTGCTGGGATTACAGGTGTGAGCCACCGCACTGGGCCTATCTCATGTTTTTTTGTTTTCAGCTAATTATTATTACTTTAGAATCACTGTGTGAGCTAGATGAGAGACATCTTCATATTTTAAGCAATTGCAGTTTCTGGCTTAGCGCCTCCATTCATTCAGCAAACAGCTTTTTAGCCCTGGTTTGTGCCAGGTGCTGCTCCAAGTGCTAAGGATATGGCATGGCACAAGGTGCATGTGACCCCCAGTCTTGCAGCGTTGATGTTTAGCATTATAATACAATAATTGGCTGAACTTGAGGTTTTAAGAGATGAGGGTGATGTTAAGAGATTTATCTTTTCACTGTTTCCAGTTCCTATTGTAGCAGTAGGAACAAGAAAAGTATGAATATCTCAACAGTTAATCCTGTTATATGTAGCTATAAGGACATTGCTACAATTAATAGATAGCTTAGAAATAGCAGGAGAAAGGACGGGCATGGTGGCTCCCGCCTGTAATCCCCCAGCACTTTGGGAGGCTGAGGCCGGAGGATCACGAGGTCAGGAGATCAAGACCATCCTGGATAACACATTGAAACCCTGTCTCTAATAAAAATACAAAAAATAGCCGGGCATGGTGGCGGGCACCTGTAGGCCCAGCTACTCGGGAGGCTGAGGCAGGAGAATGGCGTGAACCTGGGAGGTGAAGCTTGCAGTGAGCCGAGATCGTGCCACTGCACTCCAACCTGGGAGATGGAGCGAGACTCCATCTCAAAAAGAAAAAAAAAACCACCACCACAACAAAAAACAACAAAAAACAAAACAAACAAAATACAAAAATTAGCCGGGTGTGGTGGCGGACACCTGTAGTCCCAGATACTTGGGAGGCTGAGGCAGGAGAATAGCTTGAACCTGGGAGGCAGAGGTTGCAGTGAGCTGAGATCGCACCACTGCACTCCAGCCTGGTGACAGAGCAACACTCTATCTCAAAAAAAAAAAGAAAAGAAAGAAAAGAAATAGCTGGAGAAAGCAGAACTGATGTGAGAAACAATAGATTCTAGAAACTAAATCTAAATTTGCAATAATTGCTGCAATTTATTGAGCAAGTACATATTAGATGGCTAAGTTTATATACACTCTCATCATAACAGCAGCTCTAAAAAACTGGAATTATTATGCTCATTTTACACATGATAAAACTAAGGTGTAGAAAGGTTAAGTGGCTTGCCCAAGGGTACATAGCTAATAGAAGGACATTTAAAATCAAGGTTTTTTTTTTCTTTTTCTTTTTAAATTTTATTTTAGATTCAGGAGTGCATGAGCAGATTTGTTACAAGGGTATATTGTGTGATGTTGAGGTTTGGGCTGCTATTGATCAAGTCACCCAAATAGTAAACATAGTTCCTGATAGAAAGTGCTGTAGCCTTTGTTCTCTTCCCTTCCTCTCTCTCCTCTTTTGGTGTTGCCAGTGTCTACCGTTTCCATCTTTTTCATCTTTTTTTTTTTTTTTGAGACAGAGTCTTACTCTGTCACTCAGGCTAGAGTGCAGTGGCGCGATCTCGGCTCACTGCAACCTCTGCCTCCCGGGTTCAGGCAATTCCCTGCCTCAGCCTCCTGAGTAGCTGGGACTACAGGCACCTGTCACCACGCCTGGCTAATTTTTGTATTTTTAGTAAAGACGGGGTTTCACTATGTTAGCCAGGCTGGTCTTGAACTCCTGACCTCGTGATCCACCCGTGTTGGCCTCCCAAAATGCTGGGATTACAGGCATGAGCCACCGTGCCTGGCCTACTGTTTCCATCTTTATGGATGTGTATACCCAAGGTTTAGCCCCACCTATAAGTAAGAACGTAAGATATTTGGTAAAATTCAAGTTCTACATGCATGTTCTTTTCTAAACATTGCTACCCTGAAGAATAAACTGAGAACTTTTATCAGAATTGAGTCTAAGCTGACACACAACATATCACTAGAGAGGTCCTCTCACGTTTCCATGATACCATTTTCCTACCATCATGGTGGGCCTGATGGACATTGACTTATAAGCCAGAGAGTCCTTCCAGTTTGGATTGCACATTATTTTTCTAGCTCAGAGACCGGCAAATTACGGCTGCAGGCCAAATCCAACCCTCTGCTTATTTGTATATTGCCTCTGAACTAAGAACATTTTTAAATGGTTGAAAAAAATTTCAAAAGAGTAAGTTTTTTTTTTTTTGAGATGGAGTCTCGATCTGTTGCCCAGGCTGGAGTGCAGTGGCGCGATCTCGGCTCACCGCAATCTCCGCCTCTCAGGTTCAAGAGATTTCCGGCTAATTTTTGTATTTTTAGTAGAGACAAGGTTTCACCATGTTGGCCAGGCTGGTCTTTAACTCCTGACTTCAAGTGATCCACCCGCGTTGGTCTCACAATGTACTATTATTACAGGCATGAGCCACTGCGCCCGGCCCAAGTTAGGTAATTTTTGATTCGGCTTTATAGGCAGGAAAATGAGACTCAGAGAATTATAATGCCCTGCTCAAAGACACACAAAGTAGTAAGTGGTAGAAAAGGAGGTTTAAGACTAGATCTGTTTTTATAGAAATAAATACAAAGCAAAACCAAATCACTTTGTACCGTAATATGTCATAGTTCATGAACAAAAGGCACTGTGTGCAGAAGCCTTATGTGCAGAACTCCATTCCAAATAGATAATCTTTTTTCCTTCCTCTATTGTTAGAATCAGGAAGATTTTTTGTAATTTAAGATACTGTGTTTCTCCCTATAACCCACTCCATTGGCAGCACTGTGGCTAACCCTGTTTCTCATGGCTCCTTCTACCTTTAACAAAATTTAAAACAGGTAATTGTGCTGTTAATTGGGGCTTGGGGGATGTTACCCTTCCTTCCTCTGGAAGGGTTCAATGTTCAAAGGCATCTAGTCATTATTTAGTGGTGAGGTAATGTCTCTAGAATTTGGAAGTGAAGCTCAAACAGAAAGAAACAGCAGGACTGGACGGGCTTCCAAAGAGTGACTTATTTTAAAGAGACCGATTCATCTTTTACTAATTGGAGATACCTAGTTCCAATTAATTTAAGGTAGTGCCTCATCAAAATATGACCAAAGTAAAAAGAATATTTTGCAACTCCATCAAGTTCATTGTAAACTTTCTTAAGAAAAAAAAGTTTTGGCCGGGCACGGTGGCTCAAGCCTGTAATCCCAGCACTTTGGGAGGCCGAGGAGGGTGGATCACGAGGTCAGGAGATCGAGACCATCTTGGCTAACACGGTGAAACCCCGTCTCTACCAAAAATACAAAAATTTAGCCGGGTGTGGTGGCGGGCGCCTGTAGTCCCAGCTACTCGGGAGGCTGAGGCAGGAGAATGGCGTGAACCCGGGAGGCGGAGCTTGCAGTGAGCCGAGATCGCGCCCCTGCACTCCGGCCTGGGCAACAGAGAGACTCCGTCTCAAAAAAAAAAAAAAAAGAAAAGAAAAAAAGAAAAGAAAAGAAAAGAAAAGAAAGGAAAAAAAAAGTTTTAATCTAATGCCATGTACACGGAGAACGGAAGCTTAAAGCAAAGATTTAGAAGGGGCTAATTTGTATCTATTCAGGGTAGGCACAGAAGTTTTTTGGTAAGGTGCATTACTTTTGGCAGAGCTGTATATTTTCTTTTGTGGGAGAAGGGAGAAGTTTTTTTTTTCTTTTCTAATTCAAATTTCACCATGGCATGAGCTCAATATTCTTCAAGACAAAAGAATCTTGAGGTCTTGCTTCTCACTGCATAGAAAGCCAATCACAGAGATGATGTGTACTGCCAGGGAAGAAGGCATTTTGGGTGTTGCAGCTGAAAAGATGGTAGATCAGTTTTAAATCCACCTCCCTAGCTGACTAAAATGAGGGGTTTATATAGCAGGGAAGAAATGGAAAACAGGAATTCGGGTGGGGTAAGGAAGAGGAGTTGGTTGACAGGCAGCAGGTGATCAGTTAGACAATCGTGATGGGTGAGGGGTCTGGCATCTCATCGTCCAGAGGCTGTGATGTGGTGAGTTTCAGCTTCTTTGACCAGGAGGCCTGATGGTTGGTTTCCTGTTAAAGGAACTCAGGTAAGACAAATGTACCTTTTTCAAGTTTCAAGACTGGGAGGGAAAATTTCTACATTGTATTAGTCAGGGTTCCCTAGAGTGACAGACAGACACGGTTCTCTAAGTTCATATATATATGAACTTATATATATAGGAGTTTATTAAGTATTAACTCATATGGTCACAGTGTCCCACAATAGGCCCTCTGCAGGCTGAGGAACAAGGAGAGCCAGTCCAGGTTCCAAAACTGAAGAACTCAGAGTCCGATGTTTGAGGGCAGGAAGCGTCCAGTATGGGAGAAAGATGTAGGCTGGGAGGCTAGGCCCGTCTCTCTTTTCACATTTTCTGCCTGCTTATATTCTAGCAACCCTGGTAGCTGATTAGATGATGCCCAGGCAGTTTAAGGGTGGGTCCACCTTCCCCAGCCCACTGACTTCAGATGTCAATCTCCTTTGGCAACACCCTCACAGACACAACCAGGATCAATACTTTGTATCCTTCGATCCAATCAAGTTGACACTCAGTATTAACCATCACATATGTTTACACAAAAGTAACCATAAACTTCAATTATATGGGACAACTGGGTCAGTTTCATTTCTACCTTCGTTTTCTCAGAGCCCATGTTGATTAATGAATATTTTGAAGATGAATTCCATTTCTACAGTACACTGAGTACAATGGAGAGTAGAAGAAATCAGTATTCAAGTAGCTGCAAATTGATGACTTTGCATTCCGGTTTAACTCTAGCAGTTGACTAGAGTAGCCTGTCTTAATGAGTTTATTCAATGCTATGTTCCCTGAGAACATGTTTGCTGTTTGGGTAGTCCCTGATCTGCAGGGAATCAGCTCACAAAGGAGTGGCCAACAAGTGAGGTGGGAGGGTGCGGTCAGGGTTGACTGTGAGGTTCCCTCCGTGGCAACTTTGCAGCCTCGACAATACTTTTTTTTTCTTTTTTTAATAACGTTTTGCTTTTTTGGTTCACATACTTCTTTCGTGTTGCCATGTTTAAACATTGACAACACTGCTGACCAATTTATTTAACAGGTCCATATTCTAAATTCATTGAGGAACATGACAAAAATGTGGATCCTACTAATTAGTATTTTGTTCCACCACTGATAAAATATTTAGCAGATACACTAATCTAATCTCCGTTCTTAATGTTGGCTTTAGAGGAAACAAAATCATGTCTTAATAATAAAGAGAAAGCTGGATGGAAAGTAAGAATAATCAGCTTGCATTCTGCATTTCCCTTTGAAGTGAAACCAGAGAGGTAGAAGAGTTTCAGTTGCGTTGCTTACATCAATAGATCAACCATTTAAACAGAAGCGTAACTAACCGCAAATGCTTAAAGATTTGGCGTCATTCCAAAGTTGAGTTTTTGTTGTTGTTGTTGTTTTTTGTTTGTTTGTTTTTTTCTTGAGACAGAATCTCGCTCTATTGCCCAGGCTGGAGTGCAATGGTGGGATCTATGCTCACTGCAACCTCCGCCTCCCAGGTTCAAGTGATTCTCCTGCCTCAGCCTCCTGAGTAGCTGAGATTACAGGTACCTGCCACCACGCCAGGCTAATTTTTTTTTTTTGTATTTTTAGTAGAGACAGGTTTTCGCCTTGTTGGCCAGGCTTGTCTCAAACTCCTGACCTCAAGTGATCCACCCGCCTTGGCCTCCCACAGTGCTGGGATTACAGTCGTGAGCCACCGCGCCCGGCCAGTTGAGTTCTTTAGATCATTGTATTTTGAACCATTCATATAAACTTGTTTTTAATGAGAGATGACCTCCTTGATCTTCCTACAGCCTCACAGGATGGGACTACAGTCTACATTGAGAGGCTCACCTCAGGAAGATCTAGCTACTGGTAGAGGTCATCAGTCTTGTTAATAAGCTGACTATTGGCCTCTCTTTGGTGTGACATCCTGGCACCCTTGATATCTACAGAAAGAAATCAGTGCTGGCATTCAATGTAAATCTCCAAAGGGGCTTAATTGGACTTTTTCAGGTTAAGATAAAATGTTCAATTTTTAGCTTAAAGATGATTCTGGGACCATAAACATGCCAGATTTGAGTTCAGTTAAGGTAATTATGTGGGCAAAAATAAAAGTGCAATTAGGTTGTTCTAGCCTTAACTAAGTGCAATTATCAAGAACACTAACCTGGAGAAAATAGGTTCATTCTTTACATTTTACTAAGCTTCCCAGGTTTGCTGTTTCTATTTTCACCTGTCAGTGGGGGTAGAACTATCCAAGACACTTCCAAACACTAATTCCAGATAGTCTTTCTTTTACAAAAAACAGTGTTAAAAAGTTTTTAAAAAGAAAGTAAAGGAAGATAGCTTTCTTAGGTATTCTGTCTCTTTTTTGTAAACAATGAAAAAAATGAGAGAATTTTTGGGTGTATTTTGAGTACTATTCGTTGAATTGATAATGTAGTCAGAATGTAGAAAAGAAAACATGAATTATAATTTAAAAGTTTGACTGTTTTGGTCAGGCTGATTGTTTCTAGTTAATTACTGATAAATCAGTTGCTTTCTCACACAACAAATTCTATCTAATCATTAAAACATCCCTAGTGTCTGGAACACAAGATGATTCGTCTGATCACTTTGGTTCTTATAATGAACACATGAAGTTGAGTTTATGGCAAGCTCTGGACTGTGGCAGCGACTGGCAAGATTAAAACAGGAGCCTGGCAATTTTCGTTTACAAAATACAAAATAATATCCATTTCAGAATTGTCAGTTTAGCAAGGTTTCTAGTTTAATAAAATGAAAATATTTATTGGCAAAAATATTTGGATTTGTTAAAAATCTGAGAATTGTCTAATCTTTCATGGCAGGTGATCAATGCATGGAAGAGGATAGAGCTCTTCATCCTAGTTCTTCTCCAGGTTCCAACCTGAGTCTTTGTTCATGTGTAAACATGCTATACACCAACTCAGCCCACTATAAATATGCTATATCATGAACTGTTTCATCAAGGAGTTCCTTTAATCCAACAATTTCAAGGACTCTTTAAAAAAATTTTTTTTTTTTTGAAATGGAGTCTCACTCTCTTGCCCAGGCTGGAGTGCAGGGGCGCGATCTCTGTTCACTGCAAGCTCCGCCTCCCGGGTTCACTTCATTCTCCTGCCTCAGCCTCCCAAGTAGCTGAGACTACAGGCACCTGCAACCACGCCCAGCTAATTTTTTGTATTTTTAGTAGAGATGGGGTTTCACTGTGTTAGCCAGGATGGTTTCAATCTCCTGACCTTGTGATCCTCCCGCCTCGGACTCCCAAAGTGCTGGGATTACAGGTGTGAGCCACCGAGCCTGGCCTTAAAAAAAACTTTTTTTTTAAGAGATGGGGTCTTGCTATATTGCCCAGGCTGGTCTCCAACTCCTGTTCGAAGCCATCCTCCTTCTTTGGCCTCTCAAAATGTTGGGATTATACACATGAGTCAACATGCCTGGCCCCAGGGAGCCTTTTTAAAAGAATAAATATGTATGTGTATATTTTCTTCAAATATTAAATTTGGAAACAAATGTATCATACTTTTTTCCAGTGGAGTTTATTTGCCTAAATATAGGAAGTAAGACTAAGAAGCTAAACTGTTACTTCTAGACTGCATTCAGGAAATTTGTTTTTCCCCAAAATTTTTATTCATTTTACTATTTTTTGGATGTTATGAAATTTTTTTTCTACTGAATCGGCGGAATCAACTGGATTTACTAAGTTAAAAAAACAGTAATTTTCAATTAGCCATACACTGTATATCTAATTTCATGTTATTGTTGTATTTAATTCATGCAACCTTCTTAGAAGGTAAATGTCACTGCAGTTTTCATTTTGCAGAGAAAAAAATGAAAGTTAGTGAACTTGCCTAATGCTGGGCAACTATGAAGTGGCTGAAGCCGTGTGTCTTTATTTCTAAGTTAATAGCAGAATATGTATAGTTAATGGTTTGAGCACTGGTGTTAGACACATTTGGAATTGAATTCTGTTTCCATCATTTACTTCTCTAGATACTTAATTTTACTTTTCTGAATTAGAAAGATACTTAAATTTACTTTTCTAACTCTTGGTGTGTTCATCTCTAAAAGATATAGTAATAATATTGCCTCCTAGGATACATTCACGAGGTTTCAATGGGATAATGCAAACAATGCTTTTAGTGCTGTGCCTGGAAATTTTTAGATTTTAAATTTTCAAAAAGTATTTATATTATTACAGGCATAAAGTAAGCCAAAATTTAGCCCAGGGGAGGTACTTGACGTTTTAAATTAGTTTTTGTATTCTTAGCCTGGATACATGTATGTAAACCCAAGTTTGATTGTTTGTTTAATAAAAAATAAATAAAGAAAGAAATTCTTAAGACTCCTGGAATCTTGAGCTTCAAGGCTGGAAGTGTTTTCCAAGAGCAAAAGGTTGATCAGTTACTTCACGTCCTGGCTTCTTAAATATTACTAACATTTCAACACCAGAATGAGAAGGAGAAAGTGAGGGAAGGAAGGAGTGAGGCAGAGTGTAGAGTATGCTGGTGATAGTATGCCCAGAGAGATAACATTTGCAATGGGACTTTACAAACCTCAGCTTTACACAGTTAGCCTTTGTGTAGGATACATTCTAAGGAGAAATCCTATGAGATGTTTCAGATTAAACTGTAGATTCCAAAATAAAAACAATTGGGCCGGGCGCAGTGGCTCACGCCTGTAATCCCAGCACTTTGGGAGGCCGGGACAGGCGGATCACCTGAGGCCAGTAGTTTGAGACCAGTCTGGCCAACATGGTGAAAAAAAAAAGATTGTGTCTGTTGAAGGAACTCAATAAATGCTTCCTAAACGGTGTCACATGAACAGTTTTAATTTCTCACTCATTAAGAGCAGGACTGTCCTGGGGTCTGAGGTGAGGCTGAGCTTATTAAAGGGGACAAAGTCATTACCTATTATGGAGGAGATAACTCTAAGGACAGGGTACGAAAAGCCATAGAGTCCCAGTTTTCATGAATGCACTCAAAAACCTGAAAAATTATGAAAGACAGGGAGAAAGTCATTCAAATACCTCTGAGCAAGGAAGAGTCAACTCCACACTGAAACCCGCGATGGCTGTCACATTTCATGGTGAAGTACGAAGCGGGTAACTGCCTAGACAGAGTGAGGCCAGTTGGTCCTCCAGGTGAGGGGCCTGAGTGCCAAGGAAACCCTTGCTTCTGACAATATCCAAGTGTTTCCTGGTTCCTCCATGGTTGGCATTTTCAGGCAGAAGTGCCTGTGGAAAGTTAATGTGTCTACTTAGTTACTCAGTTTTCTTCTCTTTTTTCTTTTCTTTCTTTCTTTCTTTTTTTTTTTTTTTTTTTTTTTTTTTTTTGAGACAGAGTCTTGCTCTGTCCCCCAGGCTGGAGTGCAGTTGTGTGATCTCAGCTCACTGCACTCTCAACCTGCCAGGCTCAAGCAATTCTCCCACCTCAGCCTCCTGAGTAGCTGGGACTGCAGGTGCACTCCACCATGCCAGGCTAACTTTTCTATTTTTTGTGGAGACGGAGTTTTGCCATGTTGCCCAGACTAATCTAGACCTCCTGGACGTGGTGGCACATGCCTGTAGTCCCAGCTACTTGGGAGACTGAGGCAGGAGAATCACTTGTACCTGGGAGGCAGAGGTTGCAGTGAGCTGAGATCGCGCCACTGCACTCCGGCCTGGTGACAGAGCAAGACTCCGTCTCAGAAAAAAAAAAAAAAAAAAGATTGTGTCTGTTGAAGGAACTTAAGTGATCCTATTGCCTTGGCCTCCCAAAGTGTGGGATTACAGGCGTGAGCCACAGTGCCCGGCCTAGTTACTCGGTTTTCTAGGAGAAGTGTCTTAGGGACTGATGTGGCTTCGACCTGTTGCTTAGAAAAGGACAAGCCTGTCAGAAATACATATCCCTGTGGAAGAAATTAGAACATATTAGAAACAAAACCTCTGCCAAATATGCAAACTTTGCTTCAATACTTCATTTGATTTGAACAATGGAAGTGAAACTTACCTTGGACAAAATCAAGGGAACTTTACACCCTTGTCTTCCCTCTTTTCACGTACTTTCCCCTCTGCATTTGGTGGGGAAAGTCATTCGCCTGGACGAACTCTTCAGACCTTCAGATTTACGTCTTTAACACCTGCCTATCAACTGCATGATTTTCTGTCTTTTTCTGACCTGGAAAAGAAAAAAAAGATTTTCTTCTCCAGACCACATGGCAAAGTCTTTCTGATTATCCGTTGGTCCTTAATATAACATGAAGGCAACTGTCAATTTTTTTTTTTATACTTTAAGTTCTGGGATACATGTGCATAACATGCATGCTTGTTACATAGGTATACATGTGCCATGGTGTTTGCTACACCCATCAGCCCGTCATCTACATTAGGTATTTCTCCTAATGTTCTCCCTCCCTTTTCCCTCCACCGCCTGACAGGCCCTGGTGTGTGATGTTCCCCTCTCTGGGCCCATATGTCTCTCTGTTCAACTCCCACTTGTGAGTGAGAATGTGTGGTGTTTGGTTTTCGGTTCCTGTGTTAGTGTGCTGAGAATGATGGTTTCCAGCTTCATCCATGTCCCTGCAAAGAACATGAACTCATTCTTTTTTATGGCTGCGTAGTATTCCATGGTGTATATGTGCCACATTTTCTTAATCCAGTCTGTCATTGATGGGCATTTGGGTTGGTTCCAAGTCTTTGCTATTGTGAACAGTGCTGCAGTAAACATACGTGTGCATGTGTCTTTATAGTAGAATGATTTATAATCCTTTGGGTATATACCCAGTGATGGGATTGCTGGGTCAAACGGTATTTCTTGTTCTAGATCCTTGAGGAATCACCACACTGTTTTCCACAATGACCGAACTAATTTACACTCCCACCAACAGTGTGAAAGCATTCCTATTTCTCCACAACCTCTTCAGCATCTGTTATTTCCTGACTTTTTGTTGTTGTTGTTGTTTTTGAGACGGAGTCTTCCTCTGTCGCCCAGGCTTGAGTACAATGGTTCGATCTTGGCTCACTGCAACCTCTGCCTCCCAGTTCAAGCGATTCTCCTGCCTCAGCCTCCCGAGTAGCGGGAATTACAGGCACTTACCATCACGGCTGGCTAATTTTTGTATTTTTAGTAGAGATGGGGTTTCACCATGTTGGCCAGGCTGATCTCGAACTCCTGACCTCTTGATCCGCCCACCTGAGCCTCCCAAAGTGTTGGGATTACAGGTGTGAGCCACCGCTCCCTGCCTGTTTCCTGACTTTTTAATGATCACCATTCTAACTGGCGTGAGATGGTATCTCATTGTGGTTTTGATTTGCATTTCTCTAATGACCAGAGATGATGAGCTTTTTTTCATATGTTTGTTGGCTGCATAAATGTCTTCCTTTGAAAAGTGTCTATTCATATCCTTTGCCCACTTTTTGATGTTTTTTTGTTGTTGTTTTCTAAATTTGTTTCAGTTCCCTGTAGATTCTGGGTATTAGCCCATTGTCAGATGGATAGATTGCAAAAATTTTCTCCCATTCTGTACGTTGCCTGTTCACTCTGATGATAGTTTCTTTTGCTGTGCAGAAGCTCTTTAGTTTAATTAGATCCCATTTGTCTATTTTGGCTTTTGTTGCAATTGCTTTTGGTGTTTTAGTCATGAAGTCTTTGCCCATGCCTATGTCCTGAATGGTATTGCCTAGGTTTTATTCTAGGATTTTTATGATTTTTAGATCCTATATTTAAGTCTTTAATCTGCAGCAATTGTCAGTTTTATTTATTCACTGCTTATCTGTATTTTCTAAAGTTGCAAGGAAAAAAATAGTATTTATTTTTAAACTTTTGTTAAAATTATTTATTTATTTATGTGGGCCAATAGAGTTTATTAACCTATTGATCTCTGAGGAAAAAATGGATATAGTGATTTGATTATATGGTTATTTGAAATCTTTACTGAAGAAAAGTCACAAATTCTTCTATTTGAAGTTAAATATGAAGCTTCTACAAGTGACTGGACAACCTTGTTTATTTGTACCTGTTTAGTACTTTCCACAAGTAACATTTTATCTGTAATGCTACCAAGATTTTTTAAAATAAATAACAACTCTATTTTGAAGGAATCTAAAATTTACATGGAGAAGCAAGAACTTTTCTATAATATTTTGTGATATCGAATTTAATTTCAGGAAGGTAATCCATTTGCAATTCATACTCAAGAACAGGACAGACCAGAAGCATATAGTACAGCTCAATTGTAATTTTCCAAATGTTAATTTCATGTTGTTTC